>NC_000003.12:63040303-63343333 GCF_000001405.40 Homo sapiens
GTTTTAATAATGCTGCAAAGTCTTTCAGAACAGGATCCATGGCTTATGCCCCAGGGAATATACCAGTTAAATTACCTTTCCCTGAATCTGGAATCCTTCACCTCTCTCCTTTATTTACTCTGAATGCCTAAGAGAATCTTCTTTTTCTGGCTTACTTATTGCATACTAATAGGAGAATATAAACAGAGAAACCTAGATTACTCTAAGTGGTGTGGGTGATTCATCTGAAGATTCACATGCATGTTCACATGGGAATACTTATGGATAGAACATATTGTCATTATCTAATCCAGTAAAAGATTAAGGACAATGCTTCACTCAAAATAATCATGGGATACAGTTGGAAATCACCTCAGAAATCACTCAGTCTACTGTTTCCAAACCTGTCTCAACGTAAGAGTCACCTGGAAAGCTTTCAACCAATACAGATTTCTAGGCTGATCCAAATTTACTGAATGTGATTTTCAAGAACCAGGCAACATGAAGTTCTACACCTCTCCCTGGGTGATTCTAATAATTAGTCAGGGTTGGGAATTGCTAGTTTAAAACAGTTGGCAAATGGTGTCATCCCACTTCCAACACTATGGATTAAGGGTAGCCCCCAGTGTGTTGGAATGAGAAGCATTCTATCAGGTTTCTGGGTTCAATGAGAAAGTGTACTGTAATCTGTTATTAATGCTTCATATGGTCTTTGTTAGGAGGATGATGGTACCTGTGTCCTGTACTTACCAGTACAGATCTAGTTCAATACCCACAGTTTCAAGATGTAGGAAGAGAATCAGAGGGGGAAAAACCTGACTTACTCTCTTAGTTGGCTTTAGCAACTTAACAAACTATTCCAACATTATTGGGTTAAAACAACCACCTTCTATTTACCTATAATTTTATGGGTTGTCTGGGTAAATTTTGTGACCTCGGTTGGCTTGACTTGGGCTGTGTCATCTAGAATAGCTTCATTCACATTCTTGGCAGTTGGAAGAATGGATGGTCCATTGGGCATCATTCACTCAGTCTGGCTATAGGTTTAAATTCAGCATCATCCAGCAGGCTAGTCTGAATTGCTCATACATGGCAGAATGGGTCTCAGCAGCCAGAGGGAGCAGAGTCCAATGGGCAAGCACTTTTCAAGCCTCTATTTGCATTGTTTTGCTAATGTTCCATTGATTGAACCATGACATGATGCTTAGGAGAAATAGATTTACACCTCTTGATGTGATAACATCACATTACAAATGAGTATGGAAACAGAAATGAGAGGACTTTATGATCATTTTGCCATGTATAGCACTTGTCCAAAATCACACATTTTGTTTGTAGAAGACCTAGGACTAGAAATCCATTGCTTACTTCTCAATTCAAAGTAGAAACAGAAACCAAAGGAAGTGTCATGCACATATAGCCTGTGGTGGACATTTGGATCTCAAAAGTAGGACAGGCTTCGCAGAGCTGGGGCTAGACAGCAGCCAATCAGATTGTAGGATGTAGGACTTGTCATTCCCAGTGACAATTTCAAGGAAGATCTTCAATGGGTCATAACAGACTCAGGATAATTTAAACCGAGGTCATATCTAAGGAGGTTAAGCCTGGTGAGTAGCGTATGACAATAGTAGAATTTCAGGCTGTGACTTCTTGGAGCCATAGGGTGACAGCATCAAGATTCCAGGTGGTCCCAAATCCTGCCAGTAACTGGGTGTTTAGAATGGTGTCAGCCTGGAAAATAAGACAGAGACTATTGAGGTCTATGTAGGTTACTGAGTTGAGGGTAAGTTCCTCCCAGTTACTTTCAAGGGAGGTGCTTCCTATAGACTATGATGGGAACTGCATATTCTGGAATGCTGATGTGCAACACAATGGCTCTGGTTTCCTCTTCCAACAAGGGAATTGTAGTGCAATCAAAAACATAGAACATTGTCCCAGTCAGAGGAATTGAATGAAATCTCTCACAACAACGAAAATAGCCCACAGCCCATTTTCTTCAAGTAGTTTGAATGTAACACAGTATGCACTGGTTTGGAAGCTAATACAAATGATAAGAGCTGCCATTCATCAAGCACATACTATGTGCTAGACACCATCCCTAGCACTCACCTCTGAGATTTATAGAAGATTGATTTTTTGTTGTTGTTTAAACACATTTTCTAGATGAGAGGAGTAAGGCTCAGAGAAGATAATGCAACTAGCTAGTTCATGAAGGCAGTTGGCTGCCAACTCAAGTCTGTCTGATGCCAAATCCTGAGCTCTTTCTTCCAGGGCGTCTTTCTTAACTTCGAATGTACTTTCATGTGACTCTCTATGCCTGAATTTGACCATCACCCATGACCATTAATAACCCTCTCTGTAAGGTAAAGTCAACCATTTTCTCTTCAAACATAGACACCTAAGTAGCTTGCAAATATATTACTTTGGCTTTCATTTAGGAGAGTAGATGCACAATATTTTATTAAAATCATGAGTCTTAGAAAAAAGTTAAAAGAAAAAGCTAAATAACATTTTTGCCCAGTTACTTGGAAATCAGGCAATTATCACATGATTACTCAGGCTGGTAATGAAATTAAGATAAAGTTTCATGAAAATAGCATATGCAATTTAACAGCCACAACAGAATTTGTGTAAATAAGAGCAGATGTGTCTGAATCTCTTGGATTTATAAATACAGAAACATTGTTCCTTTGGGGGTAAAAAATCATTCTTTACTCTGGATGTGGGAAGAGTATGACTCAGGGCCCTGGTGGTGACAGAGAAGGTGGGGATTCATAGCTAGGAGGCCCCTGCATTCCTGTAGCTTCCAACGCAGATGCTCTCACCTGGGAGAATCTGTATCTTTCCAACAGCAATTATATACACTGGGGAGCTGAGACGAAATGGTGAAATATGTATCGGGCTCAGCATAGGGATTTTTAAATCTGGATAACACTGGTTTTTCTCTCCTAAGAAAAGAAGCAAATTCATACTAACCACGGTTTGGGTTCAAAATACAAGCAAGTTTGCAGCTCCCAACTCTATATCAAAGGTAGGTTTATAAAGGGCAAACAATTTGTCTAAAACTATCCTTTGCCCTTTGCCCCCTTGAACTTGTCTCCTTAGAAAAGAGTGGGCAGCTAAGCCATTATCCTTCTTCTCTGAAAAGGTCTAAGGAGGAAGAAAGGCAGAGAGAGAGCGCGCGCGAGAGAGAGCGAGCCTTGAGTTTTTACTGTAAAGACCTTCTTTCTTGGAGGCACCAGGAAGAATCTGTTTCTGATCAGAAAGGCCAAAGTTGTAACAACCTGTAGTGGTTAAGAGCACAAGCTCAGAACAGCCTTGAATGCATTACCTGACAGCTCTATGGCTTCTTTTCTCAGCTATAAGATGGCACTTTGTGTATGTGATGCACAATGCATGCTGGAGAAAGATGAGCCATTAGTATGTAGGTGAACTGGGGGAAAAAAAACTGCTAAAGGTGGAAGTCCTGATCACAGAACCTTCCTGTGCAGGTGCTCTGTCCTCACTGTCTGGAGCCTCCTCCAACTCCCTCTTCAACAGGAGCTTGGCAGAAGACCAGAGAAGCTGAGTCATCCTCAAGGAGGAGTTTTTTTCACTGCATCCACTATAAGCAGTTCTCTAGTGGAAAAAAACAGGGCTTTAGCATAAGTCCTGAGTACGGGAGTGGGAGAATGGGCACTTGGGTGACTGGTGCTGCTTTCTTTTTGTCCCCCACACCTAAATAAACAAGTCATTTTCCCTCCATTGTGCCTGAAGTTAAGGGGCACTAAGTCAGTGGCAGCTTGGACTTGGGCTACAGAAAACTAACATAGGTGTCTGCTATTTTGCCTCTGTCTTGCCCAAGAACCATTCTTCAAGAGCCAGGCTTTCCATCTGGGCCTTTCCTCAACCCTACAGAGAAACAGTTCAGAAGAGAACACACTTTGGGGAGAATACAAAGTCTAAGATCTCTGTAGATCATAAAGAAGAGACAAATGAGGCTGTTAGAGCTGGTTCCTTCTCATTTTGCCATTAACAGTGAAAGCCCCAGAGCTCAAGTCCTGCTCCTCACATTTAAATCTCTTGTCTGGCCCACTGCCCTAAAATTCAGACTCCTACACAACTGCATCTTTGAAACCTACACTTGGTTGACTAATAAGAATTTTAAATTTAATGTATCTGAAAACTCTTAACTTCCCATCCCGGGTATATTAGTTTGTTCTCATGCTGCTAATAAAGATATACCTGAGACTGGATAATTTATATAGGAAAGAGGTTTAACAGACTCACAGTTTCACATGGCTGGGGAGGCCTCACAATCATGGTGGAAGGCAATTGTGGAGCAAAGGCACATCTTATATGGCGGCAGGCAAGAGAGCTTGTGCAGGGGAACTGCCCTTTATAAAACCTTCAGATCTTGTGAGACTTATTCACTATCATGAGAACAGCATGGGGAAGACCTTCCCCATGATTCAATTACCTCCCACTGGTTCCCTCCCATGACACATGGGAATTATGGGCACTACAATTCAAGATGAGATTTGGGTGGGGACACAGCCAAACCATATTACCTGGCTCATGCAAATCTGCCCCTCTCATAGTACTTATATGTGTTGCTCCCTCCTTCTAGTTGCTCCAGCCAAAAACTTGGAGTCACCCTCAACCCTTCCCTTTCTTTTACTCCTCCCAACTAATCATGTCTTGTTGGTTCTACCTTCAAAATTTTTTCATAATTCTCACTAGCTCCACTATTACCACTGTGGGATAAGCCAACATTATCTCTCACTCGGATTCTGCAGTAGCTCTCCACCTGGTTCTCCCTTTTTCTATCCCACATCCCCCCATCTATTCTCAACCCAGCAACCAGAATGACAGAATGATCTTTTAACACATACTTCAGACCATACCACTTCTCTTTTCTAGCTTTCCCATCTCACTTGGACTAGGAGCCATTGCCTTCACCATTGCCTGCAAATCCCTCACAATCTGCACCTGCCATACATTTCTGGCCTCTTCTATTACTCTCTTCTGCTAATATCCCTCAGCCACGTTGATCTCTTTGTTCTTCCTGGGTCATAACATCAGAGCTTTGCTTCTGGTCCAGGGCCTTTGCACTTACTGTAGGCTATGCCTGGAACACCTTGATCTCTTAACTTTTTCAGGTCTTTTCTTAAATGTCACTTTCTCAGACAATTCTTCTTAAATCTCCATATTTTAAATTGTACCCCCCTTCAGCAACCCTTATCTTCTTTCCCTGCTTTTTAACCGTAGCACTTCCTATCCACCATCTGTGTTTTAATAGAATTTATTTTCTTATTTATTATAGCATCTCTCCCTGTCCATTGAGATTTAAGCTGAGTGAGGGTAGGGCATTTTGTCTTTTTGTTTGTTTCTTTATGTTTATGCTGTATTCTTGGCACCTAGAACAGTGCTTGGCACATGGTAGGCATAATAGACATGTAGCAATTATTTGTTAAATAAATTTTTAAAATTCTATAAAAGATTTAATTTTTAAAATTCTATAAAGACACTGTCAGTGTTACTGGTGAAAATTTATTAATTTCTAATTCCTAATATATTGCTAGTATGTTTTTCTAATGATATATCTCTATCTGTGATTGTGTAGGTACTAAAACATTCCAAAAGGTTATATTTGTAGGGTGGTTGCCCTTAAACGAGAAACTACGTGCATCATGAATTTGGAGTCGCGCACATCTAGCCATCAAATTATGGCTCAACTATGTTGATCTTGGGCATTTTACTGTTTCTAATTTTACCTCGATAAAAGTAAAAAATATAGATGTAAGTGTGAATATATGTGTATACACATATATTCTATATCATATGTCAGGAGAAGTATTTTGTTGAGTCTTTCATACAGAGGAAGACACTGAGGCTCAGAGACTTCAAATCACTTGCTCTGTGTGTCACTCTTGGTGGATAGGAGAGCTAAGATTAGAATTCAGATTAAATTTACTCCAACATTGACACCTTGTTCTTCTGAGCACATTGCCAAGTGTCCTAGGGAATAGAACCTTTTTAAAGCCACTAATCAGCTGTGGGATCTTTGAGCAATACTTTGCCCTTCCGGGTTTCTGTTTCCTTGACTATATAATCAAGGTGTCCTTTATCCCAACTAAGGATGTCTCCTCTCTTGGAGCAATATTGTACGTGACAGTTTGTTTATTGTACTCAAAAGCATTAAGAAGGAACAGAGACTTGCCAAAAGGTATTTGCTATACCTTTATTCCCTATCAAATCCAGTGCTCAGCAATATCTAGAAATTTTCTAAAGCTGTTTTTTTCTAAATTGTTCATGTTCTCAGTTGGTCTTGGGCACTAGGGCAGGCAGAGTGGTCTCAATGTGGGGAGTGGGAAACGTAGGGTTGCCTTTCACTCTGCAGTTGTGACTGCGAACAAGACCAGGTAAATGCAGAGGAGCTATCCCAACTCCCTTTCAGGTTCCTTCAGGGCGGAAATTGTGGGCCTGCATGCACTGAAACCACAATTTTTACTATCTTTTACAACCTTGAGGGATGACTATGTGACTTTGACTTTCCTCTGTAAAGTCATAAAAACTGAGCAAGTGGATTTTCTAAACCAAGAAGGACTTTAAGCAGGGAATTTGTAATAGCAACGTGTGTATCCTTTTGTAGGTATTTGACCTAACTTCAAGTAAAGGGTATGTAAATTTTATTATGGCTTACTTAAATATAACAGCTTATAGGGTCTGTTTATCCCATGACGTCTCAAGAGGAACTGTGAACAGAGACTCCTGGGAACTTTGAGTGGAAATTTCCCAAGGATATTACAAGGCAAAGCCTAAAATTAACATTATGTGCTCTCTTGACATCTGGTAAAATCAGGAAGGCCTCAAATGGCCTCAATGCAAGTTATACTCCGCACTCTTCTCTTGCAGGTAAAGTCCCTTGGCCAAACAATCCTTCTTGTTAAATGGACCAAATGCAGTTCCTGCTTATCACTGAGTATCAGGTTTCAGTTCCTTGCAGTGCATGGAAATATTCAAACAAGCTAACCACACCCTCCCACCCTCCCACAGGAACCAAGGGTCACCCCACCCTCTTGAAACTACAAAGCCTGCCTTCCACAGCCCCTAGTTGTTCACTCTGTTCTCAAGTGTAGCCCATGTGGCCCTGTGTGGCCTATGGTGTCCCCCTCCCCTGGGCTGTGAGTATATACCACTAGTAAACTGCTGTCAATCTCACCTGTCCAGTGTCAAGCGACGTCTGTTTGACCATCCCCATAACCCTAAGATGGGAATCCCTCCCTCAGTAACAAAGTGAAGAGAAGGCAATCAAAGTAGGTACATTCCATAATACTGGCTTACTAAATATACCCTTTCAGCACAGGGTAGTATGTTCAAGCTTGACATAAGGGTGACTCTGTGCTTCGTTAAGAAACAAATCTCTCTGGCCTCAAACTTGTAACTTCTCAAACTGTATTTCAGTACTGTAAACATCCAGACTTCGTGTCATTTAATGACTGCCTAGCTTTAATTATTTCAGAAATAAAAGTAGCAGGACTAAAGGTTTTACTCAATAGCTTTGACAAGCACATACTAAACACTAAGAGTCAGGAATCAATTGT
The DNA here is from genome assembly GCF_000001405.40 of Homo sapiens. Taxonomy (NCBI): domain Eukaryota; kingdom Metazoa; phylum Chordata; class Mammalia; order Primates; family Hominidae; genus Homo; species Homo sapiens. The sequence goes on from NC_000003.12 coordinate 63,047,869, forward strand.
GTAAAGTTAATTGATTCTCATTTGGCTGTAACACATTTTAGTTCAAATATTTTTGTCCAGGTTATAACTTCAGTTACTGTGACCAGTACACAAGTCATTGTTCTAGATGGTAAGTTAGACCCAATTAAATCAATAAAAAATACAGAAATTTGAGCAAGATCTCCACTGACTTGCTTAAATTTCTTCTCTGAAAGTCTTACAGGCAGAGAATGGTGGCTCATGCATTGTAATCCCAGCACTTTGGGAGGCTGAGGTAGGTGGATTGCTTGATCCCAGGAGTTCAAGACCAGCCTGCGCAAAGAGGCAAAACCCTGCCTCTACAAAAAATACAAAAATAAGCCAGGCATGGTGGCACATGCCTGTAGTTCCAGCACTCAGGAGGCTGAGGTGGGAGGATCACCTGAGCCCAGGGAGGTTGAGCCCAGTGAGTTGAGATTGCACCACCGCACTCCAGCCTGAGTGGTAGAGTGAGACGCTGCCTCAAACACAAACCAAAACGAAATGAAAAAAGAAAATCTTACAAAAACTATAGACAGTGTGCCTTGATAGTATAGACAAGCCAAGACCTCTTCTGAAACTCTTACTTCATCATCAGAAAATGATCAAAGTTTTGGTTGTCATAGTGCAGCTATATTAGTAATACACTCCTGTGTATCAAATTACCCTCAAACTTAACAGCCTGAGCCAACAAATATTTATGATCTCATAGTTCCTGTAGGTCAGGAAACTGGGTGTGCTTTTGCATGGTGCCCCTAGCTAAGAATACTTCACAGGCTGCCTCCAAGCTGTTAGCCTGGGCTTCAGTCATCTTGAGACTGTCCTGATGCTGACAGCATTCACTTTCAAGCTCACTTGAATGGTGGTTGACAGGCTTTAGTCTCTCCAGGCTGTTAGTCTGAGAGCCTTGGTTTTTCACCATGTCACATGGTCCTCTCCATAGGGCAGCTCATAACAAAGCAGCTAGCTTTTCCCAGCCTGGGAGAGTGATCAAGAGTGAGTACACAGTCTTCTTGTAGCCTAATCCCAGAAGTGACATTGCATCACTTTGCCGTATTCTATTCCTTAGAAGCAGGTCACTCAGTTTAACCCACAGTCAAGGTGAGAAGATCATACAAGAGGGTGAACACCGGGAGATGGAGACACTGTTGGGGTCATTTTGGAAGCTATAGCAAACATGCATACATTCTGGTACAAGTGATGGCATCCTATCTCGGGAACCTGCAACTGCCCGAGGGCTTTCTCTGGCCACAGGAGTGTGCCAGGCTCATGCATAGGACAGACTGCAAGTGCTGGACAGTGAATGCCACACCTCCAGGAACAGGTCTCAAGCAAGGAAGGATGGGAGGAGATGAATCTCTAGGGTCTGCACTGCTCCTCAGTGTTCCTGGGGGCATCTAACTCCACCTGCCCACAGTGGTCACTTGTGCACAAAAGCACCATTTATTAGCTTTCTGCCTGCCATATTTTACTTACTCTCTCTTTTTATTTGGTGCTGCCTGAAATTGCCTCTCCAGCTACTTAATTCTAATCCTTGTCTCATGAACTGCTTATGAGGAAACTAAGAAATTAAACATTAAACATTACTTACACATGACAGCAATATTAGAAGAAATTGCCTAACTCTAAGGAATTGCATAGCTGTATAAGTTGTTCTTTCTCTCACTGAACAATTATTTATTGAGCAAGTGCTATATGTATATATACTACTATGCACTGGACACCAAACGTTTTACAAAGCCAATTTCTGCACTTCATGGACTGCTTTAAAATGAGGAAAGAATGGGAATTTTTATTCATTGTTACTTCTTGTGTTGGTTGTAGGCTTGAGAGAAAACTCTGTAGGCTGAAAATATCATATTTGCTATTACTTCTAATTTTGCAGTGTAGCTAGCTGATACACTGTGTGTATGTGTGTGTGTGTCTTTATGCCACCTCACACACATCATACAGGCTCTTTGTGAATGGACGATGTTGGATTTCTCACACTTGCTTAACTCAAAATGGCAGAATTTTCTTCAGCTGTTTTAAAAGCACCCAGCCTTGACCTGAGATGGAGAGGTAGACATTCCAATTCCAAGAGGGTGGTTGCTTGCTAAAAGTGGCAGAGCCTCAGCAATTGTGAAATTGCTTTTTCACCTGTACTTGGTGTCATTACAAATGATTCCATGTGTGGAGACTCAGATTCACTCAGAACCATTCTACCTCCTTTACAAAGCACTCCAAATATGGGAAAAGGAAGAAAAAAAGGGAGAAAACTACTCATGGCTCTTGCTGAGAAACGTGATGGCCAACTGTTGTAGGAAAAGTATAAATTTTGGAGTCAGACAGGTTTGGATGAGAAACACAATGGACCACATTCACACTTCCATGGCTTTAGTAATTCACTTAAATTTGCCAAGCCTCTGTTTCCTCATCTGTAAAATGGTGATACAGGTTGAGCATGCTCATTGGAGCATTTCAAATTTCAGATTTTTGGATTAGAGATGCTCAACCGGTAAGTATAATGCAAGTATTCCAAAATATGGAAAAATCTGAGCTCTGAAACATTTCTGGTCCCAAGTATTTCATAAGACATACTCAGCCTGTAATAATACCTACTCTTTTCAGGGTTGAGAATTAAATAAAGAATGTGCACAGAGATGTAGGCTGTAACCTTTCTTTCCACAGGGGAACTGTCTCTTCAGACTTTTATACATTTAGAAGTGAGTTTAACTGAACTGTGAAATGCCATCCTGTATGTGGCCAGCCATATTATAGCAGCGGCCTTGAAAATAATTTAAAATAGTCTAAAGATGACTTACTTGACTCAGTGTATTACGAATGAATTCAGAACGGAGAGTGGCTTTTAGAAAAAGGAGACACTTCCTGTCATCTTTAAAGTTTTCTGATTTCTACATGATGAATCACTTACCCGTCTTACACTCTACATCTCAAGCCGGTTTTGACTACTGGGGACTTGAGTGAACATCTGCTAACTTTGCGTTTCTGTCCCCCACTTCTCCTGGTAGTGGCATCTTAATTTTGTTTTGGGGATGCATTTCTCTCCTACTCTCAGACCATAGAGTTCAAGTGGAGTTTGTTCTATCCCACTGTGAGATTATCCAGGCCTGGTCAGTAAGAGCCACAACGATTAGTAGAGGATGGTTAGGTAAGACTTTTAGCCCAGGATGTGATAGGCCTCTGGATTTTACTGAAACTGTTAGAAAATGACGATTCTCTTTCCAAGGATAAATGTGAGCTGCTAATTGAGTACTCAGATTTTTGATGATATAGATTGAGCTTCTGAGTCCAGCTGTCATTGAACCTGGTAATTTTCTAGACCTGTAAATCAATGTCACCAAATTCTATTTTATTATTTTTATTTTTTGCTTAATTCTGTTTATGCTGGATTCTCTTGTTTACAGCAAAGAGATTATTGTCATATACCTGGATGATCACAAGGACAATACATAACACTTGTTGAGCACTCATAATGTGCCAGATGTTGTTCTAAGCGCTTAACAAGCTATGTATCGCATTTAATCTTAAAAAAGCCTATGAACTAAGAACTAATGTTAGTCCCACTTTATAAGTGAGAGAAATCATGTGAGATGTTTTGAAGAAAACTCTGTCTACACAGCTAGTAAATGGTAGACCCAGGACTTGAACCCAAGTCTGTCTGATTTTAGTATTTGTGTTCTTAACCTCTACATTATAATTAATAAAATGGAGCAAAACTCTTCATGTAATGAATAATAAATATTTGGAATTTCATGGCTTTTTCCAGGATGCAAGAATTACTCCAAACCACATTGTTTTCCATTCTAGAGGTGATTTCTAATTTTAATTTTCTGAGATCTTCACCTGGGGTAGTCTTATGAAAAAGATTGTGGCTAACAGAGTGAGAATATTGGCAACTGTAGGCGTCAGTTCCCCTATTAGTAGGAAGATGATCCCAGTCAAAGGCTATCCTTGGACCTCAGCAATTTCCTGTGTCTGTGAAAAGGCAAAGAGGGATGGGGTGGTGTATTTATGGGAAGACGTGGGCAGCTTGTTGAATTTTAGTGGTTTAAAAGCATTTGCTTTACATTATTTGAACTAATTGAAATAAAAGATTTGAGGCTCCTGAGAGTTGACTCATTCCCGTCATCCTAATATAAATGAATCAAGTTCCATTTGGTTGATGGTCTGTACCAAATTTCTCAGTATTGGCTGACAGCCTCAGAAAGATCTGTTCATTTTACAACGTTTCAGTGAGTCATTCCACACACATTGCTGGCATTGGTTCCCAGAGGGGAGGTGGGAGGAGGAGGAAGGTTTCACCGGGAGAGTGAAGGGCTTGGAAGTTCACTGGGGAACAGGAAGCAGGTCAGCAGCACTTTTATCCAGCACAAATTTGGGGCTCAGCGTTCTGGTTTTCACTCCTGAGCTCCATGTTAATTAGCATAGACATTGTACTCTCGGGAGAATGATACAAATCCTGTGGTCTCCAGCAGTCAAAGAAAATAGGGTTCTTTTTAATAAATTCAGCTGAATAGTTTTAACAAACTACACATACACATGCATGTGTATACATATATATCTACTGAAAAAATAAAGCTACTGTGTATACATAGACATATAATCTACTAAAAAAAGTGCTGTGGAATCAGACTGCGCTACGTTTAAATCACAGCTGAACTATGTTTTGTCTGGCTTTAGGCCACTTAACCTCTTGGAGACTCAATTTCCTCCTTTTTAAAATGTGCATACATTTTACTTTTTGTGCACTTTTGTGAAAGCTAAAAATCATGTATTCTAAGTGCCAGTACATAGTAGGCACTCGATAAAGCAAAAACTTGTGGTATTTAGATTCTGAGAGACCTGAAGCTATTTCTGACTCTGCCATTTACTAGTAGTTTGGATCTGGGCAAGTTACTTAGCGTGTCTCACTCAGTTTCCTAGTCTATAAAATGGGATCATAATGCTCTGTAGGATTGTTGTGGGATTGTGTGACACATTATTAGTTATTGTAATTATTACCAGCAATTATTAATCTGTTTAATTTTGCTGAACACTTTCATATAATGCATGCCAGGCATTTTATAATTCCTAACACATAGTAAATAATGAATAAACATTAGTAGTTATTCATAGGTTATATAATAGAAATTACTATTGAATATTATTGTTCCTAGAGGGTAGAATTATTGTCTTCAAAATTCTATATCTAGTAACCCAGTAGCCTAGATGCTTTTCTTTTGTTTGAGCTGTAGAAACCTGAGATTGATTGCTGCCTTTCCTTTCAGGGCTTTCAGCAGTGATTGATTGAACTTCACAAGAGTCTAATTAATTCACCATGTTCCCCTAAACTTCTCATAAGCTTAAGAAGCTGGTCTCCCTCCTGGTGTTGCAGGAGTGGGAAAATAACATTAGAAAGAATGGCTAAAGTTGGAAGAATATGTGACCTGGTGCCATGTGATGTCAGCCCACGCTTTTCCAGCATGACGCTCGGATTTTTGATAGTAGAAATTTTCCTGCATTAAGAAAATTCATGACATAGTGCTTTGACTTTTCTAGCTTGCAGCAAATTTTCCTTGGTTGAATATAATCTTGAAGGTGTGCAATAAAAAGAAAAAACAGTCATGATGTTAGAGGTCAGTCCTGTTGATATCAGAAAGAACTCATGGTAACCACTTTCGGCCAACTCTGAACTCCATAATAGACTAGTTGAGACTTTAGGAGACCAAGTAAGACGTGATGGTGGCTTGAACTAGGATAATGACATTGGCAGTAAGAAAAGAATATGGGGTACATAATATATTTAGGAAAAGTGCTGATGACTTGGATGGTTATGGGAAATGAATAGAGGAGAAAATACGTTGGACACGGGGTAGACTTTGGTGCCATTTTCTCACATGGAGAAGACCAAGGAAATAATGGGATCAAGGATACGGAGAAAATTGAGAGATCTATTTCTTTTGTGTTAAATTTGATATGCATAGTGGACATCTAAGTGTAAATTTGAAAGCAGCAGCTGGAGATACAATTTGGGAGCTCAAGGCATAAGTCTTGGAAGAGGATTTTGTGAACACCACTCCATCAAGCATGTGTTCTCCAGCATGCTATAATATATTATGGGAGGCCGGGAGCGATGGCTCATACCTGGAATCCCAGCAATTTGGGAGGCCAAGGAGGGTGGATCACTCGAGGTCAGGAGTTTGAGAACAGCCTGGCCAGCATGATGAAACCCCTTCCCTACTAAAAATACGAAAAAATTATCTGGGCATGGTGTCAGGCACCTGTAAGCCAAGCTACTCAGGAGGCTGAGGCAGGAGAATCGCTTGACCCCAGGAGGTGGAGGCTGCAGTGAGCCAAGATCACACCACTGCATTCCAGCTCGGGTGACAGAGACAGACTATAAAAATAAATAAATACATAAAAATTAAAAGAAAATAAACACTATATCTATGGAACACAAAATAAGGTCAGACAAAACTTTGATAAAGGAGGGAATAACTAGAAATGCAAATCAAGAGATTAAGAAACAACCTGAGAACAAAGAGGAGATAATAGAGGAAAAGGGGACTAAGTGCTGAACACCTCTTGACTGAGCTTGTAGAATATGCGTGGCATTGTGCTGCACACTTTTACACACAGTACCTTGTGGAATACTCACCAGAACATGTATTGCTTCCGAGAAAACTGAGGATCCTAGGGTTTTAAGTAACTTATCTGAGTATCATAGCTAGTTATGTACAGAGCCAAACAAAATCTACCTGACCCTAAAGCCTGTGTTCAGAATGGATAAAATGTTTGTTCCTCCTTGCCAGTGAAATAATATAATTTGTTAACAATGAACAAGGAACAAGACTTAAGAAAGAGTCAAGGTTTTTCTGGCTTGTAAGATGCCTGTTCATGGAGCTCACCCACTGGAGGTCATATCCTTGTGTCTGCAAAATACACATCTTACTTGGAGGTAGAGGGGGGAAAGAAGAGTAGAAAGAAGACAGATAGTTCAAGATAGGGTCACTTGTTAAAAATATGAAGCAGGGGTATTTGAGTTTCTTTAATTATCATGTATCATCTCTATGTACTGCATTACTTATTTCTTTTGGTTGTAGCTCCTAAAAACACTCCTTGTCCTTTTCTTGAGTGTTGTCTAGCAGGCATATAGATTAAAATGGTTTTTCTACCATTCTATGCCATTAATTATGGTTTACATTCAGTTGCTTAATCATTACCTTTTGTTACCATTCTCTAGCAATATTTCTCCAGCAATTCATTGGCTTACTTAATTGAAACATCCAAGAGGTAAGCTTCTTTCAGGCACAGTTAGATCCAGGAATTTAAGTGCTGTCATCTGGGCTTTGGCTCTGTCCCTAACTCTAGGCTACACACAAATCACTTGGCTTTTCTTTTTTTAAGACACGTCTTATGCATGTGATGGTTACGTGGTGTCTGGTGTTGCACAGCACTCTTCTTCACAGTTTAAGATGATAGAGGAGGCAAGAGATTATGCTTCTCTGTTCATACAATGATGCTCATAAAAGGGACTCTGATTTTCCCATGTGCCCATCTCTTTGACCATGCCCATCTTTCTATATGTGCATCTCTCCAACCAATCACACAGGAAGATAATTGGCCAGACCTGGGTCATGTGCTTTCCCCTGCGTGTAGAAGATAGGCAAGTCCTTGGGATTTACAGTTTCATCAGTACCAAATGGAGCAGGAGAGGGCAGTCCCCCAGTATAAAATCAACAGAGATACATTTCAATACTTTGATTGGATGGAGGTCATTGTTGTTATTATTTGCTGTTGCTATCATTGCTGCTATTTTTATTCCACTCAAGGGCAGTATCTGAAGCCACACAATAAACCTGGCAGTAGCAGGAGGTCTCTGGTTTGATTATTGACATATAAAGAGCCTTCTATCCTTCCTGTTTTGATGAGAGTTGCATGAACCCTGAGTTCCAAGTAGCTCTGTAATCAGTTTCTGAGATCCTATCAAAAGAATGACAAATCAATTTGGAAAAGAGACCCACTGAAATGTCTGAACAGATTCAATCTTCTCTATGACTGAATAATTCAACTTTCTTTTTAAATCCAAGCCTAGTTTTATGGAGAAGCCATTCCTTTTCTTCTTGAGTCTAGGAAGGCAAATCTGGATTATTATATCTGCAGGATTCAGCGCTCATAATAATTGCTTTTTGATTGTTTTTTTTTTCTGTGAGGTTGCTGTAAGACCAACCAACAAACAGGGTGATTAAATTAGGGCAGAGTTTACAAACTTGATATGCACAGCCCTCAAGAATTACAGCTCTTTGGCCTGATGGTATCTTTTGTGGGGTATGCACAATATTTTACTAATTTGATTTAGTTGCCAGTATTTTTAAAACAGGTGATTTTACATGTTAAAAAAAATCCAGACTTTAAGCTTATTAGAAAATGTGGCAACTCTGGGCCTGCGTTTCCACATTCAATAGTCAGAGAAACCTATTTTTGTTGGGAAACAGAGCAGTTAGGAATATATTCTGCTGCAAGTAATAGAGGTTTAAACCACAGGGATATTCATTGCTTGTTCAACAAAGACTCTGGAGATAGGGTTTGTCCAGTTTTCATTCAAGAGCTTAACAGTGGTATCTTCTATCAATCATTTGCTGCCATCCTCAATGTTTTTTTGTTTATTGGTTTGTTTTTTTGTTTTTTTTTTTGGTTAATCTCTTACCACATCAGTAAAGAGGAAAAGAGGTCATTCAAGGGAGTGCTGCAGGAGTGCTCTGGCCAAGCCCAGTGGCTCATGCCTGTAATCCCAGCACTTTGGGAGGCTGAAGCAGGGGTGGATGGCTTGAGCTCAGGAGTTCAAGACCAGCCTGGGCAACATGGTGAAATCTTGTCTCTACCAAAAATACACACACAAAAAAACCCCAAAAACCTTTAGATGGGCTAAAGTTTAGTGTACACCTGTAGTCCCAGCTACTTGGGAAGCTGAGGTGGGAGAATTGCTTGAGCCAGAGAAGTAAAGGCTGTAGTGAGCTGTGATCACGCCACTGCAGTCTCGACTGGGTGACAGAGTTAAGACCTTGGCAAAAAAAAAAAAAAAAGAACAAATAAAACGTGGGGGTGCTCCTTGCCCATCTATTCTTTTATTTTTCAGGAAGAGAAATTTTCCCTAGAACTAAGGTATGGTCTTTCCTTTGTTCTCACTGGCCAGAGCTAAGTCAGATGGCCACCTCTAGCTATCAGCAAAACATAATGGGATTACCCATGATTTGTTTACACTAGTGCTGATCTATTCCCTGGGGTTGGGAACACTATCACCTGAATAAAATCAGGTCTGTGTTAGCAAGTCAGGAATAACTTGTGGATGGGCAGTCAATGGTGCCTGCCACAGCAATTGCCTCTCCATTTCCCCATGGTCCTCTCCACTCCCTGTGGTCTGATCACAGCCACCTCCACTAATTTACCTCACCTTAATGACCTTTGTAGGTGTTTTTGTTTATGACTGTAGACCCAGAATAACTTGATCACTTTCCTAATTCTGACCTGATGCCAGCAAAACAAGATGCCCAATTTGTTGGGTCAGGAGAACCTTGATTCTAAGTCTCCATTGAACATTACTAGCTGTGTAACCAGGGACATTGCAAACACTTTCTGTGATTTACTTAAATGTATGATGTTAAGATTCCTAGAACTAGGCAATTAGTGGTTGGTATCTAGATACTTTGTCCCTTTTTATTGTTAAAACCTTCAAAAATTATTTATGAAAAAGAATGTTTTCCTTGTATACTCTAGAATATTATTTTAGCATATAGGAATTTTTCTCTATCCAAAAACTTTCTGCTCTCCATTTAATTTCTCAGGTTAGAAGGATTAGAAGCAGAGAGAACAAGAGAGAAAGAGAGGATTATATGTTATGTTTGGGGGAGTTCTTTGGTTTTGTTTTTAAAACAAGCTTAGGGTTCAAGAGGTAATTTGGAATATAAAAGATGTCAGTGAGAAAGATGGTAAAATGTTTCCTAGGTTTTAAATTAATTTCCTTGCTCTGAAAACAAAATTAAACCTCTGAGATTTTATTTGTTGGCAATCAATTATGTAACATGAACAATTATGGGTGATGTCTTTCTTTAGTTACATAAAATATATTATTCGTAGGACCACATTATTTTTCTCCATTTTTGTTTTAATATCTCATTGTCTGTTTAAAATTTTTTCACATATCCACATAGTAAAACTCATAATAGTAGCTAACTTACATTTAAGCAATGGATGTTTACTGTATGTCAGATTCAATGCATGCGATGTAGTAAGTACTCAATAAATAGTTATTAATGTAATACAAAAGAAGTCAAGATGAGTAGAAGAATGGGACCTAACCCTTCCACACTGACATAAATGAGAACTCAGGAAGGCAGTGTAGTAGGTTGGAAAATGGGTATTAGAATCAGATTGCCCTGGATTTAAATCTCAATTTCACCACCTGCTAATAGTGTCACTTTAGGCCGGTCATCTAACTTTTAAAATAGGAAAACAGAACCCACCCCTCCAAACTGTGTAAGAATCGAAACAAATCACGAATCTCAAGTCCTTAGTCTAGTGCCTTGCACAAGGTCAGGGCTCAACTGGCATAGGCTGTTGTTATTCATCTGTCAATTTATGTTTAATTATTAACAATTATTGTTCAATAAGGCAGCATAACAAGTCACCCCACAACTCAGTGGCTTGCAATAATAAACATTTAGTTTACTTTTCCAGGGCCTAAGGGTAAGGAGAGATGGCTCTGTATCCTGCTGTGCACTGGCTGGGCTTGGTTCACTCAAGGTTGTGGGTTTGGTTCAGTTCTGCTCACAGTCTTTGGGTCAGTGCCTACCTGGGAATGTTCCTCTCCTGATGAATGGCGGGAGACCAAGACAGCAAGCCAACACACGAAAACATCAGGGAGGCCTCTACTTCTGTCACCACCACATTTTATTGGAGAAGTCAGTTACACGGTCAGGTCCAAAGTCGCTGGGACAGGGAAGTGTTCCACTTAAAGTGGGGTGAGAGGAAGGATGAAAATATTTGCTGAAAATAGTCTCATTTATCATAATTTGAAAATGTGCCATCCAAGTGTAACAATATTTTGTATCCACTCAACTATCTCAACTACATTTCTTTTTGCTTTACAGTGTCACCACCCCTCCCCTCAATACCACAGATATATGTATTTCTATATATTTTCCCCATGTGTTAATGGCTTTTGGTTGCCTTGAATTAACTCATAATGCAATGGTAATAATGTGTTTCCTCTTCCCAGGGGTAGTTGTATTTTAAATAAAGATCTAATGCAAGGAGAATGGGTAACTTCAAGGACTGAATGAGTAATGCTGCTATGTTTTGGTGCTATAATACCTGAGTGTAGAGGCAGAGAGATCTTTTGATCATCATCCTAATTAATAAAACCCAAGGCCATGTGGAAGGGCTCAGTAGTAGATCAAGTACATCTCCACCGATAGAAAGATACTCCTCTATAGTGTTGCCAAAGAGGTAAAATGCTTACTAGTAAATTTCCCTCTCGCTAAATCTCCAGGGCCTCTTGGGCTGAGAAGAGTCCTTGAGAGGAATATTTATTTGACATCTTTTGCTTCCTTATTTAATTGGAGTCACATATCTTCCCTGAGTCCATTTATAAACTGTACCACATTTCTACTGAATGCACGTTCATATATAAGCAGGCTCTGAGTTTGAGTTAGCATTTGTAACTTCCCATTATGAACTTGGGGGAGTATTTCCCATGAAAATGAATGGGAAATCCTGCCACCAAATAGCTGTTATCAGTTAGTGTTTTTATGATACTATTGTGTTAATTTATTAGTAGTAATATAGACTTTACCATGAATGTGTTTTCCATACTTTAAATCCAACCATCTGATGAGAACAGGAAATCATGAGACTATTATTTATTTTTTATGCACTACCTCCATTTCTGCAGCTTCAATGTGTTTCCTGGGAAACTCTACATCGTCATTGTGGAATGATCGCTTCAGTGAATTGAACTAATTGGTCTTGTATTGACCCTGAAGTTTTAAGTCAGTCAGAGGATTACATAGTTTCATGTACAGCATTCTGTAGCTCAGTTATGTTTGAATTACTTTGCTGTAAACTTTAATATGCTTGTTTTATCTTTGTCACAAAGCAAGGTTCTATTTCAGGAACATTCCTTCTAAAAGTTTACTATCTGACTCCCCAGTTTTTTGTCAAGTCTGTGTTAGATCCTTGGTGCATATGGATTTAGCATTTCAGTTGTTTATTTGTAAGTGACTGGGAAGGCTGATGCCATAAAGAAATTTTTAATTTTGCTAAGACACAAATATGCATTGTGTTGGGGAAGGATCCACCTAGTTAGTAAGGGAGCCTCGCTGAATACTCAGTACAGTGTATATATTTCAAGGTACTTTGCTGTTCTCTATACACCTTTGAGAAAAAAATAATTTCCTAATGTAATTATTTTCAAGAGTTTTTTGAAAAAAAGTAATATGTAATATGTATTAAGCATTTATGAAATACCAGTTTATTAAGTGTTTTAAATGAATTAGCACACAAAAATATTGTCATTACCCCATTTTACAGATGAGGGAAGTCATATAAAGAAGGCTTATGAAAGTGAGGTCTTCTCAAGTTCATGCAGTACTGAGTGTCGGAGCCAGGATTTGAATCTGGGAAGTCTGACTCCAAAGCCCAGCTCATTATCTACTCCCCGCCCATATACCCTCCAGCACTGGTGGGGGACTTGAAAAGGTTTGCAAAATTGGGAGTTCTTATGTGGACATTACATGTACTGGAGACATCAAAGAAGGGAATGTTATATTCAGCAGTGAGTCAGATCTCTACACTATTATGAAAACAAGAAAAAGTAATCTGTGAAATTGCTTCAGTGAGTGTTCCAGCCAGGATTTATTTTAATGGCTTTATCAATTACTTTAGTCCCATATTTACAGAATCATTAAAGACTGAGGGGGTTATTTACATTTTACCAGTGATGGTTTTTTTGCTTTTTGTGGGGAAGATATAATTTGAAGAGATATATTTGATAGTTTGATGGTTTACAAAGGCCTTGGAATATATCCAACTGGACGCCAAGGACTGTTGTATTACCATTATTATTTTTAGTTTTAAACTGTTGGGCTTACCTGCACAGAGGTGACTATAGATGTAAAATACCTAACATGGAGAATATAACATCAGATTCTTAGCATGTAACAATTGGTGTTGTATTAGAACTCAGAGAGTCGCAATTTGATCTTCAAACCCAAGTCTTTAGCCACCATATGCAACAGTAGAGGCAGAGCAGGTTGGCAGGGCTGCTCCTGTGTTTAGAGTTTGGAGGGATAAACAGGAAGGGAAAGCAGAGCTTCAGGTTTCGGGGGGCAGAAGACAGTTAGTGGTGACAGGGGGATGAGGAATCATATTTCCCAAAATGATGCCCTTCTGCAAACATTTTAATGTTGGCATGATGGCTATTATGGCATTAAAGAAAATATTTTAGACAAGACAGAAAAGCAGCAAGACCATGAGATAGTGACATGAAGTGGTCGAAGGCTGGTGGTACCCTTTTAAAAAACCTGTTACTCAGTAATCATTAATCATTTTGCAATACCTCTAGCCTGGTCCCGAGGCTCTGCTCTATGGTTCCCCTTCTTCTGGCTCCTGTACCTAATTTTCTTCTGGAGAATTCCTCCCCCATTGCATACCGTCTTGGTAACTCACATTCCAGATACCCTGCTGTCCCTTTGCCAAAGAGGTGGCTTGTGACCGAAGCTGGACAGGTGATTATTTCCTGGTATTCCTCATCTTTAATGAAGTGGCATGAGGGAGGGCAGCAAAAGCAGTGGAACTGGTTCGTCCCAGCAGTGGTGGCTGATGAGTTTTTCAATCTGTTCCTGTTTTCAGCATTCCCAGAGTATCACTGGCCTCTGGTAGACTTCCGTACAGTTCTTCAGTTTTTCCCTTAATTCTGAGTTTCCCCCAGTCCTGCCAATGAATTACTTTGTGCTTAAATTAGCCCGACTCATCAATATTTCTGTTGTTTGAAAACCAAGGATCCTAATGGAAACAGTTGGTTTTGTTACAATGAGATGTCAAAGAATGGATTTAGTGATATATTTTTGAAAATATCTAATAAATGATTTCAGAAGAGTAGCACCTATCTGAAATTCAGGAAAAAAAAAAAAAACCACAGCAGGTTGTTATTACAAACTTTGCAACTATGTGTTTTTTTTTCCAGCCCAACTGAGGTCTGTATTGTTGAACTGAAAACAAATTTCTAAACTGATCTCTCCCTGGAAGTTACAGCAGGAAGCGAAAACAGAAATTCTGAGTGTTTGTCTGAAACAGCTCTCCTACACACACACACACACACACGCACACATGCGCACACACACACACTTATCCTCCAACCTCCTTCTCTGAATACTAATTTTGTCTTCTTCCTTATGTATTCATTCAACAAGTATTTTTATTTTCTTTTTCTCTTCATATCAGGGGACAAAGCATTGAAGTTACTATTTATTCTCTGAGTTCTTCTGAAAACCCATTAATCATTTTGGAAGGTAATCAATAGAATGCAAAATGGGATGATCTCCATGGCTATCAGATTTCCATAAATAGACACATTCTGCAATTATCATCAGAATGATTTGTTACCATTTGAAAGTAGATAAAGAAGGGAGATGCAGTTCTGCCTCAACATCTAAATCCCAAGAAGCAGTTTTCTATCTATTCTTTAAGTACATCTTTGGGTCTGGCTGTTCTTTGCTGGGATTTTTCCACTTTTTTCTTCTTGCTATACTGCCAAACAGCTAATCATGTTTGAATGCATTCTGCATAATAAACCCACTCTTTGCACTTTCTATGACTATTAAAATGTACAACAACATTTTAATATTAGTTTGTTTCTTCCCCACTTCCTTTTTGGAATAACTGCTTAGCATGATTTGGGCTGAGTACTTTTTCCAGAGTTAATGGTAATAATAATAATTGCAATGGTAATAAGGTCTTCAGCTTCTGCTTGATAGCTGATGGCATGTGTGCTTGTTTGTGTGTTAGAGATATTGAGGAATCTATTCTAATTTAAGCCTTGGCTTGATTCTTTAGATACTTGACTGGAAGGAATTCTTTGGTTATGTAATCTGAGGGCAATTGTCAGCACTTAATCTTTCTAAGAACTATGTTAAACACAGCACATAACCACATGACTTTTACAATTAGATATTGAAGGGTGTTCACTTTGGTCTTCCAAAGATGACCCTGAGACAAGGATTAAGGTGCTGGTCAGTTACACAGGAAGTGATGACAAGAAACACTAGGAGAAGAGTGGAATGTGAGATGAGGTAGGGAAGAAAGCCAGTGAAGGGAACCTCACAAGCCAGTTTCCACTGTGGGCAGCTGAAGCTTAACACCTTTGGGTAACTCAGAGACCATGGAGAACATTTCTCCCATCTCTCAAAGGAAAGGAAAATCGTAGGCATTGGTTGAAGGCTATCCTAGGAGCATTCACGGTCCAGCCTTTCACCTGGACCTGTATGGGCCAAATGTGCTCGCATGGCCAGGAAAAAACCCTCAGGCAGAGAGGCACATGTGTTCACAGTAACACTCCCCATTGTGAAGAGATTGATACTACAGGGATGTGGGCAGGGCACCAGGAGCATCTGCTGTAATATGTCACATGCCCATAAGGAATCATTCATCCACCTTGCAAATCCCAACTTGGAGGAAGTGGGTGCTTTATGAAGAGGCAGGATTCCATGTTGCTTATGCAGTATGTTTTGAAGGGTAAGGTATTGCTCCAAGATTTGCCTTTTTTAGGAGAGACTCAATGGTTCCAGAAATGTAGCCTCTAGAGAATAATCATTTTGGGTTAAGCCAGAGGAACTCACAGTAAGATCCTCTGACCATCTTCATCAAAATCACCTCGGAATGCTTCATAAAATTCAGGTTCCTGGATTTTTCTTCAGACCTGTTGAAATAGAACTCTGGATTTGGAGTGAGGTGACAGAAATCAGCTCCAAGCAATTTTAATGAACTCCTTAAGTGTGAAAATACTGACATGTTTTCCCCCTCCCTGATGACCTTAACATTTTTTAAATGAAAATATAGCTTGTTTTTTTCTATTACAATATTAATACATTTGTAAAATATGCCTTTTTAAGGCATTGCTTTATTTTTTATTTATATTTTTATTGATGTATAATAGTTGTACATATTTTGGGGGTGATATTTTGATACCTGTATACAACATGTGATAATCAAATCAGAGTAATTGGGATATCCAGCACTTCAAATATTTGTCTTTTCTTTGCATTGGGAACATTACAATTCTTTTATTCTAGCAATTTTGAAATATACAATAAACTGGTTTTACTATATTTATCTACTGTACTATCAAATACTAGAACTTACTTCTTCTAGCTAACTGCATGTTGGTACCCCTTAAATGCCTGTCTTATTTCACCTCTGTATCTTCTGTGGTTTCCTAGCACGAGCCTGCCAAATAGTGCATGCTTAATAGATATGAGTCAAATGAGTGAATTCTCATTATAGAAACTAGAATGCAAGGATTCTTGGTGATTGAGTGACTCACACTTTAGTGTGAATAAATTTGTCAACTCTTTTCCTCTAAGGAAAGAGGAACAGATGCAATAATAGAACACTGGGAGCCAGAGGGAAGGAACAGATAAAAATGGAATGAGAATCAGTCTTGCCAGCTACAAGCTTATCCATCTGCAAAATGAGGATGTAGTCAGCACCTGATGTTTTTCCTGCCTAGTGTCCACTACTTTGCCATTGGATACTTCACTCTGGTGTTCTTTTGGGAAGCTTCTCCTCTATGCAGTCTGCATTGCTTCTGAAGGCCTGACTCAGGCCTGGCCAACCACTTTATTTTATCTCCCTCCTCACCATGAGATTGGTGTGAATGAAATGGGCTGTAAGCCAACTGAGAACAATTAGAGTTTAATCCAGATAAGACATAAAAGAGACACTTCCTCAAATTTATAGGGAAAGGAAGATGAATGTATGTTGATTTTGCTTAAGTGGTAGAATATAAGCCTGTAGCTGGTTGTGACCATCTCTATCAGATGAGGAGTGCCTGTTTAAGAATAAAACCAAAAGAAAAAGAAGAATAAGAGATGGAGAAAAATTTATAATGATATCATTGGAGCTTCTGGATCTATCCATGACTTGCCACTTACATGAACCAACTTTGGTTGTTTATTTTGTCACCCGAAGCCAACAGTCCTGACTGATAAAATGAGTTTGAAACTAACTGATCTCCAAGGAAGATTATCACTGAATGGCTATGGTTGTCTGAAAAAGTTGGACCAGAATCCTTGCTCTACCACTTTTTATCTGAATGAAACTTGACCTGCTACCTAGGGTCTCTAATCCTCAATTTTCTCATTATTATAAAGAACTTTGAATATAATTGAATCCATTGGCTTGTGAGAATTCTATACATGTCAAGAGTAGCCTTATAGGTACTCATATGTGGTAGTTATTCAGTAAGGCTCTTTTAGATGTCAGGACTTCCTTGGTTTTATCTAAGAAAGACCTCTTAGAAATTCCAAAAATCTCTATTAAATACTATGGGTCATGTCTTGAAGGCATGCTACCTTCAAGTGTATTTTTTTTCCGAGGGGTGTTCAAGACATTAGGTAAGTTCTTTTTCTCCTCATTTCTAGAAATTCGAGGCTGGCAGGAAAGTCTATTGCAAGGCATTTGATGTTCAATATGATGAAATATGATGAAATGGGGAAAGTGTAGAGTTGAAGGTTGTAGCAAATTATATATTTCAAAGATTTCCGTAAAAATACCTCCGATCACACATGCTCTTCAACACTGTGATCTTACTTCCCCCATCAAGAGATAGCATCTAATTCTCTTTTCTTGAATCTAGCCATTTCTTAGTGATTTACTTGTACCATAGAATACAAAACAAAAGTGACACCATATGATTGCCGAGTCTGAGAATGCTTGTTCTTCAGCTCATCCACCTTGGGATATCACCTTTCAGAACCCAGCTGCCACGTTCTGAGGAGACCAAGCCAAGTGGAAAGCCTGCATGTATGTGCTCTGGTCCACACTCCTAGCTCAGTTCAGCTTTTGATTCATCCTTGTTCATGTGCCAGGCATGATTGGAGATGCTGCTAAACCACTCCAGCTCCTAGATGTTAGAGTTGTCCCTTAATCCCAAGTATTTGTAACTGGGGTCCTAGATGTTGTAGGCAGAGAACAGCTGTGCCTACTTTGCCTTTTCAGAATTCCTGACACACAGAATCTACTGTCATTTTACACCACTAAATTTTGGAATGGTTGATAATTGTCAACAGAAAACTGCAACACAAGAGACAACATGGCCATCAAAAAGCATCCTTAGGAATGGAAGTCATGATGTTCATGGGACCCAAGTGCTATCAAACAGGACTTTTTTTTTTATAAAGGCAAGAGTTAAACAAACAAATAGAAAACAAACTAACAAAAACCATCAGAACAATCAGAATAGAACTGGAAATCTGGTTGCCAGAACTGGAAGTATGTTTAATGGCCACTGGTCAGAACTCTCTCTCTAACAGGAGAGAAAAACACCCAAAGAGTTGGTGCTGTGAGGGAAATAGATACTGTTTTGGAGCCAGGACATATAAATCTATATTGATATGTATAAAATAACAAGCAAGGTAGTAGAGCATAGTGGTTAAGAGCTGGAGCTTGAAGATCAGCCAGACCTGGGCTCAGGTCTTTAACCGCATTAACTGAATGATCTTTAAAAACTCTCTTCACTATCCTAAACCACAGTTTCCCCATCTGCAAAATTTAGACACCAATATTCACTTTATAGATTTAATTTCAGGATTAGATGAGACAAATTAGCACTTAATATATTGCCTGATGCACAGTAAGCATTCTATATTTTAATTATTATGTTAAAATAATTGTGTTAATCATTGTATTCAAAGCCACATTGCAAACTCTAGAATGTGAGATAACTTTCAATAAATAAGACAACAATATTCTATGATGGAGCAGAATAAGAATCCCAGCTAATATTCATTAATATGCACATTTGCCATGCACTGGGCTATGTTCTTTAGAGGGATTACCTCCCTTAATCATCACAACAACCTTAAGTGTCAGGTTTCATTATTATCCCATTTAAAAGGAAGAAACTGAAGCATTAAAACTGTAGGTACTATGGTGAAGGTCACATAAAGATTAAGTAGTAATCAGACTCCAGAGCAATACCTCTTAATTACTCTGCCATATTGTGTTTCCCTGTTGGATACGTTCCCTTTCAGTTGTGAGGTACGGAGTCCTCTTTCAGGTCAAGTCAGCACCATATAACACTAGCAGTATGGTTCGTGGCCCTGCAGAAATATAAGGTCTTTCAGAGTTATCACATTGAGGTGTAGAGCAGGTAACTCTCCTAATATATGTAATAGAATGGTTGAAAGAAAGACATGACTGAACATGGAATGAAGACAGATTTATTTTGGTTCCCCATGAGTGATTCAGCATTTTCAAGGTGAATTTAATATGGAGAATGTTGCCAATTCCGTTTCATTGAAGCCCTGGTGCCTGAGGCCAAAATCACTTAAGTGAGTCAGGAAAATTTGTCCTTATCATTTTGCATTGGATGTGCCTGTTAAGGATGGAATTGGTCTCTCACTTTGATCTTTGGCTCAGGCTGCCTCAGATGGCTTTTGAAGGATCCTCAGTGTACATTCCACTTTCTGTCCTGGAGGTGAGTACATTTTTCTGGCAGTCAAAAATATTCACTAGACCCTCACTGCTCAAAGTGTAGTCCATGGGCCAGCAACATCAGCATTTCTGGAGAGCTTGTAAGACATGCAGAGTTTCAAGGTCCCGCCCCAGACCTACTGACTCAGAATTTGCATTTAAACAGTATCTTTAGGTGAATCTGATACCCACTAAGCTTTGAAAAGCAATGTTCTAGACAAATATTTATTGAAAACCTTCCATGTGTCATATACTTTTCGAGATTTTTGAGGAGGCCAAGAATCTTTCTGAAATCATAGGGGAGGGTGTACAAGAATCAGGTAAAAAAAAATTCCAGTTGTTAATAAATGTTATGGAGAAAATAAAACAGGCTAAGGCTTCTGGGAAGGTTTGTTTAGAATTATCAGGAAGGGCTAAGAGATATCATTTGATCTGAGATCTGAATTTCATTCCCTAAATATAAGGGAAGAGGATGCAAAGCCTAAGAGGCAAGAATGAGCCTGAAGTGTCTAGAGAACTGAAAGGAGGTCTGGGTAGTGAATGAGAGCAGAAGTAATAGAAATTGAAGTCATTCAATTCAACACTTAACCAAACAGACATTATGCACTAGGAGCTGTCCTCGGTGCTGAATATATTGCAGTCAACAAAACGAAGATCCTGTCCTCATGATGGCTACATCCTAGTAGCTGAACCAGGTAAGTAACAAATGTGAAAATATTCTACAGCAACTAAAGTAGGATATGAAGATAGAGAGTGATGGGAGGAGTCTTATCTTTGGGAAGGAGTTGGCAAATTATGGTCCACAGGCCATTTACAGTTGGTCTCCTGTTTCTGTAAATACAATTTTATTAGAACACAGCCAATCGGAAATCATGTATTTACACATTGTCTATAACTGCTTTCATACAACAATGGCAGAGCTGAGTAGTTGTGGCAGAGATAGTATGGCCCTCAAAGCCTAACATATTGACTATCTGGCTCTTCACAGAAAAAGTTTGCAGACCTCTGTCTTAAGGGATAAAGAGCATCCACTGGGGATGGGGAAGTGAAAGGGGATGGCTCTTTGAGAAAACAATAGCTGAGTAGAAAGGTAGTCAGGACTCAGATCAAATAGGACCTTTTAAGTTATGGTGAGGAGTTTGGGTTTTAAGTGTCACAGAATATCATTGGGTAGTTTTAAACAGGGAGTAAAATGATCTAATTGACTTTTAAGGGCTCACTAAGCAGTTCTAAACACTTGAGTTGCTGCCAATTTTCAGCCAACAAAGGCACCTGGAGATGAGTGCCTAGGTGTTTCCCCTTTGATCTTGGCTCTGTCTAGATGACATGGATTTTTGGCCAGAGTAAGAACCAAAAGACACTCAATGCAGAGGCGACAGTCCCCTTTCCCACCCTTGTGTTTTCTAATAGCATTATGATAAATAGGTCTTTATATAATTCCTTATGAGTGACTGATTTGGAACAATTCTTTGAAAGGGATGTGGTAATTGAGCCCCAACTCATGTCTACAGAGAATCAAAGCTGCCTTGTTTTTAGCTTAATGCTATGAATACTTTTGCATGTCTTGGCTGCATTTATTCATTCATCTATTCAGCAAATATTTATTGAGTGCCTATTATGGACAAGGCCCTGTACTTGGCAATGTAGATGAAAGGGCTATCTTAAAAAGGTCTTATTAAGTGTTGCCAGAAAGATTGAAGAAGTAGCTTTAGGAGAAGTTGCCAGGTGACTACAACATTTTGAAGGATGAAAGAAATGTAGATTTTCTAAAAGGATTATGGGTTTTATATTTAAAAAAAAATAGAGGTTGAAAGGGAATGTAATTGAAACCTTTCCAATCCTAAAGGGCATGGGTTCCTTTAACAAATGTAGGAATATTATAATAAGGGTCACACAATAGGATAAGATGCTAAGAGTTCACATGGCTGACATGCAGCACTTAGCATTTTTCAGATACTGGAAAATGAATTGACTGATTACATCTTCACAATAATTCCATTAATAAGTAATTATTATAAGAATGATTAAACAGAAACATAAAAAATTTAAGTGCCTTTTCTAAGATCACACAGCTTATAATGGTAACTTCAGGACTGGAAACCAGATGTGTTTGACCCCTGAGCTGATATAAAACATTCCTCATTCAGCTTTCATATCCCAGCCAAGACTTCCAGATTTAAAAAAAAAAAAAAAAAAAAAAGATTTGGAGCCTGGGGAGGGGAGGAACTGGAAGTATTACACTTAATTTTTAAAGCTGATTTTTAAGAAGACAACTGTCTTCCTCTACAGCTCTCCTCTTGGTACCTTTAACAGGGAATGAATTTTGGCATGATGTGCAAATCTTTATACTGTGTGGCAAAGGGAAGTTAGCTGCGTATGAGTCACTACATTCTCTGGCTCAGAATTAAAAATCCAAGCAGTAAAATTCCTCCTACTGACCCAGCTAAAGGTAACTGGTGGGTACATGCCAACTCTAGGTATATGATTTACAAAAAATAATGTACAAAACATTAATAAATGTGATGAAAAAAGTTTGAGAAGCTAATGAATAACAAAGCTAGCTAAAATGTGTTGACTGGTTAATATGATGTCAGTGTTGTTCTAAATGCACTATGTGCATTATGTGCAACAACTCTAAGAATTATTTATTACTGTCGTGCCTGTTTTCAAGATGAAAGAACTGAGGACTAGAGGCACTGATCATGTAACTCAGAATCAGGTGACAGAATCAGGGCTTACCCCCACCTCTGCTGAGTGCAAACAAAGCTAATGCACTTAAGCACTCTCTATTGGGCCAGTGTTATAATTCTCTATGCTGCTGACTGCCTATTTAATCCATAGACGTATGCCAACCTGAGTTTTCAACCTTTACTCCAACTGACCTGCCAAATCCTTGGCAAGGGGGTCAAGAAAACCCAGATAAAGTGGGTTAATCTCTCTGATGTGCAACTCCTGATCATTAGCTCCTGATATGCCTTCAGTGGTGAATTGGAACAAAGCTGACCTTTTTGTCAGTGAATTGGAAAATGAGTCAGCCTGAATTACACTCCAGAGGAGGCAATGCCCATTGCAACTCCAGATAGAGCAAGACATACATAGGGAAAAGGAGATTGATTAATTTTAGCCGTACCATTTTTGTTAATGATGAGTTATGTTAGTGACCACAGAGAAAGAAGAGGTAGCATCTTTTATAGCTAAGCAATAAATAAACCTTTGTAAAATCCATCTTTATGGCCTCCTTTTATAATGGTTTTATGTGATTGATGTGATGATAAATTTGTACGAATTGGCTGATCCATTCTTTTATCCATCCAACCAATATTTATTAAGCTCTATGAACTGTGTTCTTGTTTAATATTCTACTTCCTCCAGGTCAGTGGTTTTTCAAGTATGGTCCTCAGACCAGTAGCATCGACATTACCTGAGAACTTGTTAAAAATGCAGAAACTCAGACTCACCCAAGACTATCAGAATCTACAGTGGGGTTTTGCAATCTGTGTTTTAACAAGCCCTGCAATTGATTATGATGCATATTAAATCACTGATCTAGGCAACTCTTATGCCAGAAAGAATCCCCTAACCATCCTCTTCTCTCCAATTCTAATTGAATCTCTTGAAGGCAAGACCTTTTTCTCCAGGTCATTGCTGGGTCTCCAGTGCCTAGCAAAAGACTGGGCTCAATCTATGCTCTCAAAACTATTTATGCTGAATGAATTAATAAAGAAAGACACGGAGTTACAGATATGTTGAGTACTCTCTGTTTGGTCCATCCGGTTTCATGATTTGTAGAGAGGAGACAAAAGAGCAGAGAGCCGGAAGGACTTGGTTAAGATATAAACAAAATCATCAGACACATCAGGGTCCCCAGTACTAGTCTAATGCCAATGAACAGAGGATGTAGACAACTTTATTTCTTACCCCTCCTTGCTTTTGGAGTTTGACACTGTGACCTAAGCCTTTTTAGAGAAATTCAGCAAGATTTTCAAAATAAGCATTTTGATCATGATTTATGGTTAAATAAAGGGCTCTGACATTGAAGCTTCTAGCCATCTGTTTGTCATACATTTCTACTGAGGACAAAGTAAGTGGTGATGTGTTTTATGTACTGTAAGAGAAAACTTCTTAGAGAAGAAAAAAAAAATATCTTCCAACAATGAAAAAAGTAACAGGCTGTTTATGAGGCTCACCTATTCATTCATTCATTATTTTATTTACACATTAACAATATTTAGTGAGCATCCACTACGTTCCAGGCATTGTGCCAGGTGATGGAGATACATTGGTGAAAAAGACAACCACAAAAAATGATTAGTTGGAATTAGACAAAATCCTATAAAGGAATATTAAATGGTCCTGTGAAGTTTTGTAATATGGGGAAGTAAGCTATTCTGGAAGGGTTAGAGAGGCTACCCTGAGGAATATTTAGTCTGGGACCTGAAGGATGAGTTGGAATCAGTGAACTAATCAATGTCCTTTTATTTGAAACATTATAAGTGTTCTCATCAGGATGGCTTATCTGGGTTAGAAGGAAGGTATAGGCAGAAAGGAATTTGAGGCAAAGGCAAAGTTTGCCATCTGAGCTTTTAGATTTTTCTGGTTACAGCAGTCAGAGGGAGTGAGAACTAAAGGCAGGATGCGGGCCAAGGTTAGTGCATCTTTTGTTTGTTTATAAAGGCAACCTTGGCATAATGACCATGGTCAAATAATCAATAGCCACATTTTTAAGGGACAGAGTGTGCTGTGAAAGATAAAGATGATTTGCTTTGACTTTCTATGTCAGCCGGCGCCTTGGTTATCGAAGGTGCCTGGGGACAAAGATATGAGCATACAGACCTGTTCTGCAAATCCACAAAGTCTAGATTCTGCAGAGATCTTGCTTTATTTATTTACTTCAGAGCAAGAGTGTTAAGAGAGGCAGAGGAAATAATAAAGGGGAGGGAAGAAAGCCTAATTTTCTCATACTTCTGTCGAAAGACAGACTTGAAAAAAGATTATAATAATTATGCTCAGGAAAGCATGTGGTGTTGACAGAGAATAGGACTGGAAGTGGAATGGTAATTATGTCAGATTCAACTGAAGCATTGTGCAGGTTCTAGAATCCTGGTGCCAGTAACTCAGCTCATTATTGTACACACTCTGTTTTTCCTGGGGTCAAATGGAACCCAATATAATTCTAGGCAATTAATACCTGTTACAATAGAGTTTGACCATAATATGGTCATGTCCTGTGCACCAGTACTACAATTATTCAAGAAGGTTATGTGACTATTTGTTTGCACTTACAATTAGTGATAACTTCATAATTAGGGATAATCTTCTAACCACTGCAGTGTAGACAGCTGAGTGTTATGGTCAGGAGACAGGCTGAAGTTAATTCACAAGAAAATGTTTAGCTTCTTGAAGGCAAGGATGATAGCTTTTTATTTTCTGTGCCTTTTGCACCCAGAACACTGGTTGGCACTTTGGAGGCAGAGAATTTGGAGGCAGAGAATTTGGAAGAGGAAAGCATGGTGGGCAGGGTGAAGAAGGAGGAAGAAAAGGAAGGAAGGAAGAAAGGGAGGAAAGAAAGCTGATCTGAGCTCTAGACCAGTGGTTCTCAATTCTAGCTACATATTAGAATCACCTAGGGAGTTTTCTGTTTTAGGTTTTAGAGTGTAACACACACAAACAGAAGTACCCACATTGTCAGTGTGCAGCTTGATTGACACATCACAAGAAACAGAACACCACTGGCATCTCAGAAGCTCCTCATGTGTCCCTTTCCAGTCACTACCCCAAGTAAAGGATAACTACTCTCTGGAATTCCAACACTACATATGAGTTTTGGCTGTTTTTGAAATTTATGTCACTGCCGTAATACAGAATATATTCTTCGATGTCTGGCTTCTTTCACTCGACATTTTGTTTGAGATTTTTTCGTTTTGTTGTATGTATATTAGCATGTTTATTCTCATTGTTTATAGTGTTCCTATGTGTGAGTATAAAACATATCCATTCTACTCTTGATAGGCAGGGAATTGGTTCCTTTTTCATTTTTGACTGTTTCGAATAGTACTATGGTGAATATTTTTGGGCATGTCTTTTGGTGTGCATAGGGACATTTGTATTGGGGATGTATTTCTGTTGGGAGTGGAATTTCTAGGTCACAGGGCATGTATGTGTTCGGCTTTAACATATATTGGCAGTTACTTTTCCAAAGTGGTTATAACCACAGTACATGTGTACTTCTGGTGTGTAAGAGTTTCACTTGTTCCATATCTTGTTCATACTTGGTTTTGCATGTCTGTCATTGCCATCATTTTGGTAGGTGTGTTACTAGTATTACTTGGTAGTTTTAAGGTGCATTTGCTTGATGATTAATGAAGTTGAGTACCTTTTCCTGTGCCTATTGATCATTTGTTTAACCACTG
This sequence comes from Homo sapiens, assembly GCF_000001405.40. NCBI lineage: Eukaryota > Metazoa > Chordata > Mammalia > Primates > Hominidae > Homo > Homo sapiens. Next base: position 63,074,007 of record NC_000003.12, read on the forward strand.
TTTTAAAATCATTACTCTAGTCTTTTGTCCAATATTCCTTTGAGATTTTTGTCTTTTTCTTCTTGATTTGTAGGAGTTCTTAATACATTGTGAATATAAGTCTTTGTTGGATATATGTATTGTAAATCTCCTCTCTCACTCTAAGACTTGTTTTTTCACTTAATGCTATATTATGACGAAAAGACCTTCTTAAGTTTAATATAATCTTCTTCATCAGATTTTTCCTTTCTGGTAGAGCTTTTAGTGTATATTCATGAAATTTTTACCTATTCTAAGGTCATAGATATATGATCTTACCTTTTTTTCCCCAAAGCTTTATTATTCTACCTTCTTTATTTAGATATGCAATACATTTGGGACTAGCATTTGTTTATAGTATCAAGTTGGAGTCAAGATACAGTTATATTTTCCACGGGGATGTCCAGTTGACCTAGCTTCATTTATCTTTCCCAACTGTACTGTAGTATTTTTTCATCAAAAATCAGGTGACTAATTATGTGTGGGTTTGTTTCTGGAGTCTGTATTCTGTTCCATCTTTCATTTCGTATATCCTTGCACCAGTACCTACCACACTGGCTTAACTATTATAGATTGATAATAGGTTTTGTTATATAAGTAAGTGTAAGTCCTACAGATTTGTTCTTCTTCAAGACTGTCTTGGTTATGCTTAGATCTTTGCATTTCATTTTGATTTTATCATCATCTTGTCAGTTTATGCCAAAAACAACATACTGAGATTTTTAATTGGGATTACATTGAATATATAGATCAGTTTGGGAGAACTGACAACTTGGAATTTTGTCTTCTTTGTATTCATATACATGGCATATTTACTTAGGTTTTCTTGTATAATGTTTTATAGTTTTTAGTGGTAAACAGTCTTGTGTAGCTTTTGTTAGATTTATTCTTTGGTATTTGATACATTTGATGCTACTAAATGGTACCTGGGTTGCTTTTTAAAAATGCCAATGCTTATGCCATGTGGTCTAGAGATTCTTATATAATTAGCTTTAGTATTGTAATACACAGCCAAGTTTTGAGCACTTCTATTGTAGATGTATCTTTTTGCCTGCTTAGGCAAATCAGTTGACCCTTGGAGCTATCATTTTATTATTTAAAAACATGCAATAAGATTATCTGCCTCACCAGTTCAAGAATATTCTGCTTTTAATTTGATGCTGAATGTAAAACTCAGAAGCATTATAATTTGACCTAGATGCTTTATTTTTAATGGTAGATGGCAAAATTAACTTTATTTATAAAATATGGTAAAACTGAACTAATTTGATTTGATCACATTAGCCTGAGGCCTCAAAACTCTGAAGAGTAAAAATAGCAGTCATCAAGACTATGTGACTTTTTCCCTTACTCATAAGCAGCCCCTCCTATGTTTCATAGGCCCTGTTTATGCTTATGTTCTAAACAATTCTAGCTAGCTTGGTTATCAGAATTTCCAGACTTCAACATAATAGAAAGGGAAAGAAGAATAGTATAAAAGCAAGACCACCAGAGATAAACCCATAAACTTCAGAAAAGCACCTGTGACAGAAACAGCAAAGACAAAAGAGCTTAAAAAATAGAAGGCTGGGGCCATTTAGTGTAAGCGTAGGAGCAAAATGCATCAGGGACATAAAATTGGAGAGGATTATTTTATTACACACAGTTTCATATGTAGTTATCAGTATTTAAGCTTCATATTAGCACCAAAAACAAAATGCTGTGTGCTTTTTTCAAAGATGGCAGAAAAATGAGTAACATATTTCAAAGAATTTTCAAAAAGAATAACTAAGGTAGAATTTTGGCTTTTCTGCTCTCTGAAAAATACACTAAAATGGTATTGCTCATCTCCTGGAAATATTAGACAAATGGTATTTTCATTTACCACCTCTCATTGGGTAAAGAGGTAAGCCCTTTCAAACCTGTCTCATTCTATTACACTTTATGAGAAAATGCTATTAAATACCACCTGCACAGCTCTATTGTGTGTGTGTGTGTGTGTGTGTGTGTGTGTAGGAGGTGGAGGGAGGACATCTGAAGTCATCTCTTGAAGAGTGAGTGTCCCAGATTTAACCCTTTTCTTTATAGCCTTATTTGTCATTTAGATGGTTTCGACTTAATGGTTATGATCTTGCCTGACTCATTCATTTGATTTCCCTACGTTGTCTTCAGAAGCAAATTTGGAAGCAGAATATTTCCATGGGAAACTGAATTATTTTTCCCTGGAGCTGCATTTCACCAATTTCTGCCCCAATACCTCTATACCAAATTCTAAAATAGAATGATCAATATTGCTCTTTTTCTGTAAAATTAGACTCCATGAAGCCATTATTTATCGCATAAGAAGCCGGAGCACATATTTGCTCACATTGAGATAAACTAACCCCGGATAAAAGTCCCCCACAATATCTGGGAAAATCCCAGGGATCTGGCTGACAGATGTTGCTTTGTGCCTACAAATAACAAACACATCTGCAAGAGCCAGACCTTTGAGCATTTCTCTGCTTGAAATCAGCAAACACTAATTCAGTCAACAAATATTTATTCAGCTATCTACTCTGTGTCTGAGGCTGGAGATAGACATCTGGTCAACCGAATCATGGCTCTGACCTATAGGCCTATGAGACTGGGTTGCCAATTACCACACTGTAAAAGTTTCCCAGTGTTAGCATTACAAAGAAATCTACTCAACATTGGAGTTGCTCTATTTGCTGATTGAAAGAAGCCTAGTGCCTTAGAAGAATTGAGATATGGTTCCTCAAAAGGTTTTCTTAGCTGTAATTTGGGATGGCAAGTGGCATATTACTGAAAGCCATCTGGTTTTGTGGCTATGATCACAGACTCTGGAGCATGACTCCTGGGTTCTGGTCTCAGCACTAGCACTACCACTTACTAGCTGTGTGATTGCCTGTCCGTTTATAAACTTCTTTGGTTCTCGGTTTTCTTATCTATCAAATGGGAGTAACATTAATACCTTCCTCATAGTTTGTTGCTAAAATGAGTAAACGAGTTAATATATGTAAAGCATTTATGCAAGTGCCTGGTTCTTAACAAGCTATCACACGCAGTGGCATACGGGTGGGAGAGGCTGTGGATGTGATATGGCCCAGGGGTGGAGAGAAGTATTTGATTGATAACACTGTTTAGAATTTCTGATGCTCGATGATAACAAATAGGCTGATTTTAGTCCAGTTCATTATTGTTTTTAAATTGCTCACAGGCAACACACCCTCTTAGTGCCAGCACCTGGGCAGTCTGCACCTGTTTCCCCCAGCCCCCCAACACTAGGTCCATCAGGACCATTTCTCCATTTAAAGAAGTTGTTTTCTCCACATTTATCATCAAAATCTTTGGCCTTTAAATTATAGGCTGGTGACTATGCATAAAAAATTACTTCAATAACTAACACTCACTAAACATTTTCTATGTGCCAGGCATGGTGTCAGTTTCTTTAAATGCTATATTTCATTTAATCCTCACATAAATTTTATGAGGCAGATAACTCATAATCCCCATTTTACAGATGAGGAAACTGAGGCTATAAAGCAGGATTTTTCCAACCTTGGCAATATTGACATTTTAGACTGGATGATTATTTGCTGTGGAGGCTGTCTTGTGGATTGTAGGATGTTTAGCAGCATCTCTGGCCTCTACCCACAAGATGCTAGATTGTGTCAGACTGTCAGCTGTGAAAACAAAAAATGTCTCCAGATATTACCAAATGTTTCCTGACAGTAGGGGAAAGGGGGGTAGTAAACCTCATTCCTCACTCTGTTAGAGAACCACTGTTATAAAGGATAAGTAGCTTCTCCATCTTCTCTCAGCTAGAAAACAAGAGAATTAGGTTTTAATTCAGGCAGTTTTGACCATATGTACTATTACATTCTCATCCAGTGCAGTGCGGTCTCAAATTGTTGTCCTGAGACCAGAAGCATCAGCATCTCCTGGTATTGGAACTGTGAATTCTTGAGTCTTGCCTCAAACATATTGAATTAGAAATTCTGAGGGCAGGATCCAGCTCCGAGCAATTCTGAAATATGCTAAAGTTTGAGAACCACTGGTGTCCTTCAATGTTTCTCAACGTTGGCTTTACATTAGAATCACCTGGGGTAGCTTTAAAAAACACTGATCTTCAGAACTTATTTCAGACCAGCTGATCAGAATCCCTGGTGTTGGACCAAGATAATCAATGTCTTTAGGGTTTGTTTTTTTTTTTAATTTTTAAGCTCCCCCTGGTAATTGTAATGTGTAGCCATAGTTGACAGTCATTGGTCTTGTGGGAAAAGTACTGTCTGTTCAGGACCAGGGCTTCCAGTCTCCATCCAAATCAACCTTGGACAATATTCTTACTCTTTCTGGGCTGCAGTTTCCTCGTCTTTAATATAAAAGTGCTGGATTAGATGCTGCTTTCATTTTCTGGCTTACATTCCCAGGTGCTAAACTCCTTGTATTTTAAATGATTAATCATCTCCATCTGACAGTGACCCTGGATAAATTGCTTATTCTTTTTGTGCTTTGATATTTTCATCTATAACTGAAGAAATACTGGTGTTGGTTAAAAAAAAAACTATATAACTAAGACAGACAGAATTCTGACCAAGAAAGCACAAAAGAGATGAGCCTTCTCATTCTGTGGTTTGGTACTTTGCAACTGACTGAATTACAGAGCAAGTGGTCTGGTTCTTTTAGCTCTGCCTGCATGGGCTTGATGTGGGCACCATGACAGTTGGTACTGTGCCACCCAAGAGATTCAGAGGAGATTTTACAAAAACAAACACAAAACCTCTTCTGTAGGCAGTCTGGGTAGACTATGCTGTTCTGGGTGGGGCAATAGCTATTATCCTGGATAAATATTCCTATAGGAATTTTAGATAGGAGCAGATGACAGAGATCCACACCCCAATCCCTAAAATACTGAGGTGTTGTCCTAGGCAACCTGGTTAAGATTTCTTCCTTTTACATTTGTGCGATGCCCTCTATTTTTCCTTCTCAAGATGTTCATGTAGTGAGAAATCGGGCTGTATGGATGCAATGCCAAAAGAAAGAAATGAATGGAAGCCGTTTTCATTGTCTTCTTGAGAAAGAGATGAAATAAAAAGGGAGAAAATGGAGTAAGGGAAGGCCCATGTAGGTTCACATTGGCTTTTTCATTTCTTCCTTTAAATAAAAACATAACCAGAGCTAATGTTCTCATATACTGCTAAAGGAAATTCATTTCCAACAACGGAATAGCAGTAGAAACTCTCCAGAGGCAGTGCCCAAACTTATGTGCATGAGAATCTCCTAAAAAGCATGACAAAATAAAAGTCTCGGCTTTCCCCAGAAATTCCATTTTAACAAGTGTCTAAAGGTTTCTGAGGCTTCGGTCTGAGGAACACTTCTCTAAAACCACTTTTCTATGAAAAGGTTATCATTGCAAATATTATATTGCATTGGTAATTTAAGTTACCTATAATTTCCGTCTATGTGACCCTGGATGAATAGCTTCCCTTCTTTGTGACTTGGTTTTCTCATCTGTAAACTAGAGAGAAATACTGGTATTGGCAAAGAGCATATGGCTTGGTAAGAGAATTGAAACTGTTTTAGTCCTTCTCCTTTATTAGCTCCTTAGCTACCTGGTGGCAAGAACTAGATCGTACGCTGGTAAATAGCTGGCACTTTAGACATGTTTGCCAAATGAATGAATGGACAAATTCTTGTATGAATGAATGAATACAAATGATGGGATGGCAGAAGCCTTAGAGCACTTTTTCCCCCCTTTGCTAAAGCTTGTCATCAAGACTTCCAAATTGTGTTAAAGTTACTAGCCCATATACTTTACCACCTCACCTTCCTAGAGAATCCAGATAATGAACACTATCCTTTGCTTTCTTTGAAAAACCTGTTTTTATTTTCCAGATCACAGTGGTGAACAATTCTTAGTAATAGTGACCTGATCATATATTAATAGACATGAAATTATTAGACTGCTGAGCTATGTGAAATTCTTCTCAGTTCACACTGGTCCCCAGGCAACCAATTACACATTTTTTTCTTGCTTTAAAATAGGTGATTTAAAAAGCAAGTATGGTTGAGAAGCTTCTCTTTCATTGGTATATCTCACTCTTTTAACTCTACCCTCTGATGCAAGGATCACATTTGCCTTTTTTTATAACAGTATATTTAAAAGTATGTGTATGGAATACTACTTGGCAATAAGAAAGGAACTGACTGCTAATGCGCACAGCTTGGATGGATCTCAAGGAAATAATGCTGAGTTTTAAAAGTCAGTCTGAAAAAGTTACGTATTGTATGATTTCATGTGTTTAGCATTCTTAAAATGGCAAAAGTATAGAGATGGAGAATATATTAGTGGTTGCCAGGTGTTAGGAAGATGGGAAGGGAGGGGGGTGGCTATGGCTGTGCAAGAGGTAGCGTGAAGGATCTTTACAGTAAAACTCTTCTGTATCTTGACTGTGGCAGTAGTTATATGAAATCAACACAGATGATAAAATTGCATAGAAGAAAATATACATCCACATACATAAATGAGTATGTGTAAAACTGGTGAAATCAGAATCAGATGTATTAATTATATCAATATCAATTTCCTGGTTGTGTTATTGTACTACATAGAAACATAAGATGTTACCATTGGAGGAAAATTGGGGAAGGAATCTCTGGATTACTTTTTACAACTGCATATGAATTATTTTGAATTATCTCCAAATAAAAGTATATATGTGTTATATACATGTCTATTTATGTATATCTGTATGTATACACACAATACATGCATATTAAGTAAACCCCATTTACGCAGTTGTCTTAAGAAAGTAGTGTCATTATACCTCTAATGGGTCTGCATCCTTCTCCCTGATGCCAGTTTCCCTTCCTCACCTCCAAGAGAAAACACTATTCTGAATTTTGTGGTTTTCATTCTCTTGTTTAAAAATAATTTTAACACTTGTATGTACAGGAAAGATTTTACCAGTATAGCTTGAAATAATAAAAAGCTAGACATAATATAAATGTCCACCAAAACGAAAATAACTAGTAAGTTGTAGTCAATTCATACAAAGGAAAACTAGGCACGAGTGATATAAACTACAATTATATGAATCAACAAGATTGAATCTCAAAAATATAATTTTGGGTAAGAAAACTAGTAGCAGAAATATATCTGTATGATTCCATTTATATAAAATATAAAACCTGTGTGCAGCCAAAAATATTGTTTAGGATAAGCCATATTGCAATTTTACTTTAGAAACTGAATTATCAAAACTCTGCAGCTTTGGAGGAATGTGGGAGAATTGGATCAATTATCTTTAGGATGATCATGGAAGTGTCATATATATGGCTTTTAGAATGTTTCTCCTAGTGACCCTGGTTTTATTTTTAGAATTGGCTTCACTTCACTAGAGAATGATTTGAAATGGAAATGGTGTAATTTCTTCCATTTCTGAGAAGTCATTTGAAAGATAGTGCTGGTTGCCACTTGAAATTTTCTTTACTTGTTCCAGAGTGATAAAAAAATCACCCAAAGTTCATCTCACTGGATGGCTTGAAGAGTATCTTTTTATTTTGGAGAGGAACTGAGAACCTAGGTAACACATCATGTGGACTATGCAAATGCTAAATATCAGTCACTATTATGTGAGCAAGATCTAGCTAGTACAGATGCTGATATGCATTGGTACAATTTTTAAAAATCATCGGTTTGTCTTTTTCAATATCTGCCTTTTTATTTCCTCTGAGGATATGTATTTCTGGGGCTATGACTACCTTCAGGGTTAATGATATAACAGAAACACTAGTAGGAGACTCATTAATATTCTAAAGACTTTACATATATTGACTTACTTAATCCTCACAACAACCCTGTGGGGAGCGTGAGGCTCATGCTCAAGATCAACACAGCCGGCTATAGGCAGAGCTAGGATTTAACCCCAGGCAGTCTGTGCTCACAACAGTTATAGTCAACTATCTATACAAAGCTAAAGACATATTTGTGTGTTTAATGTGTAGACATTTTAAAAGAGATAATGGAAAAGGTCACTGTAAATGGTGAACAATCTGAAACATATATTTAACACACACGACTTTATAATTCTTCAGTTCATTAAGCTCACTCTCTTTTAAAATTGTTTTTAATTTTTGTGGGTACATAGTAGGTGTATATATTTATGGGGTACATGAGATGTTTAGATACAGGCATGCAATATGTGATAATCACATCATGGAAGATGGGGTATCTATCCCAAGTATTTATCCTTTGTGTTATGAACAATCCAATTTTACTTTTCTTTATTTTAAAATGTACAAATAGTTATTGACTGTAGTCACCCTGTTGTGCAATTAAATAGTAGGCCTGACTCATTCTTCCTATTTTTTTGTACCCATTAACTATCCCCACTCCCTCCCATCCCCCTACTACCCTCTCCAGCCTCTAGTAATCATCTTTCTACTCTTTATCTCCATGAGTTCGATTGTTTTGATTTTTAAATCCCACAAATAAGTGAGAACATACAATGTTTGTCTTTCTGTGCCTGGCTTATTTCACTTAGCATAATGACCTCCAGTTCTATCTATGTTGTTGCAAATGACTGAATCTCATTTTTCATGGCTGAATAATGCTCTACTGTGCATAAGTACCAAATTTTCTTTATCCATTCATCTGTTGATGAACACTTAGGTTGCTTCCAATTTTTGGCTATTGTGAACAGAGCTGCAATAAATATGGCAGTACAGGTATCTCTTTGATATACTGAGTTTCTTTCTTTTGGGTGTATACCCAGCATTGGAACTGCTGGATCATACAGTAGCTCTATTTCTAGTTTTTTTGAGGAGCCTCCAAACTATTTTTCATAGTAGTTTGTACTAATTTACATTCTCACAAACAGTGTACAATGGTTCCCTTTTCTCCATATCCTCGATAGCATTTGTTATTGCCTGTCTTTTGGATATAAGGCATTTTAACTGGGGTGAGATGATATTACATTGTAGTTTTGATTCGCATTTCTCTGACGATCAATGATATTCAGCAATTTTTCTTCTGTCTGTTTGCCATTTGTATGTCTTCTTTTGAGAAATGTCTATTCAAATCTTTTGCCTGTTTTTTGATTGGATTATTAGATTTTTTTTACCTGTAGAGTTGTCTGAGCTCCTTATATATTCTGGTTTTTAATCCCTTGCCAGATGGATAATTTGCAAATATTTTCTCCTGTTCTGTGGGTTGTCTCTTCACTTTGTTGATTGTATCCTTTGTTGTGCAGAAGCTTTTTAACTTAATATGATCCCATTTGTCTATTTTTGCTTTGGTTGCCTGTGCTTGTGGGGTTTTGCTCAAGAATCTTTGCCCAAGACCAATGTCCTGGAGATTTTCCCCAATATTTTCTTGTAGTAGTTTTATAGTTTGAGATACTAGATATAAGTCTTCAGTACATTTTGATTTTATTTTTGTATATTGTGATAGGTAGGGGTCTAGTTTCATTCTTCTGCCTATGGATATTCAGTTTTCCCAGAACCATTTATTGAAGAGACTGTCTTTTCCCCAGTTTACGTTCTTGGCACCTTTGTAAAAAATGAGTTCACTGTAGGTGTGTGAATTTGTTTCTAGGTTCTCTATTATGTTCCATTGGTCTATGTATCTGTTTTTATGCCAGTACCATGCTGTTTTGGTTATTATAGCTCTCTAGTATAATTTGAAGCCAGGTAATGTGATTCCTCCAGTTTTGTTCTTTTTGCTCAGAATAGCTTTTGCTATTCTGGGTCTTTTATGATTCCATATAAATTTTAGGATTGTTCTTTTCTAATTCTATGAAGAATGTCATTGGTATTTTGATAGGGATTTCACTGAATCTGTAGGTTGCTTTGGTAGTATGGACATTTTAACAATATTGATTTTTCCAATCCATGAACATAGAATATTTTTCCATTTCTTAGTGTCCTCTTCAATTTCTTTCATCAGTGTTCTATAGTTTTCATTACACAAATCTTTCACTTCTTTGGTTAATTCCTAGGTATTTAATTTTATTTGCAGTATTTAAGTAGTATTTATGTTTGTGAAGATGAAGCAGGAAGGTTTGCTAACTAGAGCTGTTTTCTTATAATCTCACTAGACTTTTGGCTTCCCTAGGCGGAAAAAAAAATCATTATAAAATTGATCCTTAAAAAGCTCATGGGAAAAAAGATCTTTAATGAGCACCTATGACAAGAAGCAACAGTAGTCAGGAATCTCTGTTTTTAACAAGTACCTTTCCTCTGACCCTGCCCAATTAATATGCTTAGTTATAGTTAAGAGCAGTATGTCAGTTAACTGTGCTTCCCAAAGAGAGATCCTTGAATGGCCAGAGCCAGAGTCATCTAAGGTGCTTGTTAAAACATACTTTCCTGGGCCTCCTGAGTCAGATTCTCTTAAGAACTCTCACATGGGAGGATCACTCTTTTAGAACAAGCTCCATCTTCAGATGGGGAGATGTGGTGAGAAATAGTCCCCATCTATGAGCAGAGTAGGGACAGGGTGTATAGTACTAGTAATACAGACATTTTCTTCATTCCAGTTGAGATTGATTACCTTTTTATTGGCCTCAAAATTTTTCCGCCTGTGAAATGCCAGTTACTTCCTTATACCAGATTCTATTAGCTTATTTGAAATTGGCAGATGTTACATATTTTGTATTCAGCATCTGGTAAATATTTATTGAGCATGTACTATGGTGCCAGAGGCAGTTCCAGGCACTGGAAATACAACAGTAAAAAATGGCAAGTTTCCCACTGTCTTGAATGTCTGTTCTATTGGCTTGTGGGGAACCGACAATAAAGTACAAAATAAATGCTATAATGTTAGACTTTCATAAGTACTATAATGAAAATTATCTCAACATAATGAGAAAAAACTAACTAGTGCAAAGGGAATAGTTTGTTTCCTGAAACCAATCATAGCAAGTGCCTTTGGAGACAAACTTTGGTTGAACAAGCCTGCAACTGGATAGATAGATAGTAGATAGATATAGATATAGATATTACAAATCACTTTGCCCAGGACTTTGCTACAAAATGGGAAATAATTAAAAACATGAAAAACCAAGGTGTCTATTTTCTGAGTTATTCAGATTGAGTTGAGACATGCTATGTTTGTGTATAAGTTTAAGGTGGTTTGAATGGCAGGATTGAACAGCGTGTACTAGAACTTTGGTTCAGAAAATAGTGTCACTATGAACTAAAACAATCGGGTATAATCTAAGTGATGATTTGACTAAAATCAGAGTTTTAATCAGGATTTTCCTCCATTAACAGGATGAAAATGCATAGGAAGAATATTCTAGGAAGATAAAAAAGACAACATGAGCAGAGAGACCATGAGCATGGAGTGCCACCGTGTAGCACTGCACACGGTGGAAGGGTTTGGGAAAACGAAAACAGGAGCGATTCATGCTCTCTTCACTTTCTGTTTGACTCTCCATCCTGTCTTTAGTTCTCTCTTTTTTTCTTTAAGTATTTTTTCTTTCTTTCTTTTTTTTTTTTTTTTTTTCAGAGGCAGGGTCTCACTCTGTCACCTAGGCTGGAGTGCAGTGGCGTGATCATGGCTTACTGCAGCCTCAAACTCCTGGACTCAAGTGATCCTCCTGCCTCAGCCTTCCAAGTAGCTGAAACTATAGGCTATTCCCAGCCACTGCTCATTGCTAATATTTAATGTATTTTGTTGTTGTTGTTGTTGTCGAGATGGAGCCTCACAATGTTGCCCAGGCTGGTCTCAAACTCCTAGCCTCAAGCAATCCTCCGCCTCAACCTCCCAAAGTGCTGGGATTAAAGGTGTGAGCCACTGTGTATGGCCCTTTATTTCTCATCTTGCTTTTCTGCTTACTCAAGGCATCAAATGGGGCATTACTAATAAAATATACCTTTCTGAAGCGATGAAAAGAAAACAAATTTCCCTTAAGTGTGAAGGAAATTCTCTTTCATTTCATCTCACCTGTAGTGTAAACAGCCTAGAATTTGGGGATAGATTCTAATCTAGGTCCTTGTGCTTCTGGGATGTGTGGCCTTGTGATTGTTTTTTTTTTTTTTTTACCTCTTGGAATCTCACTTAATTCATCTGTAAATGGGGATTAATATTTTCCTTGGATCACTGGAAGGATTGAACACATTCATGTTATGACTGTTCAAAATTTGCCACAAACTCCAACTTTTCTACTTGTGAGATTTATTCATTTATAAATTTATTACTGGAGGCCATTCTTCTCCAACCTCTCTGTTCAGTTTTGTTCTTCCAAGTCTTACTTATCTCTGTTTCTTTGGCAGAGAATCTGCTACATACATGATAGATGGCCATGTGATGCTTAATGAATAAATGAACAAATGGAGTAGGACCACCCTGAACTCTTGTTTCTATGGAGAAGATCTGAGAGAAGATTGTGAGTTGCTGTACTTCTTCATGGGTCCCAGTTACCCATTAGTCTTTTTTTTAATCTGTAAGATCACATTAGGCCTCTGATTACCATTCCTGCTATAGTGTTGCAAAATGGCTTCCAGGACGTTGGCTGGGAGAAAATAACAGAACTCGGCTTTGAGTCCTATGAAAAAAAAAAGCTCTGAACAGATTCTAATAGTGTTTTATGACATTATTTCTTCCATTGTATACTGTTTTCTGTATCCTTGCTAATATGTATTGGTTAAAAGTATCTCAAAAGACTAGTGAGAAGAGAAAAATGAAATCATCTTAGAGTATGTCTCTTGCAGAACAAGAGACACAGCAGTGGGAGGAGAGTAAGATAATCAGATATGAAATAAAGCAATTTGGACAAGGGACAATAAGGGAAAAGAAAAAGAAAGAGAAAGAAGATTACAGTAGTGGGGATAAAGGGGAAATTTGTGGAAAATGTTCCTTTGTCAGTTCTAAGACTCTCAGGCCCCTGAGGGAGGTTCTGAATTCTTTTTGCCTGAATGTTAAGATGAGAAGACCTAGTTTTATTTCCTGGCTAGAAGGCTATATAGGATTCTTAGGGTTGTACGGCACTGTATGTTCAAATGATGCAACCACCAGCAGTGACATGGTCTCCTCTGAATCACTGCCTGCTAGGCACCTAAGCTGTGCTTGCTTGCCTCCAATGGTGTGGAGCTCGCTATGCACAGCAGAGACCCATTTCGTACTTGTTCTTCCCTATACAGAACTGCAGTCTGTTTCTCTGACATTTCTTCTTGCCAGGATCCTTCGCAAACGTCAATGCCTACTGTTGGGTGACCTTGGGAACGTGATATAATCAAAGTCAGTTTTCTCACCTCCAAGATTGGGATAATAGTATCTAGTTCATTCAGTTTGGGTAAGAAATAAATGAAAACAGTCCATGTCAAACAATGAGCACCCCCAGGTCCTTACATGTTTTTTCTTCTGTAGATTACCATTTTCTCACCAATCTGAAAGTCTTTTTGTTAATCTACCATCCTTCCAAAATTCTTCTCAGTTTTCAGATTTTATCAAAATTATTTGGTGACCATCCCCCTACACCTCCCATCGAATCTTTGCATCACCTACACATGGAACTCACAGAGTTTCAAGAATGCCAAAGGCTGTAGTTCACCTGATGTATTGGTTCAGGTTCCCTGCTATTAAGTTAAAAGTCTAAGTGCTCCTTGTCCCTTGCCATCCAGGTCCACAAATCCAATGAAGCCCTAAGATCATTTGGATAAGCTACTAGTGATTTCAGGGAAACATACAGAGTGAGATCTAGCTGCTCAATAGCCTAAGTTCATATTTTATCTAGTTATTTTCTTTACATACTTTTAATCTTATTTTGTTAGAAAAGCAATACACAATTACTGAAGAAAAATGAGAAAATAAAGATGAACAAAATATCCAACTTATATAAAATACCCATATATAATTGTTTTAGAATTATTGCTTATTTTCCTCCAGAATTTTTTCCCATTTGATATACAAATAGGAAATATGTTTTATAACTTGGTATTATGTTAAACAAACAGATGAATAAATCTTCTGTTTGACTCAACCATATATTTTGAAAGTTTTTGAAGTTTGATGTCACCATTGTCTATTGTTGGGCAATTAGGATTACAATTTTTTTATTTTATACACAATATCATAGTGAACATTCTTGTATATATATCTCTCTGCACTTGGATGACTATTACCTTAGAGCAAATTTCTTTACGTGGGACTGGTGGGTCTAAATGCATATATGAATGTGGGAGTTTTTTGTCTATTCATACTGACAAATTGACACCAAGAAAGGACACATCTACATCTACACAATTTACAAATGTACTTATTTTCTCATATATTCTATGATTATGTATTACTAAATAAAAAGAACTTAAAACCATGCCTCACACAATAAATGTTAGCTACAGTGATTCCTGTCATTATTATTCTATTACTGTTGTTTTCTTGATGTTGTCATTATTTTCCATTTCTTCCCAGTGAATAGCCTGTGATTTAATTAAAATGGATTATTTGCTTTTTCTTGGAAGTATCCCACATGTCAAATCTCTGCATCTTGCTCATGGTTTTTGCTCTGATTAGAATGTCTCTCTTCCTCGTCTGTCAATATTCTATCCATCCTTCAAAGTCTATGTTACATAAAGGTCCTTCATTAAGCTTTTTAAATTTTCCCCTGAAGCCATCAACTGCATGATCTATCTCTTCATCTTTTGAACCCCTAATCGCATTTGGGACATCCCTTTTTGAATTATAGGCATTTGTATTCTTGGTTTAGGATGTAACTATTAGAGTGTAACTTGTTTCTTTGACTTTGAGAAATGTGTGTTTCATAGCTGCGTTGCCTGTAGTGCCTAGCGTCATGATAGGGACATAGTAGGTGTTAAACAAATGTCAAATTGAAGGGGCCAGATGTTAATGAAGTGTGATAGTCTTAAGCATCTTTACAAAGAGCCAGTTGTTTACTAAAAAGAAATGAATTCATAGGCAAATCATCACAAAAGGAGTTTACTATTTCTTTTTGCGATATATACTGCCCTTAGATACTTTCAGCAAGGCACAGGCACACTTGATAATTGTACTTTAGGTGGCCTTTTCGGAAACTTATATCCTGGGAGACACATTTTCGCTTCATTGGCTTCCCCAGGGCTCACAAATCTGACCACTCTCCTACTTTTTTTGGCCACAGGATGTTTGCATAGCATGATCAGAGAGGATTTGTTACACAGAAGTCAACAAAAATGGCCTTCGATAACAGGGAAAATCCCTTGCATTAGCATAGACACATTGAGTCCATAAACTGATTTCACAGATGTTATTGCACAATTTCCAAGGCCAACTGAAGAGGCTTAAAACTCTGTGGCTACAAATTTAAAAAAAAGATTAACAAAGTTCTCCATTTATTTTGGTATGTCAGATAGCACTGAGTAAACTGTTCTTAGTGGGTTCTCGGTAAATAAGGTTGTCCACCCACCAGGACCTAGAAACCGCAGAGTGGCATCTCAAAAAAAAAAAAAAAAAAAAAGAACAAAAAAATGCTATGGTTACACTGATTTAAGCACTCACCCTGAACCCTAGGTTTGTACTCATTTCTCATCCACCAGCTGAGACAAAAGCTTAAGAGTGTGACTAAGGACTTGTCAGGCAACTTCAATATCTAATGAATTATAGTCATTCCTGATAGCCAGAGATGGGGATCATGATGAATCCAGCCCGAAGATATGCTTTTTCAGGTTAATCTCCCAGGCTAAAGTTGTTTTTGTAATAGTAGCTGACACACTGGGATTTTTGAAAAACCTGAAAGGAACTTAAGGGATTTATGGATAGAATTTTGGATCTAGATGGCACCTAAACTCTAGTTCCAGTCCTATTATTTGATGATTTGTCATTTTCAGGCAGTCCTACTAGGATCTGTCTCAGCTTGAGAGATGATTGCCATAGGATCAATACTTCGTACTGCAGTGTTTCAGGCTGCATTCTCTGAGTGGGGGTGGAAGGCAGCTCTGGGTGTTTACTCAGCCACAGGGAAAAGAGGGAGATCTGGAGAAGACAGTGTGATTTGTAGAGCCAGGAAGCCTTGGGGGCCCCAGCAGTATTAGACAAAACCTTTATCTCTCTTCATATGCAGATGTTTTCTCTGTGGATTAAATAATTTTGAAGGAATGAATGAAATGCCCCCCTACTATGCCTTCTGTTTCTCCACAACTCAGGTAGACCCACTTGAAGAAAATGTAATGAAAGGAAGCTTCGAGTATATTAGTGATGTTTTATTTCTTATGCCAAAGGATAAGTATACAGTTTTCTTTGTGTTTTATATTTCATACCTTTTGCTCTATTTTGAATGTTACATAACACAACAGTTTTTAAAGGAAGAAAAGAGAAAAAATATAGGGTTTTGTATATTTGGTTAATAAACAGTTAATTTGTGATGCAACAATATCTTTCCTTTACCCAAATTTCTGTTTCTGGTGATATGGAACTAGCATGGGGTGGGTAAGGGAAGTGAAGTTGGGGGAAAAGCCATGGTACCTGGGGTTCACGTTCATGAAGGATCTGAAACTTGGTCATTTGAGATTGTGTGGAACTAAGGTTATCTTATAGTCACAGACGTACAGTTTCAAGATCAAAAGGGAGGCTCATTTATCAATTTTGCGCTAGTTGTCCCAGCACTGAACCACATAGCCCGAAGTACACTGTGAATTGTTAATCTAAAAATTATACATACTCATATGCACATCACTACTTAAAATTATACATTGGCATTTCTTATATTTTTACATATGAAAATATTGGAGGAGTCTGCACTTTCTCTGACTGTAAAAGAGTCCTGTTGTGGAGCTGCTACAGCACAGAGACAGATGATAAACTCTGAGCTCAGAGATAAAGGTTCCAGTCTCAGATTCACAGCAAATGGGCCATCGAAGTCAGGGCTTAGAGCCTTCTTATCTTTTCAAAATAATCACATGTGATGAAATGTGTGACTGTGGTGAAGTGAGACTCTTTAAAGGCCGTAAGCATAGATTACATGTCTTATGAGACTGATGCACTGCTGGCTACACTAAGAGGGCAGCCTCTTGTGTATTTTAATGTTGGTTAAAGTTTCATTGAGCCCTTCCTTTGTTCCTAAGCTCTTTACCTATATTTTCTCATTTTATCTTCCCAACATCCCATGTGATAGCCCCTATGATTATCACTATTTTACTGATGAGGACATTGAAGCTTAGGAGGGTTAAGTAACTTGTCCAGGTTCTATTATTATTAGTTTTCTGAGCAGGTATTTGAGCTAAGGACGGTCTAACCTCAAAGTCTCTGTGTTTAAACCATATGTCATGCTATAGCCATTATGGGCAGTCCGAAAGCTCTCACTGATCAATTTTTTGACTGGCATAGAGATAGAGGGCTCCAGCCAGTCCCAAGTAGAGTCAGAGACTTCTTCAACCCCCTAGGTATTTTAGCACTACCTGCTTTTATGAAAATCCATTCACGTTAAAGTAGAAGTGAATGGTCAATTAGTAATATGATTATTAAACTGTCAAAAATCTAGCCTTTTTGTAAATATTTGGCCTGAAGTACAAGAGGAGAAGAGAAGTTCTGGCTGTAGTACAATTTAGAAAACCATTTTATAATGTTTCTCTTAAGATTGTTCAAATATATTTCAATTTAGCAATAAACAAGAAGAGAGAAAAGGAAGACATTTCAATCATCTGACAAATAATGTTAAGAGAATGCATTGGGATATTTAATTCCTAACTAAATGTCATCTTTTAAAACTCAAATGTCCTTGGGTGGAATGACTAATGAAGTTAGTTTACGGGAAGGCAAGTTTAACAGAATGGTTACATATCCGGGCTGTAGAATTATACCACTCTAGGTATGAATTCTGCTATTTCATAAATGGTGATGATATAGAAAGGAGATGAATAAAACAATTCAAGCTATCCAGTAATCCAAAGCATTTGCCCTAGTCATGATTAGATATGTGCCATAAGTAGCTATCAAAATTTTCACAAATGTATGTAACAGAAAATCCAATTCAAACTCATTTGAAAAAAAAAAAAATTGGTTCAGCTTTAAGCATCATGAGCTAGCTCCAAGCTAAAATTTATTTCATCAGGATCCAGCAACCTGCCTTTATCTCTTGACTGCCTTTTGTTCTTTGTTAGCTCCATTCTTAGATGATTGTCCTAATGGGATGTCAGGATGGTTGCAAATGAGTTCAGTCTTAGATTCAGTTTTAAGTTCAGAATTGGAATACCTTATTTCTTAGTTTTTCAAGGTACAGTACTAGGGTTAAGTTTGATTGAATCAATTGTCTTGGTCTCTGTTACATCCCTATAAGCATTCATGGAGTCAAGAGGATGGGGTGTTCCAGAAGCCAGGACTGTGCCCCATTTCTTGCAAAATCACATCGTGCTAGTATGAGGAAAGGGATTTCCTAGAGACAGTTGGAGTACTTTTACTAAAGATGGGGTTGATAAATTGTAGGCAGGAAAAAAAAAAAACAGAATTCTATACATACATTTTTTAAAAAGATCTATGCACTACTGGATACAAATAAGGTGCATTTCCTTTCTGGGGAGGAATATGCATGCTTCCAAAAGGGAGGCTTGCCAGCCACCTGACGATGGGTTGCTTCTTTCCAGGCTGTTCTGAGCTCTGGTTTAGCTGCTGATTTGAAAAGTCCCCTCTTGCATAACAATTACACCTGGCACACCCACTTGGGAGCATGCAGGAGAATTTTCTTCATCCTTTCTTAAAGATGCAATTGTTTCTGACAGCCAGTGTCATCTGCGTTGACAGATGTCACTTCTGACTCTCATTCCCCGCAGACAACTCAGCTCAAGGAGACCGCTAGGCTCTCACAATAGGTTTAACTCTTACCTACAAAAGCCAAAGCACTGAAATGTTTAGGTTTGTGGGATTCTCATGGTAATATAAATAGGAGGGTGAGGGTTCTCTGTGCAATAACGCACAACTCATGTACTTTCCTAGTCACCACTTATCAGGTGGTCTTCAAATTATTTGTTCAAATACACTGCAATGTAAACTCTAAGAGAAGCAGACATTGAGTCTTGTGCTTTGCTTTGCCCTTTGTGACTAGCACAGTGCTGGGCACATAGTAGAAGATAACTATGTAGTAGAAGATAGAGAAATATTTGTTGAATGGCTGACTGAATGACTGAATATGGGAATTTTAAATGAAATTTAGCACTAATTTGGTTATCGTGTGTGTCTGTGTATCTGTGTGTTACAATATAACCAGGGCCTGTCATTTCTTCCTGTTGTTCATATGGGAAATCGAGGCACAGTAGTTAGGGAATTTGTATCAATCCCAATAGGTAATTAATACCATGGCTGAAATATAGATGTTTTAGCTCTATTTTTGAAATCTCTTATTGAAATTTCAGCTCTCTCAAATATTTTTAATAGTATTTTCCAATTCATTTACAGCCTAGTTCATTCAACATATACTCATTACATAATTACTGTTTTTCAGACATGTTTACATTCTCATTTTGATTTTGAACCTCACAGCAAGGAAGGTATCCCTATCTTCACCCTATATGAAAAGGTGGAGGTTCAGTGGGTGATGTGAATTTTATAAAATCAGGAAGAGAAAGGGTAACACCAAGAATCAAACTGAGTTCTTCTGATCCCACGTCTGATGCTTGTCTCCACTGGGAAACGATGCCTTGTAGTCTATTGAGTATGTGGGCATTGGGGGCTCCCTTTAAGTCTCAGAGGCTCTTCCGTGTAGTGAACTTCATGACTGACATGCTTCTTTACTGAGCTTTGTTGATGTATGGTTATAAAACAGTAATAGCCCAGCCCATTATTTTTCACAATTATGACTGCTGTTGGAATTCAGTCTAGACTTTGCCATTGATTTCTCATTCATTTTTTTCCAGACATAAATTAATGAAATGGAATAGAAGGCTGAAAGATCACCATATGCACAATTCTCTTTGGATCTTAAGATCTCTGAGTCACAATTTTTCAATGACTGAAAAATGGCAGGGACACAACCTTTTATTTTCATCAGCTCATCAAAAATAATAAGAGGAAAATAAATTTTGAGTACATGGAACATCAGATTTCTTTGTCTAAATACCTAACTTGGAATATATTCTGCTGATGGCTCAATGCCTGGCTGTCTGACTTCTTAACTGAGGTTATTAGTAAAAGTAATATTTTTGAATTCTCAGCCCCACCACTATGGTATACATATTTTCTTAAATATGAATGCTTTAGAATTTTTAATCATGGATGATAGAAATAATGCTCATAGTGTTATGAACAAATAAATATAATGCCTTGATGACTCCATTTAGTATTTTTCTTCTAATGATCTCAAAAAAGATTTCCATAATCTATGTTATTTTTCATGTACTTTATTTATTTCCCAGGTGTGCAAATTGTGGCATGGAAAGTTTGAGAAATGTTTCAAAAGAAGATAATCAATTAATTTATTTAACTTTTAAGTTCAGGGGGGTACATGTGCATGTTTGTTATATAGGTAACCTCATGTCATTGGGGTTCGTTGTACAGATTATTTTGTCATCCATGTATTAAGCCTAGTACCCATTAGTTATTTTTCCTGATCCTCTCCCTCCTTCCACCCTCCACCCTCCAGTAGGCCCCACTGTGTGTTGTTACCACCCCCAATGTGTCCATGTGCTCTCATCATTTAGCTCCCACTTATAAGTGAGACCATGCTGTATTTGCTTTTCTGTTTCTGCGTTAGTTTGCTAAGGACAAAAGCCTCCAGCTTCATCCATATTCCCACAAAAGACATGATCTTATTCTTTGGTGTGGCTGCTTAGTATTCCATGGCTATCTTTACCACATTTTCTTTATTCAGTCCACCATTGATGGGCATTTAGATTGATTTCATGTCTTTGCTATTGTGAATAGTGTGGTCATGAACATATGTATGCATGTGTATTTTTGATAGAATGATTTATGTTCCTTTGGGTGTACACCCAGTAATGGGATTGCTGAGTCAAATGGTATTTCTGTTTTTAGGTCTTTGAGAAATCACCACACTGTTTTCCACAAGGGTTGAAGTAATTTACACTCCCACTAACAGTGTATAAGTGTTCCTTTTTGCCTGCAACCTCGCCTGCATCTCTTATTTTTTGACTTTTTAATAATAGCCATTTTGACTTGTGTGAGATAGTATCTCATTGTGCTTTTTATTTGCATTTCCCTAATGATCAGTGATGCGAGCTTTTTTTTTATTCATATGCTTATTGGCTGCATGTAAGTCAAAAGAAGACACTTTAGATTCAAAGGCATGACTCTGAATTCTTTATCTTCTCCACTCTACCAGGCTGCTGGCTTTGACTATGCATTTTTGGATATGAGAAATAGAGTCTTAATTAAGACAATTCAAATAAAGTGAATA
This sequence comes from Homo sapiens, assembly GCF_000001405.40. Classification (NCBI taxonomy): domain Eukaryota; kingdom Metazoa; phylum Chordata; class Mammalia; order Primates; family Hominidae; genus Homo; species Homo sapiens. The sequence goes on from NC_000003.12 coordinate 63,095,351, forward strand.
GCAAGCTGTCATAAGGATTTTTGTGAAGGTAATAAATGCAATAGGAAAGATTACACGTAACCTCCATGGATAAGATGCTTTGTTTTGCTTCCATGATGCAGAGGTTTTGTTTTCATTCATCATCGTGAATGAAAATGTTAACATATATTTAAATGAATAATAAAAACAATAGTATGAATAAAAATAGCTACCATTTATTGAGTGCACACCATGTGCCAATCATGATGCCAAGACCCTTACATAGATCAGTTTATCCTCCTAATAGTCCAATGAAGCTAGTAGTATTATCCCATTTTTACAGGTGAGAAAAATAGCAATTTTAGTAAATGTCCAGCTCAAGATTATATAGCTAGTAGGTAAAGGAACTGAGATGGAATTATAGAACTACAGATATAAAAGCCAGTGCCGTTAGCCACTACCAGAACCCAAAAACATGAGCTGCTGGAGACAAGCTAGATCTAGTGAGATGCTTAGTATTATCTCAGACCTTATTTCTTTTTCAGTCTTTCTTTCTGTCTCATGGCCCACACACGGTCTTCTATTGCTTTTACTAATTTTCTTCTCTTCTCTCACTCTTGACTTGCCTATTCCCTCCTTCTTCCCTGAAAGTTTTCTATTCAGACTATGACTTCTTCTTCCTTATGGACTCTGCTTCTTCATAACTTGGGATTGCCATGACCTCTTGCATCTTAACTCTGTCTCAGAAGATTAAATCTATCTCATACTCTCATATTTTAAAAAAATCTATTTAATACTTTAAGCTTCAGTTCCTGTTGCCAATCACCTCATTTCTTATGAGTTTTAAAATTCAAATTATCAAGAGCAAGAATCCAGTTAGTCCAGCTCCTTTTCGGGGGCCAGCCTAGGTTACTGGGAAGCCTGTGTATGCATTGACTGGGCTGAGGGCTGGGGCTGAGCCTGAGGTGGGTCTTCTGTTCCCTGTGCTCCCCTGCACAGCAGCCTCCCTTATGGGCTATGGGGCAGCCGCAGGAGGGGCAGGCTGAGAGGGGCTGCCACAGCTTTTCACTTTGGCTGGATGTCAGAGGACTCGGACACCAGCTTCCCATCGCAGGTCTCAATCATCTTCACGACCACGGCCCTGGCGGAACTGGTGCGGCTGAAGGAGGGGGACCCCGCGCCAGAGCCAAAGCTAGAGCCCAGGCCATAGCTGAGACCGGGCTTGTGAGACCCCCATAGGCTGAGCTCAGCACACCTCCACCGCCACTGGTGGTCTTCTATGGATACTCCTGTTCTGCATCCCAGACTCCAGCCGGCTCTCCTTGCCCTCCAGCAGCTTCCTGTAGGTGGCGATCTCTATGTCCAGGGCCAGCTTGACGTTCATCAGCTCCTGGTATTCACGCAGCTGCCACGCCATGTCCTGCTTGGCCCGCTGCAGGGCGGCCTCCAGCTCGGACAGCTTGGCGTTGGCATCCTTAACCACCAAATCCCCGTGCAGCTCGGCATCTGTGATGGCGGCCTCCAGGGAAGCCCTCTGGTCAACATGAGCCTGGAGCTGGCTGATGTTCCCGTATATCTAGGAGATCTCAGTCTGTGCGCCGCCGGTCATCCCCGTGCTTCCCAGCCAGCGTCTGCAGCTCCTCATACTTGATCTGGTACATGCTCTCGGCCTCAGCCCGGCTGCAGTTGGCGATCTCCTCCTACTGTGCCTTGACCTCAGCAATGATGCTGTCCATGTCCAGGGAGCAGCTGTTGTCCATGGACAGCACCACAGACGTGTCTGAGATCTGGGACTGCAGCTCCCGGATCTCCTCTTCATATAGCTGCATGAGGAAGTTGATCTCGTCAGTCAGCCCTTCCAGGCGAGACCCTAGCTCTACCTTGTTCATGGAAGCTTCATCTGCATCCTTCTTGATGAGGACAAATTCATTCTCCATCTCTGTACGCTTATTGATCTCATCCTCATACTTGTTCTTGAAGTCCTCCACCAGCGGCTGCATGTTGCCAAGCTCCGCCTCCAGCTTCAGCTTCTCCTGGCCCAGTCTCCAGCTGCCACCTAAGGTTGTTGACGTAGCTCTCAAACATGTTGTCCATGTTGCTCCGAGCCGTCTGCTGCTGCTGCAGGAGGCTCCACTTGGTCTCCAGCATCTTGTTCTGCTGCTCTAGGGACCTTACCTTGTCGACGAAGGAGGCAAACTTGTTGAGGGTCTTGATCTGCTCCTCCTGGGTGCGCATGGCCTGGATATTGGGGTCCACCTCCAGGTTAAGGGGGCTCAGCAGGCTTTGGTTGACCGGGACGGTGGTGATGCCTCCCACACCGCTGGTCCCACCATAGCCTCCACCCAGGCCACCTCGGAAGCTGCTGCTGCCCACTTAAGAGAAGTTCGAGGAGCTGAGCGGGCTGAACCAGGCAGAAATTCCAGTAGGAGTGGAGAAGCTGCTTCTTGCTCCAATATGTAGTCTTTTATCCCTCACCTACCTCCTACCCTTCCCCCTTAAGTCCTCAAAGTCCATTATAACATTCTTATGCCTTTGCATCCTTATAGCTTACCTCCCACTTAGAACATATGGTATTTAGTTTTTTATTCCTGAGTTACTTCACTTAGAATAATGGCCTCCAGCTCCATCCAAGTTGCTGCAAAAGACATTATTCCATTTCTTTTTATGGCTGAGTAGTATTCCATGGTGTATATATACAACATTTTCTTTATCCACTTGGCCGATGGGAACTTAGATTGGTTCCACATTTATACAATTGCAAATTGTGCCACTATAAACGTGTGTGCATGTGTCTTTTTCATATAATGACTTCTTTTCCTTTGGGTAGATATCTAGTAGTGGGACTGCTACATTGAATGGTAGTTCTACTTTTAGTTCTTTAAGGAATCTCCATACTGTTTTCCATAGTGGTTGTACTAATTTACATTCCCACCAGCAGTGTAAAAGTGTTCCCTTTTCAACAAATTCATGCCAGCATCTATTGTTTTTTCACTTTTTAATTATGGTCACTCTTGCAGGAGTAAGGTCGTATCTCATTGTGGTTTTAATTTGCATTTTCCTGATCATTAGTGATATTGAGCATTTTTTTCATATGTTTTTTGGTTGTTTATATATCTTATTTTGAAAATTGTCTATTCATTCCTTTGCCCACTTTTTGATAGAATTATTTGTCTTCGCCTTCTGAATTGTTTGAGTTACCTGTAGATTATGGATATTAGTTCTTTTTCAGATGCATAGTTTGAGAATATTTTCTCCCACTCCGGAGTTCTCTGTTAACTCCTCTGTTGGTTATCTCTTTTGCTGTGCAGAAGCTTTTTAGTTTAATTACGTCCCATCTATTTATTTTTGTTTTTGTTGCATTTGCTTTTGCGTTCTTAATCATGAATTCTTTGCCTAAGTCAATGCCTAGAAGAGTTTTTCCAATGTTATCTTCTAGAATTTTTATGGTTTCAGGTCTTAGATTTAAGTCTTTTATCCATCTTGAGTTGATTTTTCTATAAGGTGAGGGATGGGGACCCAGTTTCATTCGTCTACATGTGGCTTGCTTAGCTGGGACTTTTTAAACTGTATACAATATACACTTTATGTAAAAAAATAATAAGTAACATAGTTTAATGTTTTTTATATATATATATATTATATATAGAGAGAGAGTTTAAAAATAAAAGGAAATGTTTATGCTTGATTCAGCAGTGCTACCAAGTAACAGGGACTTTCTTTCTTTTCCTCTAGCCTTATCTTCCCTTTCTGTTAGTATCACTCTCAAGTAAAATTCTTCTACATACAGCTCATGGAAACTGAGACCTTATATTTCTACGTGTCCAGGTTTAGCAAAAAGAGGAACTATGCCTCTATTTTTCAACAAAATACACAAGTCCTAGTAATAAAACCCAGATTGTGTCTCAAAGGCTCATATTGGGTATGGACTCATTCTTGATCCAACCGTAGTAGTTGGGTGAGTAAGGAGGCAATGAAATGCTCACACAAGCCAAATTAATAACTTGTCCCCCATAGAAGCTGGAGTTGAGATGAAACCAATACTATATAAACATTTTGGACTGTAAGTAGGATAAGGGAGATTTTTCAGAGGAAAATTGGGGGCTCCCCTCTGAAGAGCAAATGAGTCATGGGCCTACAGATTTTTCCATCACAGCTTGGACCTGCTATGCTGGGTTTTGAGCCTGGAACGGGAGTAAAGACTCATGCTTCCTATTCTAGGTCACCAGTAGCCTTATCATTAATAAAATTAGTAGAGATAAAGGAAATGAGACTTTTCCTATGTAAACCTTGGTATATGACCTACAGCATGATTTCCATTTCAGAACTTAGTAGTGTGACAGCTCCTCAGCTGAAATGAACAGGTACAGTAGGTCAGATGGCTTCAGGAAAGCCCAGTTTCTTCATCTCTCCAAAAGATGATTGGATGGGTTCTGCTCCCTATTATAGGAAGAAACAAGGTCTTGAAAGAAAATACAGATGGAAAAACAGGAGGCTGAGGTGTGAGAGGAGGCAGATCATCTGGGAAAAATGGATTTTTTTAAAGTTTTGGTTATATTTCTGATTAGTTATGTGACCTCAGGCAAATTACTTAATAACTTTGGGCATCTTCATTTGAAAGACGAAGAAATTGAATTTTTTTTATTGTTTCTATTACTTTGCTGAAATTCCCCATCTGTTCACACATCTTGTCCGTCATTTATTCTAGTTTTTAACCTACATTTTATCATTCTTTAAATTTTCTATGTTATACTACTGTATGTCTCTATTGATTATTTCTTATATTGACCATGGGTCACATGTTCTTCCTTCTTCAGTGTCTCTCTCTCTCTCTTTTTTTTTTTTTTACTGTGTCTTATGTACTACGTGCAAAAGATCAGGTGAGACATAAGTAAGCAATATTTGCCTCCAGAAAATGACATGTTCCTTATTCTGTGAGGCTAATGTGTTGGGAGCTGAGTCAATCTAATCTAGTTTTAGCTTTGATGAAGCATTAGTTTGATTCAGTTCACCTGAAAAATTTTAACTTCACAAGGACTTGAGATGTGAGTACTGGTAAGACTTCTGGGATCTCTGTCTCAGAGCCTCTCCTGGCATTTTGAATTTGGGTGCTGTTTAGAAATTTATTTCCTACCACATTCACATGTCTTAAAAATATCTTCCTTATCAGCCAGGACTTTTTAAGTTGTATATGATAATATATATGTTATGTAAAATATGTAATATACAGTTTAGTGTTTTATGTATATACATAATAGAGAGAGAGTTGAAAAATAAAAGGAAATGTTTATGCTTGATTAAAGCATAAACTTTATGGAATTTCTCTTAGTCCTCCTGCCCCACATTCAGCCTTTGGAGCACCACTGAAAGTTGGAGAACCAACTTGTTGAAAACCTGAGATCACCTGGATGACTTTCTCTTAGTTCTCCTGCACTGCTGTTATTCATCAGAATAACACACTCGAGCACCCAGAAAAAGCCTCTGGGAAAGAAATGGAGAATCGGTGCAAAGTTTCTCTGTGTTTGAGGCTTCTTGGGATTATAATCTCTCATGATGCTTGCATCCAGTCATTAAAAATTTATTGAAAGTTAGCCTAGTTTATCTTCATTAGCATTTTACTAGATTTTCCTTCCTCCCCCAATACTACCAGGGTTAAAGTAATTGTTTTCCTCTGTTAGGAAGGTCTTACCATTTTCTGGAATTTAGCTTTTTAGTTTTCCTTGCACCCTCAGACTTCTGTAGCTTATCCAGTGTACCCTTCTTAGGGATACTTTGGAAATGATGGTCTTCTAGGCCCTAATCCTAGGTCATTTTGAATGATAGCTTCTAAATTCTAAAGTCATTGGCAATCTGAATAAACAGAGACAATGCGGACATTAGATATTTGTGTAATCAGAAACTGCCTCATAACTTCTCTTTTTGGCTTTTTGATAGTTGAATAATAGACTCAGCAACACAGCAACTAACAGGAAAAAGGGGATGATGTAAGGTGAGATACCAACACTTGCTTAAAGCAATCCTAGTCAGGACCCAGCATGGCTAAAGCACATAGTGGTTTTGCTCTTATTGGGTTTTGGCTGCTTTATTTTTGTTATGATTGTTTTTTTCTATTATAAGTATTATTTTGTTTGAGGCAAATAAAATGTCTTCTTTATATGACAGGTGTTAAGGTGGTTACTTTTGCTTTTAGCGAATGCATAGGAGGAAAATCTAAGCTACATTCTATGAAAAAGAGCTAATTTTGACCAAATATCGAGCAGCTACGTCATGAGTGGAGTTAGCATCGCTGATGGGTCTCTACACTAGGGATAGTTATTTTGGATCTGCTGCTGCGTTGTTGCATAGGGAAAAGAGAAAAAAAAAACAAACAAACACTTTATACCCCAGAAAAGTGGAGGACAGAGGTTTGACTGATATCTCAGCCTTGAGGCACTGACTCTCTCTTGCTGACTCAAGAATTCATGCCCCTGAGGATTCTAGGTCTAACTTAAGCTCCCAGTATTCCTGCTCTATTAATTAAATCATCCACTTCACACAGGCATAAGGAGATTCTACTTACTTTTGAAAAGTCTAACCTTTCTAGCACTTTCTCACATTTCTTAATGTTGGCCTTTTATAGGATGAATAGTTCAGTCCCCAGAAAGTCTATTAAATCATTTACAAGGGCAAATGAATGACATTATGTGCAAGGTGAGTTTGCAGCAGAATTGATTATTTTCTCAGCTGATATCAGTGGAAATCTACTGAGTCTCTACTGTGTTGGTGAAAAACAGATCATGTTTGACAAATGTGGCTGGATATTTTTATACATTTCCTCTATTGACTGATAAGTGGGAGTGAGGGAGGTGGAATTTATCTGAATATTTGTAAAGTGCATGACACTGAGCACATAGGTGGAATGATTTATGAAACTAGTAATGCTTCCTTTCTTGGGAGAGTAGAAGTCATCTAGATCAGTGCTTAGAAATATAGGCTTTGGAGTCACCTGGGTTTAAGTCCTGATTGCACCATTTGTTTGGGCAAATTTCTATGTCCTAATTTTCTCAGGGTAATAGAGGTATCTATTATTTATCTCTTGTTGTTCTTTTGAATATGTACAATGGTATTTGTATAGAATTTTGCACAGTGCCTGGCACATAGTTGGTTCTAAGTGGTAATTATTATAATAGGAGGAAATTAGAAGGCTTCAAGAAAACTCAATAGCTAGTATCATAATAACTCTCGTGGACTTTCTTCAGTTGTACACTCATTTTATTCTAGCCTGGAGGTGTGATTGAATATTTTCTGCCAGTACAACTGACTAGCAGAGAATTAGTTGCTCAAAATATGTTCAACTTTATAATGCATAAGATTTAGCCTGAGTGTCTGGTTTGATATTCTATTTAGGTCCTGCACAGTTCAATATTAAATGGAGTTTCTACCCTAGCATGAAAGGAGGAAGAGAGAAAATCGGATCCAAGAGAAATTCGGCTCCAACATTCCCCAAATATTAGAGTGAGACCATCTGGAATTCAAAATGTTATTGTAGGTAACTGACAGCTGAATATCGGAAGGTATAGAAAATGGAAGGCTAAGGGGGACATTATTTCTATGCCTATACTCAGGTGAGAATGTTATCAGGGTCATGAGTTACAGATCCTGCATAATGATGCCAAACAGCACAAAAGAACAGTTATTAATATTGTATCAGATTATTTAGCTATCTCCTTACCCCCTTCCCATTACCAAGAAGAGAGGCAAGAGGCAGAGTGTGTGATGGTTAAGATAAGCCAAGAGGCTGGCATCAGGGAATCTGGATTTGAATCTTTGTATTGCCTCTTTGTACATCCTAGGCCTCAGTTTCCCCAACTGAAACACTGTAGTAATAATGCTTACATTACTGGGTTCTTGTGAGTTAAAAGAAGAAAAGGTATGTAAAATATGATGTTCAATATAGCTTAATTTTTCTTTTTAATTCAGAAGAAAAGCTCAGTCTTATATATTCCCCCTCTTAAGGCTGACGGTGCATAAAGAACTGGATGTCAGGTGAGGTGATTCTGGGCCATAAACCACATTTTCAACTATACACTCACAGTGGTTATTACCTGGGGTCTGCATAGAAGAATAGAAAAGGTGATGAGGGAGCATTTCTTACTTTATTTTCTGAATTCAGGCTAAGTATCTAGCTGTGTGTAAGAGCTTTGAAATCTGCAAGGTATCATTGGTGTCAGTGCCAAGAATAAAACTGTGCCAAACCACCAGTGACTGCCCTGGCTTAGCCAAGCATTGATCAGTCAAGGCTCAAGGCTTTGAGATATGTGCTAGGAGCTGTTCTTGGGAAAAAGAATCACTGACTATAGAGTCAGCAAGCCAGCAACAATGTGCTCATCCTTTCATCAGGGATGTCAGAGGGTGCTCATAGGTGCCAAGGGGCTTGCTTGCAGCAGATACTCACAGTCAAGACATCTCCCTTTATGAGCCCTTTTGTGGTCTCCCACCATTTCTGTCCAACTGTAGGGTAAAATTTCTTATTTCAATAGAGAAAGTTTTCAATTACTGGCTGCTATCCTAATTATATAAAAAGTTAGATGCCCAGAACAACAGAATGGAATCTTAACACACTGTCTCACTTATCTTTGTGGTTCCCTGGGCTTAGCACAAAGCTTAACATACTGATTCTTTCAAAAAAATGTGTTGATCATCTCCTTTATATTCTCACATCTATTTACGTACAGAGACATCCAACCTAATTTATCATGCTCATTATGCAGATAAGAATATTGATGTTCAAAGAGGGGAAGGAACTTGCTTGCTCAGGATTACATCCCTACTCAGTAATTGAGTAACGCTAGAGTTCTTTGATTGCAAGCAACAGCTATGCATTGCAGTAACTTAAGCAATAGGCAGATAAATCAACAGACAAGTAAGAAGATACTAGACAATTTGTGGAATTGAAGGTAGAGCTTAAGGTTTAGGTTTTGGAAAAGACATGGATAAGCATCCTGAGGGGTCTTGATGGCAGGAACTCACAAGTAGTCTCTCCATGATTCTGCAATCAGGTCTTTCATCCTCAGCCACCTCATGTATGTGACTCCCCAAGATTCAAAATTCTGGAGGGAGATTCTGATTGTCATCAAGTCAAATCTTCAGTCCTTTACCTAAGCTGTGGTCAGGGACTCTGGATTCCATGATTGACGTCCCTCCAGAACACACAGGGTCAGAGTCAGGGTCAAATTCTCAAAGGATGCCGAGAAACCAGAAAGACAAACAAAAACATGTATGAAAAGAGTATACACTGCCTGTTTGAAACAGAACAAACCCTTTCCCAAGGGCAAAAATTTAACTTTAAAACATATGCAATTTTTCTAAAAAGTTTAGAAATAGGTACCCGCTTGATATAAAATGATTCCTTTAATGATTCCTTTAATGAATGTAGCTTCAGACCGATGGGTAATGATCAAGGCCCTTGGGGCTACCTCCAGCTTTTCTTCCTGATGCATGGCCCTGTTTCTGTGTTGGAAGTAAGGAAACTTGCTGTTCCAGGGCTTAACCTATATCTAGAGAATGATTCAGATATAATGAAGAAAGTACCTGGTGTTATAATATCTTAGCCCTTGCTGAGCATTTCAATCCCTTAAAAAATCCTATTTGCAGGATTTTTAAAAACTGTATTACTCATATCTTGGAGAAAACGGGGGGTATTCTGAAGTAAAACTTTGACCCAGGGATAAAGCACATTAGCTTGAGGATGAAGAGGACTGGGTTTGGGTCTGCCATTTGCTAGTTTGGACAAGGCTGCTTTACCTTCCTTGACCTCAATTTGTTAATTTATATTATTAATGAAGATGTTGAACTACACGCTTTTTATTGAAATAGTATGACAAGTGAATGTGAAGATAAATAAATGCCTTAAAACTTAATAAAACTAAATTTCACTTTACGGATGAGCCTTACTTTCATCCTTTTAAACACAATTTTGAGACATACAAAAACAGACAAGATAGACACCAATCAAACTTCAAAAAAATTATTTAAATTGCTTATCTATCCTGGCTCCCAGACAATGCAAATCATCATTGATATACTATGGCCACTACCTCTGCCCTCTGATGAACTTGTTGTTTTGAATGCCTGAGCACTCTTAGAAGCCCTCTCTCCTCACTACTACTACCCTAAGTTATGAGTAACTTGGATAAACAGGTGGGCACAGAGGGTTAACGGCCCACCCACCCTCTTTTTAATGACTTTCTCAGAAACAGAAATGTGAGGCAATGTGGGTATTCAATCATAACTCTTGGATCTCATTTGAGGCTCCTGGGCAAGTTCCTCTCTGAATATAAACATTAAACAGCAAATAAGCATAAACAAAGAGAACATTATTAGAGAGATTCTACAAATATCATATAGATTCTTTCTTTTTATGTGTATAATTAAACTTCTTTGGTGGTGCCTATAGAGTTTAATACTCATATTTTATTTCCATCACTGCAAGGAGATAGGAAGTAACATTGGATGTCAGCAGGTCTTCTTGAATAACCCAGACACTCTTCTGAATTCTAACGATAGAGCCTTAAGCCTTTTTCTCAAGGAACCCACAGGTGGTGGGGTGTGGAGAGGGAGTGCTCTCCATTATCCCTTCAATGCATGATAAATAGTTGTAATCAATATCTACCTGTAAGTTTGGCTAAAAACCAGCTTCTGCAAAGCCCAGCCAGGAGCTCAAGTGTTCTGTTCCCCCAGCTGTCAATCAGAGTAGGGAGGGCATGAAGGAGACATAGGAGATAGATTCATGAAGAATACTTGTTACTTTTATATGTGATCTGCAACTTTAAGAATTTTTTTTCCTGATACTACCAAAATGAATTCATCAAAAGATAGCCTAATGATGAGGCTTTTCTGCCACTTTGCTGTTATTAGACTCCAGGGAGTAAATGTCTCTTATTATCATAAAAAGGGAAATTATGAGCTTTTTCTCCAAGAGCTATAAGACAATCTTATCTTCATTTTCATTCTTCCAGGTGGTTATGTTGAAGATGTAAATATTCTCCCTGCTGTGAGTATTACTGCAGCTGCCCAAAGATGCTTTATTTTAAAGATGTGGATACAGGAAGATAAAAGCATCAGAAACACTGCATGGGGTAAGACTGTCCTGGCTGCCAGGGTCTTGGTTTAGACAGTGGTAGCAATGGGACTTTTGCTGGGACAATGTTGAAGCTGTACTTTGTCTTAGTCAAGGTTTGTTTTTTGTTACAATTATCATGTGTCTCCTCAAATGAGCTGAAATATTAAGAGGCTATAAGGATACAGGAGCATTTTAGGGGGTGTTAATTGTAGTCTGACCTCTGAAGAGTCTGGGTTGAAAAATTGAGTATCTATTCTCTGTCTCTCCTCTCTCTCTCTCTGAGGCCATATGGTCTCTCATTTTCCTTCAGTTTTGCACCTCCGCTTCATTCTTCTCTTGATTTTCAACACTCCTGCTGAATCTCCATCTCTGCCCATATGGCAGAAGACAGCTGCCCCTGGCTTCCTTATTCACATGCCCTTGACATTCACATGTCAAGCGGGGAGTGAAGACTAAAACTCTCACATCTTTTTCTTCAAGCTCCTAGGAAAGAGTCTCTGATCAGCCCAGTTGGGCCCATTTTATCTACCTATGGTTTAATCAGGAATTTCTTGGAAATCCTAAAGGCCAAATGTGGACCCCCAAGAAAAAAGAACTCCTTAGGTAGCATTGTGGTGAGCACTTCATGGGCATTGTCTTTGTCTAAAGTTCATAGAAATCCTATGAGGTTGCTATTACAGTCTAATTTTCTATGTAACAAAGCAGAGTCTCAAACAGTTAAGTAATTTGCCCAGGATCATACACTGACTTTTATTTCTTTTAGAGACAGGGTCTCACTCTGTTGCTCAGGCTGGAGTGCAGTGGTACAATCATAGCTCACTGCAATCTCAAACTCCTATGCTCAAATGATCCTCCAGCCTCAACCTCCTGAGTAGCTAGGGCTACAGGCGTTTGTCACCACAACAAGCTAAATTTTTGTTTCAATATTTTATTTTTTGTAGAGATGTGGTCTTGCTCTGTTGCCCAGGCTGGTCTTGAACTCTTGGCCTCAAGTGATCCTCCTGCCTAGGCCTCCCAAAGCACTGGGATTACAGGCGTGAGCCACTGCTCTCAGCTCCCTCACCTTCCCCCTCAAGCTTTTTACCACTACCATCTCTTGCTCCTAAACAAGGTTTCTCAAATTTCAGTCAGCATCAGAATCACTTGCAGGGCTCATTGAAACCAAGATATTTGGGCCCTATATTCAGAAATATTGATTCTGTAGGCCCAGGAATAAGGCTGAGAATGTGCATTTCTAACAAGCTCTTTTGTGAAACTGATGCTGTTAGTCCAAGGTCCAAAGCTACTTGGTCCTTGCTACTTTGAGTAGTACTGCTTGCTCTAAGCAATCAAGAAGTTAATGTTCTCATGAATTAAGAAATCCCTTTGAATTGTAGCTATACTCCATAAATAATCAGAATAAAAGAAGTTCCTGTGAGCTCATTTATTTGCTTTGTCTAATCCCAATATTTTGCTCATTCTGTTTTTAACACATCTTCCTAAGAAAGAAAACCCTTTCTGACTTGGGACACTTGCATTTAGAGGGACTCGCAGTAGTCCTGGATACATATATAACTTTGGAGGCTATTATAGAAGCCACTTACATAATTTTCCCCTTAACCCTCCACTGAGATTTTTAAAAATCACTACAATTCTCATCAGAGAAGTAATTCTGAATAACGTTTCCTCACTAGGAGATGGCAGAGATCAGTTTCCTGAACTAGGGTATATATGAAATTCACTCTTCTAATCCCATATAGTTTCAAAAAGTTTTGTAGTCAGCCAGGAAAATGAAGAAACTACTACTACACATAGTGATGAATCTCACATGCCAAGTGTTGCATGAGAAAAACAAAGCATACTTCATGCCTCCATTTATATAAAGTTTTAAAAATCAAGATCTATGGAGATGGACGTTAAGACCAGACCGTGGTTGCTGTTGGGGCAGGATAGTGACTGCCGGGCACAGGGGTAGGGGTTGGGGAGGTGCACTCCCAGGAGTTGGTGATGTTCTGTTTCTGATCTGGAGGCTGGTTGAATAGGCATGTTCAGTTTGTGGAAATTCACAAGCTCGTATACTTAGGAGCTGAGCGCTTGTCTGTGTCTGTTGTTATAGCCAGTATAAAAGATTCAGAGGTGTTTAAAAAATGAGTCATTTGTAGAAAGGCAGTATATGAATTGTATTGACAAACCTATTGCAAATGTGCTATACATGTAGAAAGAACAAGCCTGAAAGGAAACATTCCAAACCATGACTGCTTCTGGGTGGTGGAAATGTGGCTGGATTTACTTTTTGGGCTTTTCTGTATTGTCTAAATTTTCTGCAATGTGCATACATTGCATTTATTAATATATCTTAACATGTTCAGTTTTTATTTAAAACATTGATTTTGTTAAAGTAGAAGTAAATAGGAGGACCCAATCCCACCAAATTCAGAAACAGAAACTTTCTGCAAATGTCTATTTAATACAAATGTCAGAACAAAAAAGTGGCCATGGGAATTGTGGGGCCTTGACAATCACTTTATCCCATGTAAATGGTATTTCCCAAGGGCCTCTTTCAGGTTCTATTGGTAATTATAAAACAGGATTCATGAGGAAAGGGTACTTAGGAAGCAAGGAAATGATCATTTTGTGAGGTTTGCAAAACAGAATACAAATGTCCAAGGGCCAAGTAATAATGATAAATTAGTTTTTTGACCAAAGCTCAAAGATGCTAAAATCTCCAGAAAATCCATCAAATGTTCCCCAATACTTTCAATATTTTTGACAGTGACAAAATTGAATAAAAATATAGATGTGTTTGTGGCCAGAATTTATAATGCATTCTTTCATTATTTCCCCTTGGAACTCTAGTAGGATAAAGCTTTTCAAAGAGGTTATACATTTTATGTTAAGCATCTCAATGTTTTTGATGAAACAATTTAACTTTCTTGAATATCAAAGAGGAAAAAAGAATGATGATGTGATCTTCAATTCTGGTCTCTAACTATTTCCTGAAATTTCACTGTCCCTGCCTATATCAAACACATAAGGAAAGGAGAGGAGCCATGGATAATAGAGCCCAGTGCTAATCTGGTTGGCTGGGTGTAGATTGTACTTGCTATATTTTGGAATCAGTCTCCTGGGGTTTGAATTCTGGCTCTCCCAGTCACTATGTATGGAACTTAGGGAAGACAATATAGCCTATGTGAATCTCAGCTTCCTGGGCTATAAAATGTGAGTAACTTTTATTCCTTCCTCATAGGGTTATTATAAGGATTATACAAAATTACATGTGTACCAGTTATCATTTTTTTGCTTTTCATCTCCAAATTTACCCTTCGATACCTGCTCTGTAATAATGGTGGACTTTAAGCATTTCTCCTTTACTATAAGCACGATGTTAAGCTTTCTTAGTAGCAGGCACTGGATGCACATCAGAGGAGAAAAGGGACTCTCTTGTCCAGAAGCTGCACTGACAGTCATTGGTGTGGAGGGGAAGACATGTGGTGGGGCTCTGCCCTTATCATGAAGCCAGAGCATGAGTCCCTCCATGACTCAGCAGCCCCAGTTAGTCTCACCTGTCCATGGTCTTTCCAATGGGGCACTGCACATTCAAGCTTTCTTCCCACACCTATCCAACACCCTCTGCAAGCCTGCATGTCCAGTTACCAGCCATATCACACCTATGCCCCAAGGTTTACTTCCGGCTTGTCCAGCAACTGCGGACTGGCTCTGACCTAGCAAAACAGCACATTTCTCTACCACCTAGTGAGTTGCAGCCTTCTCTAATCAGGTCTGAATCCCAGCCTTGGGAAGGTGGCCCCCCCTTCCAAGTTTGTCCTCTTTTGGATACTCTCCCTCAGCTCTGCTACCATTTAGAGTTCTGTCATAATTATCATTTTTTACTTGGATTCTGCAAACTTTTCTTGTAAACAATGTAGTGAGTTAAACGGGGGGAAGCTCAGAGTCAATGAAAATACAGTCTAGGGACAAATGCAGCCAGTGGCGTTTGTGCAGCTTATGTTCTAAGAATGTGTTTTTACATTTGTAAAGAATTGCTTAAAGAATGAGGAGGAGGAGGAAGAGAAGGAGGAGGGGGCCACAAATGAGAAGAAAAGGAGGAAGACTAGAAGGAAAACAGAGCTTATTTGGCCTGCAATGCCTAAAATAATACCATCTGATCCTTCATAGAAAAAAACATCCAAGACCTACTGAAGTACACCCTAGCAGTGTATATTTTAACAAACCCTCCCAGTGATTCTGATGAGAGCTGAAGTTGAGAACCACTGGATTAAGAGAGTAGCTGATTGACTGACCACAGTGTTGGTCCTTAACCTATTGTACAAATGACCAAAAGTAATTGAGGATTTGTGTGGGAGCTGGCAGAAAATAATTCTCTTGAGTAGTGTGGTGTGAAGATGGAAGTTCCACAGCTGTTTTGGTACCACAAGGGGAGTGTCTGGAGCTGGCAGGTGAGAGGCAAGATCCTGAGGACTAAGCCAACACCACAATAAGCAAGACAAAAAGGCAGGCAGAACTCAAGGCCTGGTGGATTCCTTGAAGCTGCTGGATCAAGCTCACCTGACTCAGGACTTGTCAGATACACATGTCCCAATAAATTCACTCTAGAGAGGTGTTTTTCCACTTCAGCATTGTTGATATTTGGGGTCAGATAATTTTTTGTTGTAGAGGGTTGTCCTGTGTCTTGTAGGCTTCAACCGCATCCTGGGCCTCTACTTTCTAGATATCAATCAGCCCAGCCCCTTAGTTGTGGCAACCAAAAGGGGTCTTCGATATTGCCAAATGTCCCCTGGGAGCAAAAATCACTCATAGTCAACAAACACGGCTCTAGAGTTTCAACTGGTTTGACCTGTGCTTTTGGACCCGGCATTATAAATATTTAATGGATCCTGTACGTGTTCAAGCATTGGTATATATTACTAAGATTAACAGATTCAAAAAGTTTCTCTTAGCAGAAAATGTCCATAATCAAGGAGATTATCCTTGAGATACTGCTCCTTAAGTGAATAGACTCTGGATTCTTGCTTTGCAGAATATCATAACATAAATGTCATCTCAAAACCCACATTCCGTATTATCCCCAGAACTTCTTGGCATGGTTTCTAATGGGCTTGTGCTCAAAGTTTCTATTCCCAATGCATGTTTAACTTTGATGTGTGTCTTTCTCTCTGTTCTGTGTAACCCACATGACACTCTGTTCTCATTTTCTGATTTCCATGAAATCACTTTTGAGGGTGGAGCAGGCATGGAGAGCAACCCTACAAAGGGCAGTCAAGAAAGGAAAGACATTTGATCTTAGCCAAAAGGCTGAGAATTGAGTAATAAAGGATAGAAACAAGGTATGTGTGCTTACCATGTATTCTATCATTGTTGGGTATGAATCTTTGTTATCTGATTTGGTCCAGGTGAGACTATCACATTGACTAATATCCCCTGGGCTTCACAAACTGGAAGGGAGAGTAGAATGTAGACTGGTCAGATTGGATAATTACCAGGTTTAGTTAGGTATGCTCTAGTTTTGCTCACTTAAAAAGATCCTCTCTTTCTTTCTTTCCTTCTTTCTTTCTTCTTTTTCTTTCTCTCTTTTTTTTTTTTTCAGAGACAGGGTCTCACTCTGCTACTCAGATTGGAGTGCAGCAGCATGAACACAACTCACTACAGCCTCGACCTCTCAGGCCCAAGCAATCCTCCCATCTCAGCCCCCCAGTAGCTGGGACTACAGGCACTTGGCCACTATGCTTGGCTAATTTTTTTTTCTTTTTTTGGTAGAGACAAGTTTTTGCCATATTGCCGAGTCTGGTCTCAAACTCCTGAATTCAGGCAATCCACCCACCTTGGCCTCCCAAAGTGTTAGGATTACAGGCGTGAGCCCCTGTGCCTGGACCATTTCATTTGCTTACATCCATAGACTTGTAAGCTCCTCTAGGTTTGTTGAGTACTTTTTTAATATTTCTGGTTAGGTCTCTTTTCCACATTCTTAACACTAAGTGCATTGTGTGTTTGCTTAAGTTAATTTGTGTAGAGCTTGACTTTAAGAATGTACTCCAATGGACAACATAGATACATGCAGATATGAAGCATATATTTACTAAGGGTACAGAGTAATAGGCACTAGAGGTGGGAAGTGATGCTGTAGGTTTACAAGCAGATAAATAATTGTCTCTCAGGGCTTAAAAAATCTTATAATGTGTGGTAATTTAGGCCTCAGGCATAAGTCTTTAGCTCAATTTCTTGACCCTCACCACCATCCTCCAGCAAATTAAAAACAAACAAAAGAACCTCTCCTATTGTATTATGAAGGCAGTTCATCTCTCTCTTGATCACCTCTAAACTCACTTTGAGGTCTCTTTGCACATTCAGATATTCATCACTGTCCTCAGCCAACAGAGAACCTTCTTCTCCAGGTCTTACCCTTTGTCTCATCTCTACCAGGGAGCAAAGTAATATAATTCCACAAAATACAGCATCCTGTGACCCCTTCAAGGAAGGACATGCTGCTCAGCCCTATGAGAACAGGGTCAGCAGACAGCATCTAGGTGTCAGCTCCTTCAAGGTTGCCATCAGCTGCAGAGCCTCCCTGCCCAAAGTCATGCCTTTCCTGAAGAAGCCTGTATCCATTGGATTGTATTGAGCTAAGTGGAGACATAAAAGGACAACTAGTTTGGTTTAATAAAACACTTTGAAAGTCTAAACTTGCTCTAAAGATTTCCCGTCAGGTTGGCCAAGGCTGTGTAGGGTCTGCACCTCAAATCTTACTCAGCATCTCCTTTTGGGGCACATAATCTATAATAGAGACTTATGTTCCCATAACATAAAAGAATCCATGCTTATTCTTTACATTTTTGAGTGCCTACTCTATGCCAGACAGACACTGTACTAGGTAGTGGGATTACAACAGTAAAGTGATACACCTGTGGTTTTGGTCCTGTGGAGCTTACAGTCTTTTGGAGGAAACTGACAAATCATACCCAAACAAATGAAAATGGATGGGTGAATCAACTGGAAGCCCTCTAGTTTATGTTGTGGACTAGTTGGTATTTTGTATACCTTCAGTAAAATGACCCAAGCAATTTTACTCTGCATCTTTTGACAGAATTTTCTTATAGAATATTGGACAGCCAGTTGTCAGTGGGATTTCTTTCAGTTCAGTGAATTTTGTCTTTTGCCTCCTCATTCTTTATTAAGAAAATCATTCAGACTGCAGCTTCCTGGTTTTAGACATCCCCACTGGCAATTGGGACATCTATTTTGGAGATGTAATTGAAAAGACTGAAGAATGTACTGAGGACCTTCTGGCTGATAGAAGCTGACAAAGAAGCCAAGATTGGTGAAGATTTCTGCAATACCTGAGTTTCTAATCACAACAACAAAAATGGTATTTATTTCCTATTGACCCAAACAGTGGCAACGTTTTAGTCAAGGTGATTTAGAGGAGGTTAGAAAGAGAGGTGGATGCTTGGGCCATATTAAAGGCAGAAAATGGGTTATTCTCCCATTATCTTTTACTCAGCAATTTTTTTATCTCCCCAAAACACTTTGAGTTGAACTTTTTGTCCCCTGGGAATTGGACAGGCTCTAGAAATAACATATATAGATTGGTTGTATATTTTCTCATTAACCATTATCTTTCTAAGCTCCCTAGTGGCAAATTAGCTAGGTCTAAGAAGTTATTATGGCATCCAAGCCATTGTGTTTGTTTTGGGATTATGATGTAACCCAGAAATATTAACTCCCTCATGTTGGTGCCTAGAGTCTTGGCAAAGTCCCCCTTAGTTAGCTAGCCAGTGTTTGAAATAAATCCATAAATAATAATAATAGTTAACAATTACTGAGTGTTCACTATGTGCTAAGCAGTGTGCCAAATGTTTGATACACATTTTCCCACTTAAGCTATGCAAGTATTCTATAAGGTAGATGTTATCATCATTTCCCTTTTACCAACATGGAAAATGAGGTTTGGGTGGGTTAAATAATTTGCCTTAGAGACATAGCTCTGTAACACCATTACCTTCATCATAAATTAAGATTCCATTCATTTGGAAGCCACTAAAAGTTTATAATATAACTGCTGCATCTTCAGCAACTCACAACATCTTGTTTATACATTACTTCTGACACTGTTCTAATAAGCCTCTGTGCCGAGAATTAAAAATGTTCCAGTCCATTTTAATTCAATCCACTAGAAGATTCACATGGCCCACGAAATGTTTTAGTTTCTGGGGAGGGAAAAGAAGACAAAAATAAAAAGAAGCACTTTTTGCCCTCAATGAAGTCACAGTCTATTAGGCGATGCTAGTCCTTATTTTCTTTGCATGTATGACTCTATTCTTCATTTCCTCACTACAGTTTATGGAAGTTGGACCAGGAAAGTAATGGAAAGCAAGTCTTACCCAAAGAATTATTGACATAACTATTTAGAACTCAGTTTCTTTGCTATTTGGCAAAATACCAAGCAAGTTTTCCTGACCAGCATAGGGATAGAACCTATGGCCTCTATCTCATTAGTACTGTTTGTTAGTATTAAGTAGGCGAAGCCAGTCTGGTACCTAATTAAAGTATAATGATCTCCATTTATCTGAGGTATGGCTCCAGTCACCAGCTGATAACCCTGTCTTTTGGGGGATACTGTTGTCTTCATATCTACAGAAATAGGCCCTAGAAGTCATGTTTGAACTGCATAGCCCTATGGGCCATGGCTGGTTAGTCAATAGGTTAAGACTACCCAAGCCAAGCCAACCAGATTGTTTCCCCTGGGATTCTCAGATGTTTTACCTCTGTTCTTGCAAGTGGTTAAACCAGTAATACCTAAACTTGAGGGCAATGGGATAGCCTTTAATGTGTATGTGTCAAGGAGCAAAGAAAGCCTGTCTGTATCTGGAAAGACAAATACTGATGTGCAAAGGGAAACAGCCATAAGAAATGAAGAGAAAGTCATGAAAATGTTTGGATTTCTGGCTCTAGTCTGTTTTCATAAATTCTGGTTACAAGTCATTCCCCAAGTCATTCCTTTATTCTTATAAAAAATTCCCATTCTTGCCATAAGCTAGCCTGAGTTGATTTTTGTTACTTGTCATCACTGACACTTAAGTGATACATAAACTGAACAATCTTTACCAGAGTTGTCATGTACAGTTGTACACTGCATAACACTGGGGAGTGCCAGTCATATCACTGATTGCATTATATAACCACATGCAGTCCTGACTTGTATGGTCATTGAGTTTTTGAGCAATATATTTCCTGAGTGCTTAATTCATCAAATATTGATTGAGTACCTATTCTACTTAATAAATTCTATTCTAGAGATTGTACTAGTTATAGGATGCAAAGATTAAAAATAAAAACAGGCCCTACTCTCCACATGGTCACAGTCTAGGAAAGCAGACCAACAAAAAAACAATCACAACATAATGTGATATAGACGACAAAGAAGCATTTCAGAGGGGAACATAAATACAATAACTTCCTCAGGAAGTATCAGGGGAGGCTTCACAGAGAAGCAATGCCTAAGCAAATTCCAGGTAGTAGGAACAGCATGTATAAATGTATGAGTAAATGTGGGAGGCTGAGGCAGGTGGAGCACCCGAGGTCAGAAGTTCAAGACGAGTCTGGCCAACATAGAGAATGAAACCCCATCTCTACTAAAAATACAAAGAAATTAGCCAGGTGTAGTGGTGCATGCCTGTAGTCCCAGCTACTTGGGAGGCTGAGGCAGGATAATCACTTGAACCTGGGAGGCAGAGGTTGCAATGAGCTGAGATCACGCCATTGCACTCCAACCTTGGTGACAGAGTGAGACTCCATCTCAAAAAAAAAAAAAATAGTATAAGTGGAATAGCATAGTATGTTTCCAGAAATGTGGATGGTTTGCAGTTGCAGAAGGTGGAAAGAGGTAATAAATAAAAGAGCAGGGGCAAAATCACAAGAAGCTTTGCATACCAGGCTAAAGAGCTTGTACATTATGCAGTAAACTAAAGCTTTTCACATTGTGATAACTGAGTAATAAAAACAAAATCCTAAGCTCCACATCTGACTGAACAAGCCCCCTTTTGGTCAAGGGGACCTTAAAAATTGAGTTCCCAGTAATGACTGGATAGGAGGTAGGGCACTCCTTAACATGCCCCTTGTATTAGTCTGTTTTCACACTGCTGATAAAGACATACCCAAAACTGGGAAGAAAAAGAGGTTTAATGGACTTACTTACAGCTCCACATGGCTGGGAAGGCCTCACAATCATGGTGGAAGGCAAGGAGGAGAAAGTCATGCGTTACAAGGAAGGTGGCAGGCAAAGAGAGAAGAGGACTTGTGCAGGGAAACTCCTATTTTTAAAACCATCAGATTGCTTGAGGCTTATTCACTACTGTGAGAACAGCAGGGGAAAGACCTGCCCCCATGATTCAATCCCTCCCACAATACATGGGAATTATGGGAGTTACAAGATAAAATTTGGGTGGGGATACAGAACCAAACCACATCACTCCTCCTTATTAACCTTTAACCAGAATTCTTTCCTAAGGGGTACACAGAAACCAGCTCTAGAAAACAAGAAACAGATGACTTATTCCTTTGTCACCTTTAGCCAATCATCTGAGGCTGTGACCAGATTCTCCCTCCCTCTTTACAGTTTCCAGGTGACAGCTCATCACTTCACAATGCATCCCTTCCTAAAGACTGACCTCCATCTCTGGGCCAGTTTTGGCCAACTCTTGAAGGATGTGCAGTGACGGTTTTCATGTCCTCTGCTTCACCTTTTGATGTCAGAGGGTCAAGAACTCCACCCTCGGATCATGCTAATGTTGTCGTTTTTGAACACACCACCCATGAAGAGGCATGAAGCTCAATTGCACATATGCATGCTTCTCCTTTCATAAATATTCATGACTCCTATAGCTTATTAAATATGTATACCTGGCCACCCCATTAGGCATAAATTCCTATTTCATTTTTCCCTTCCTAGAAATGCTTGCTCTTGGCTTTTGCTCAAGAGTTCAAGAGTACACTTCCCAGCCTGTGGGATGACCAGCCTGCATGCTGCAACCCTTTAGGATAAATAAAGCTCTCCTTTCCAAATTTATGAATCTGGCAATTCTTCAGTCAACATAATATATGAAGCATCTTGGGAACTTGCTAACATACTGATTCTGATTCAGTATGTCCAGGATAGAACTAGCATTTTGCATTTCTAACAAGCTCTGTAATAGTGGCAATGCTACTGGTACATAGATCACCACACTTTGAGTAACAAGCCTTTAAGCAATGGGGCATTGTAGGCTATTAAGCAGGGAATAAAATGGCACTGCAGAATGATCTCCCAATATAGTGGGATGGTCATATTAGGCATAGGATGTGAGGAAGCATTAAGGCAGAAGACCAGTTAGGAAGCTATTTCAAGATCCACATGAGAACTGAGGAAGGCAGGAATTAGACTCACTATATGTGAACTTGAGTGTGTAGTGCTAGGGAACAGTAAGGAGTATTCTTCCTTTCCTGCTTCTGTCTGGATTTGTGCTGCAGAATAATGGAGAACTTTAAAATTGTCTTCTTTAATAGCGCAATATGTTTGCTGAGTGTCTACTTTTATATCTACTGCATTCTTAAAGCCCATTTAAAATTATTTTCATTTTGACCTGCAAAATCTACTCTTGATCAAATAATTTGCAATCAAGTGGTAGTTTCAAGTGGGCTGAATTCAGTGCTAAGACAGGTTTATGATGAAAGAAAGTATTCACAGGGATATGGAGCATTGTCATTTTAACTGCGGACAAATTGTAGCTCCAAACTGTGCTCAGAGAAAAACTGTGCTCTGTATAGCACACCAGAGATGAGGAGGCACCTTGGTTTGCATAAGAATTGTCTGGAATAATTATTAAAAATGCAGACATTTTACCTATCCCTCACCTTACCTCATCCTTACTGGGCTTACTTGGGGCTAAGACAATTGCATTTTTAACCAGCACCTCCAAGAGATTGTGACACATTTGAAATATCCATGAGAATTGAGAAATACCAGTCTAGCTCATTTTGGCAAAAATGAATTGCCTTCTTATAATGTAAGTAATTGCCTGTTACTAATCAATAGCACCAAACACACAGACAAGGTAAGATGGTCCCTGCCTTCTAAGAGGTTATAGTCTCAATGATTTAAGTGATCAGGGTGTTTTATAGATCTCTACTAAAGATCCTTACTTCCACACCATACTTGTAAAGACTTCTGTATCTGGCAAGGTCCACACCGGGTAACCGTTGTTAATAACCGGAAAGCAATCTCAAAGAGTTTCAAACAGGTCATGAAAACTCTATTTTCCAGACCTGGATAGAAAACCTTGGAGATAGTAATTGATGGGCATCACGTAGCTGGTTGCTGGAGAAACACTGAAGCAGAACTTGTAATATCTTCAAAACAAGTGAAGGCCAGGAATCAGAAATGCTTCTGAAGGTCAGCTGCCTCTCCAGCCATCTATGAAGAGCTATGGTTCTGAATCCTGGCTAATATCAGAATCATCCTGGGAGCTTTTGAAAATCCTGATGCTCAAGTCACACTCCATACTCAGGTAGAAGCAATCATCAGTACTTTGTAAATCTCCCCGTGTGCATCCAAGGGTGGGAATCCGTGGATGTAGAGCTTCTGCTACATGTGGATTTACTGTGATGCTAATGAAGCTTCAGCCTCAGGGATCTTCATATTGCATGGGTTATGTACAAGGACCAATATTTAAATTTGTAGCCGGAATTGTGATTTATTTTTCTCAAGCCAGGCCCCTTGTGTCAGTTTGGGTTTTCTGAGAAGTAGACACCAAGATGAAATTAGGTATATAACATATTCATTGAAGGGAGGATGAAGGAGAGAGACAGCAGGAGTAGGTGGGGGAGAGCATTTAGATTGTGGTACCAGTCTGGCTTCTGTGAAAGGAGAGAAAGAAGGAATGGGAGTCAGTGTTGGGTAGGAAGAGCCTCAGACTCCAGAGAAGTTTTTAGAAGGTCTTGGCCTGGCCAAAGGGGAGTCCACGAACAACAGTAGTCACCACAGGAGTGCTGTATCAAGGACAAATGATAAGCAATATGTTATGTCTCACACCTGTAATCCCAGCATTTTGGGAGGCCAAGGCAGGAGGATTGCTTGAGCTCAGGAGTTCAAGACCAGCCTGGACAATATGGTAAAACTTTGTTTCTACAAAAAATTCTAAAAAATTAGCCAGGCATGATGGGCATGCACCTGTGGTCCCAGCTACTCTGGAGGCTGAGGTGGGAGGAGAGCTTGAGCCCAGGGAGGTCGAGGCCACAGTGAGCTAAGATCATGCTACTGAACTCCAGTCGGGTTGACAGAGTGATACCCTTTCTCAAAAAAAATAAAAAATAAAAAAAAAAAAGAAGAAGAAAAGAAAGAAAAGCAAATGATTGAGCTTTGAAACCTTTCCTCTGCTCAGTCAGTGGCTGAAATAACCAGAGGAAGCATCACTGCTCAGTGGATGTCACTGGGGATGCGGGTGGGTAGGGTGCGAAGGTGCTGCAGCTGGAGGCTATTAATACACCCTGGATCCCATGCCAGTTTCTCTCAAGAAGAGATCTGAGTGACACACCTCCATGGTCACCACACCCCCCATTTATATATTAAGTTCATACCTCAAACCTGGATCCATCCCTCCTCTGAATTCATAACTGAGTTGGGGAGAGAGGGAATTAATCTGACAGCCACCAGGGTTAACTTTGAGAATTTTCAGTAACAATTCATGGGACACATGACACATGCACAGCGTTCTCTTTCCTTTTAAAATTCACTGAGAAAGCTTGGCTGTGATGCAAAAGTGTTTTCTCTCAAGTGAATAAACACTGAGTGAATAAACACCACCAAGGCTGTCATCAATCTGCCAGCCTGTTGTCTTTAGGGACCTACCATTTAGGAAAACAGGTGAAATTTGGGCTTCTTCATTTTGTTAGTTATACAACGATTTTCCTTAAGTGCTTTTCTATGTGCCAAGCACTATGCAATGCCCAGTTTTCAGGATACAAGACCTGGTTCTTGTTCTCATGGAGCCTGAATTTTAATGAGGTGTGATAGATCAAAAGCCAGTGAATGTATAAATAAATACAATCATTACAACTTGTTACAAATATTTAAGAAGGACACAAAGTACTATGATAGAGAGTAACGGGATTGGGAACTATTTTAGGTACGGTTGTCAGGGAAAGCCTCATTAAAGTGGGGGGTACTTAAATAGCTGAATTTTGGGGATTAAGGGAGGATAGGGAGGAGAAAAAGGAGTATCCCAGGTGGAGGGAAGTCCTCAGTTTTTTCTAACTTTTTTCTAGGCATCTTCAGTTTTTTCTAAGTACCTGGTGTGCTGGAGCACACGGAGTGAGAGGAATCCAAGCATAGAATAATTTTGGAGAGGTGGAAAGGTCATGGAGATCCTGTGGGCCATGGCAAGGAGCCTGAATTCTATTTTAAACGAAAGGAAAAGGCATGGCAGGATCATAAGCAATATGGTGACGCTGGTGAGGGTGGAGGTGACATAAGCTAACCTATGCTTTAATGGTATCACTTTGGCTACTGTGTATGGAATGGATTGAGGGAAAAGAAGAGGAGAAGTGGAGAGACCAGTTAGCAGGCTCAATCCTGAGATCTGGTGTTGGGTAGATGGCCCAGACAGAAGGAGAGGACATGAAATATTTCTAATAACATTTTTCAGTAGAGTTCAGTGGCTTCAAGAGCAACAGCTAGGGTTGCTCTAGGGTTACAATCTAATAAGGCATCTTTTTCAGAGTGTATTTGAGGGCAGCTTTAATAAACAATACTTATGAGTTCATATTACAGATTTGAAATGCCTCCCATTGTTTTATTTTTGTTAATTTTTAAAATTTCAATTATTTAAATATCACTTAACATTTCAATATTTGTAACTGCTGGTTAAATTTTCTTAACTCTATGCCTCAAACACACTACAACCACTGTGATTTACTGAGCTGATACTATATGCCAGGTACTATGTTATATGTTTGATAGGCATTCAGCTATTTAAATACCCCCCGCTTTAATGAGGCTTTCCCTGACAACCCCACCTAAAATAGTTCCCAATCCCATTACTCTCTCTCACAGTACTTTGTGTCCTTCTTAAATATTTGTAACAAGTTGTAATGATGGTATTTACAAATACTACACTTCTACACATACCAATAGAGTAACTAATAGAGAGAGAGAGAGATCCTTTTTGGGTAAGAAAAATTAGCCTTAAACAATTCAGAACATGCTCAAGATCCTTCCACTTATATGATACAAATCTAGGATTCAAACCCATGTTTACTTGATTTCAAAGCTCGTTTGTTTTGAAACGCTAAGATATGTTGCCCAAAGATCATTTTTCACCTTTGTTTTTTCTTGAACTATAGAAAAGAGAGTTTTCATGTCAACATGTACAAAATATAACTTTTAAAAGCATTCCTCTGCCCAAATCTGATTCTGTATGCATTGGGAAAAGCCATACTTCCGGTATAAATGCCTGCCTCCATAAAACAGAATTCACCATCCACAGGTATTTGTTGCTGATCTTACCACAGATGGGCTGCCTCCTGAAAATGAACCATAGACTTCTTTTTTATGACAAGAAAATGTATCTCAATATCCCTTGAGATCTCTCTTAATATCCCATTGGTAAAATGTGACCTGCTTGGAGTTTACAATAAACTCATCCCAGAGATGTATTCCATGGTTCATTTAAAACACACTCCCTCTTATTCCCTAAGTAAAGTCATCTCTCTAAACACACCTTATATTTGTATAGTGCTTCACAGCTTACAAAGCACTTTTGCTACATGTAATTTGATTCTGAGGGTCAAGTAAGGCAGGTGCTATCATCCTCTTTTTAACAGACAAGAAGCTGAGTCTCAGAGAGAGAAAATGACTCATCCAAGCAAGGTTTGAGACCTAAGAAAGGTAGGTCATGGCATTAGGATTTCAACACTTTTACAAATACTAATAGTAAAGAAGATGAAAATGGCTCTAAGCCACTTTTTTAAAGAGTAAGTTAGCCTTACATATAGATTCACCCCCATATCAGGATGAACTTTGGCCCTCCTGGGGAATGGGCTGGCTGGTAACATGTCCACAGGTATTTGCAAGGATGGTACAAATAACATAAATGTGGGTTCTTCTATATTTAGCTGCTTCTGGCAATATTACTGTATTGATTTCCTGTCTTTGTTTTCATTCACTGCTGCTTTCATTCACAGCTGGCCTCTATCAGGGGTTCTCTTCCTTCTATGCATTAATTTCTATTCCATTCAGAATCAACCTGAATCAAATATAACTATAGGAGGTGCCTTTTGGACAATACAGAGGCCATGCTCAAGGAACACAAAAGGAACTGAAGTTGTGTGGATTACAAGAGAGTTCGATGTGTTCTAAATTCATTATGTAGGTAATGAATGGGATCTCGTGAAAAGTGGAACTAAGCCTCTTTGGTAAAGCCTGAAGAGTGGAGTCAAAAGCAATGAGTAGAAATCATTTTACCCATGCCATCCACCTACCTATCTACCCATACAGACACCCAACAAATTGTAAAAGAAAAGTAGGCAATCAGGATAATCAGTAGTTTAATATGATTTGGGGGTTCATTAAAGGCTTTCCTTTAGAAATCACATTTAAACTGAGACCTGAAGGATGGCTTCTGTCGTTAGCCAGATGAAAAGAGAAGATAAGCATTCCAAGCAGAGGGAACAGGAAAGGTGGAAACAAACTGGGCATATTCCAGGACGTGGAAGGAAGCAGTAGGTAGCTTAAGTAGCATGAAGAACACTTACAGAAGAGTTTAGAATGAAGCAGGAGCCAGACCATGGAGGTAGGACATGCTAGAGCAAATCAATTTTAGCTGAGTGTGAATAATACAGTTCTATCATACGGATCTGCCCTAAAATGGATTTGGTTTCTGATGACCAAGGTTGTGTAAGCAGAAGCTGGAAGACCCTTGAAAAGAGCATTCATTCAAGAAATGAAGCATGAGATAGGATGGAAGGAGGGAAGAAAGACAAGCATATGGCATATCAGGTCTCTTCCAGTGCTAAAGGTCTGTAATTCCATTATTCCAACAAATATCCAATGAAGCTATTTTAATTTCTAGGAAATTTTAAAGTTGCCTGTCTTCCTACACTGAATTTTACATCCATTAAATCTTCAGGATTTAAATGTTATAAACAATAAAAAATAAATACAATGGTGAGAGGACAGGGGATGTATGATGGGAGGTAGGGAGGGGTAGATGGTGTGGTATGGTGGTTAAGGTTACAGACTTTAGGTGAATGCTCTTAACTTGGGGTCCAAATTCCAATTGCTAGACATATGACCAATAATATTGTAGTCTGGCAACTGAGAATAGGGGCTCTTGTTTCTTTACTGTTGTACCCCCAGGCCAAGAACAGCACCTGGCACTACAACAAATATTTGGTGCATGAATGAATGAATGTTACTGCTATTGGTGTACCCAAATCTGCCTGTTGGCTGTTGTGAAATGACTATAGCTCCAATTCTATCCATACATTCCTAGCAATGCCTGAGAAAGGCAGAGAAAATAGAGAAATAATGAGCTTATAAGCATCATCAGCCCATAAATTCTTCATTCCCAGGGAAAGTAAATCAAGCTGTTCTTTCTCCCTTTGTGTGTCCCTGAGGCTCAGCTCTGATCATTTCTCTTTTTCTTCTAGGCTGCCTATGATACTCATCTGACCTGATTTCTCCTGCACAGTGTTGCAACTGACGAGTAGCAGACTTGCCCTTGCCTGCATTTGGGGGGATGGCTGAGACTTTCCTTACAGAAAGCCCTACTTTCAGCATGAACACTAACCCAGTTTATTGGCTCAGGGTGTAGAGAGTTGCCTTGTCACTGGCGAAGTCAGATGCAGCCAGTACCAGAGCTCTGCACTAGCTGTGAACACTAAGGAAGAATAGCTGAGTGAGGAAGCAGAGTGCCAGGCAGCACATCCTTCTTCAGGTGTTTCCTGCCCTGGGCCAGATCCCAGGCACTGCAGCAATATCTCTGCATGATCTAGGGCTCCTGGAAATAGCCCATTAAGGGCAAAACTCGCTGCCCAGAAAACATTAGAACATTAAAAGAGCAGGGTCTCATCTGATTGTCTTGGTTTCCTGAGGCTCATTCAGTCTGTGTCCACTGGTTTCAGTCTGAGTTCTCTGCACTTTGAGGATGCAGACAGTGAAGTTCTCCCATGGTTATAGGGGGAGAGATCATAGGAATGCTATGGAAAGAGGCCTGAAGTCAGAGCCAGCTAGTGGTTATTATTTATTAATTGCCTGTGAGGTGCCAGGCGCACATATTAGACCATATGTGATTGCAGTGAGCCACCCGGATCCCCTTCAAGCTGCTGCTGCAGCTGATGGAAGTCCTATTGGCAGACAGCCTTCTCTCATCAGCCCCTTCAGGACTTGCCTCAGTTGCAGAGAGCTGCCTTCCCCAAGATCACACCCTTCCCTGGGGACTCACAACCAATGGCTGATCCAGAAGAATCCATAAAGCCCGTATCATTTCAGCCCAATTTAGGACAGCTTTGTTGAGCCATTAGACCTACATGCAGCCCAACCTCTCCTTCTACCCACTTCTTCTTTCTTCCCTTTCCTTCCACGGTGTCTGTTCCAAGCACTTGCCTTAATAAACATGTAACAGGTTAAACTCTGTCTCGATGTCTGCTTCAAGGAGAACCCAACCTGTGACAGTGATAACAGATAAAAACAAAGGACATCACTTTTCCCTGCCTTACTTTCCATTTACCACTAAAAAGGGTCTTGGACTTGCCCACTCAGTTTCTTCTCTTTCTTCACTCTTTGGAGATGGTCCCTCCACTACCACAGACACAAAAAAGAAGAGTTGGGAAGAGAGAGGGGTGAAAACATTTGGGGCACTGCAGGCCTAGTGCTAGGTGACTGAAGACTACCTGGAGGGTGCAGGAAGTGACTGTTTCTCCATCATGTATTGTATTGCTATAGTGACTTAAAAAACAAGTAGGTGATTTGTGTTTTTTTGGTTTTTTTTTGTTTTTTTGGTTTTTTTTTTGAGACAGAGTCTCGCTCTGTCACCCAGGCTGGAGTGCAGTGGCGCTATCTTGGCTCACTGCAAGCTCCACCTCCTGGGTTCACACCATTCTCCTGCCTCAGCCTCCCGAGTAGCTGGGACTACAGGCGCCCACCACCGCGCCCGGCTAATTTTTTGTATTTTTAGTAGAGACGGGGTTTCACCGTGTTAGCCAGGATGGTCTCGATCTCCTGACCTCGTGATCCGCCCGCCTCGGCCTCCCATGATTTGTTTTAAAATTACTTTTCAATTGCTGGACTGTGTTCTTGGACCATGACATTATTCTTAACTCAGGCTATATGGGCCATGGTTGCAACAGGATTACAATTATAACAACCTTCACATCACGTGTTATTATTCTCATTTTATAGGTAAAGAAACTGAGGCACAGAGAGGCTGCATTTTAGGATCCACTTTGCTTCTGTGTGACCTTGAAATATTTATTTAATTTTTTGGACCTTGTGACCAAAAGATGCCGAACAAGCAAGGAAATGAACTAAATGTTGAAGTGCCTTCCAATTTTAAGATTCCAAATTTTTTATAGAATTAATAATTTTAAAGTATTTTTCCACATTAATTTTGACATCATGATATGACATTAATAAGGTAATTGCAAAATTAGTTTTATTACCTTAAGGTATACCTAGATTGCATAGTTGGATTATCTTTAGTCCCCTGTGAAATATGTAATGATGTACTGTTTCCCCAATTTACATTTGGATAAGCCAAGGCTCAGAGAAATCAAGTTATTAGTGTGAAAATATTGCCACTTAATGTAAGATCCAGGTCACAGACTCAGATTTCCTCCCATCTCTTCTAGTGCTTTTCCTATACTACTACTCGATTCCTTTTGGCCTGAGGTTCTTGTATTGTTATCTATCAATCACTACATAATAAATTACCTTACAACCGAGTTGCTTACAATAACCAACATTTACAATTTCACACACCTTCTAGGGGGTCGAAGAGAGGCTTAACCTGAGTGGTTCCGACTCCAGGTCTCTCAAGGGGTTATAAGCAGATGTTGTCTGGGGCTGCAGCTGTGAAGGTTTGCCTAGAACTAAAGGATCCTCTTTCAAGATGGCATACTCTCTTGGTTGTTGACCGAAGGCCTTTATTTCTCACTGTCCAGAGGAATCTCCATAGGACTGCTCAAGTGTGCTCTCAACATGGCAATTGATCTCCCCAAAAATGAGCAATTCAAGAGGAAGAACGAGAAGAAAGCTGTAGTGCCCTTTATGACCTGGCTCAGAATCACACATCAGCACTTTCTCCATATTCTATTCATTAGCAATGATTTGCTAAGTCCAACACATATTCAAGAGGAGTAGAATAAAGCTCCAAATCTTGAAAGGAATAATATCAAAAAATTTCTGAACTGTGTTAAAATGACCACAGCTCTGCTCTTTGGGTGGCTAAAAATTTCCATATTAAGGGTGGGAAGTGCTTTTCTCCCCCAGGAAATTCAAGCCAGAAGAGTGAACCAGGCTAGAAAAACTTCACTGCCTAAGAAGTTTATGCAGGTGTCACATTAGATAGCAGTTTACAGGTCTCTTTATTTCTTGGTTTCTTAAAAAATTCAGACAATACCATAGAAATAATGCAATGGTAGGTGACACCTGCAGTTTTTGCCTTCTTGGGATCCATTCCTTTCTGCCAATTTTACCTTGGGGAACCTCCATTCACTTCTCTTAATCTATATGGAACTGATTATTTGAATCCACTTCATTCAGTTCCTAAGATGTACATGTGAGCCAGGCCTGACAAATGAGCATATTCCATTACCCTGGCCATAGTGGTTAATACTGGGACAGGCATAGAAACTACATGGGTTCAATTAAAGTTGTGTTGGAACTATTGGGAGCAGTTTTCTTTCTGTAGGGTTTCTTATGTTCCTTCTATCGTATTAGGAGGGTTTGCCTGATAATGAAGTCAGCACAGAGGAGAAATGGCACCAAGAAACGGGGAAAGGGAAAGAGACAGACAGAGAGAAAAAGACAGAGTGACAGAAAAAGAGTGGGTGTGTCTTGGTGGTATCATTAATCACACCTAGAAAATCTAACATGACTCAGGCCTGCTCTATTGCTGGAGTTTTTAAGCCATAAGCCAATAAAATTCCTAATTTGATTATTTTAGTGGCAATAAAAATTCAAATATACAATTACAAGTAATAATATCTCTCTCTTTTTATTATATATTAGGACATGTGCTAAGACCTTAATACCATCTTATTTATTTCTTAACATTTTGAGGGAGATACTATTATTCTTTTTTAAAGATGAGGTTCACTGAGGGTGAGACACTTGTCATCAATCATCCTTCTAAGGAATAGATAAGTTGGAATGAGAATCAAGTCTTGTGTGACTAGGAAGCCACTCTCATCACTGTGCCGCCTTGCCCATATTTATTGGGGAATTTTCAAAAACCTACTGATCCAATTATTTAGGTAAGAGTAGTGATTACTACCAATTACTCAGACCCTGGTCTTCTGCGAAACTTATATGCATTGTCGCACTCAATCCTCACGTTGACTTTAGGATGGAAATATTACCATGCTCATTTCACAGATGAGGAACCTGACGGTCAGAATAGTTTTGACCCAGATATATCTGACAAGAGTCCACAAATATTTGCTTGAATTCCAGTCATGATTCAACTAATAGAGTCTGTGGCTATTTTAGAAAGAACATTGGGATCCAGTTCAAAATGGGTTTTTAAAATATTTCCTATTAGGATAACCAACTTATCTCAGTTTTCCCAGGACCTTTCCAGTTTTAAAACTGAAAGGTAAGCTGTTCACCCCACCTCCCACAGGCAGTGGCAAATGGAAGGAGACTAGAACATTTGTCCGTTGTTGGCAGATATTTTAAAAAGGGAATTAGGGGCCAGAGACCGCTTCCCACCCAATCAAGAGAGAGAACAGACCTCCTTTTAGGATTTGGGAAAGGCAAGAAACCCAGAGAAGCCTGGCTTCCTTAATAGCTCATCTACAGGATACGCTTAAAAGGTTGAACCTGGGGGTGTTCCAGTGATGAAGATGCCCTGAACATCTGTTCCCAAATTTCCTGCGCCTAGAAGACATGCTTTAGTTAATCAGCACTTTCAGTCCCAGCAGGTGGTGGCCTTTGTCAATACATGAACCTTCTGAAGTGGGAACCTGTCTTTAGAGTAGCTGTAGGTGATAGACAGGATGCAGATCACAGAGCCAGAAGTCTTAGGTTTGCACCCAGCTCTGTCACTAACTCTTGTGTCACCTCTCGGCCTTGGTTCCTCTCATCCTTAAAATAGGTTGGGTAGTGAGCCCCTTAGAGTTTTGCAGTGTAAATTAATGAGTTAACATGCATTGATGCTTTGAATGCTGAAAGGTTTTTGAATACAATGGATTCTGGTAATGATCAATTTTAAAAAGTCTACCTCTTTGAAATCAATACCTCTATAGCTTAGGTTTTCATTTATGTTTTTTTAATTATGGACACTTCTGAAGGATTCCATCCATAGACTGCAAATTTACAAATAACTCTGTATGGCAGGAAAAATATTATCCCTCACAAATGTCCATGTCCTAATCCCTAAAACCTGTGATTATGTTACTTGGCAAAGGAGAATTAAAGTTGCGGATGGAATTAAAGTTGGTAATCAGCTGACGTTAACAAGGGTCCTTAAACGTGGAAGAGAGAGGTGGAAGAGTCGATGTCAGAGTGATGTGGCGTGAGAGATATGTGACTGACCATTGCTGGCTCTGATGGTGGAGGAAGGGGTCACGGCCAAGGAACGCAGGCAATCTCTAGAACTGGAAATGGCAAAGAAGTGGAATCTCCTCTACAGCCTACAGAAGAAACATAACTCTGGCGACACCTTAATTTTAGCTCACTGAAACCCATTGCAGACTTCTGAACTCCAGAAATGTAAGATAATAAATTTGAGTCATTTTTAGTCACCAACTTTGTAATGATTTGTGATAGCAGCAACAGAAAACTAATACACTCTCTAATCAAAATAATCCACAAGAAATATATGTAGGATTGTCATGGGAAGTGAAGCAATCACTCATCGGGAGATGGAGTATTTACTCATGCTTCTCTGAGGAGCCTGGGAATGAGCTGTTTAAGAACGGAAGGCATGATGCTTAATGGATGCATCTCCAGAATCTCTTATAGGCTATTGTGATCCATAGGAAGTCAGGAAGACCTCTTTGAAGGTAAAGGTTGATAAAATCTGGCTGGGCATGGTGGCTCATCCCTGTAATCCCAGCACTTTGGGAGGCCAAGGTGGGCAGATCACCTGAGGTCAGGAGTTCGAGACTAGCCAGGCCAACATGGTGAAACCCAGTCTCTACTAAAAATACAAAATTAGCCAGGCGTGGTGGCAAGTGTCTGTAGTCCCAGCTACTCAGGAGGCTGAGGCAGAAGAATCACTTGAACCCAGGAGGCGGAAGCTGCAGTGAGCCTAGATCATGCCACTGGACTCCAGCCTGGGTGACAGAGTAAGACTCCGTCTCAAAAATAAATAAATAAGGCCTGGCGAGATGGCTCACGCCTGTAATCCCAGCACTTTGGGAGGCCAAGGCGGGCGGATCACGAGGTCAAGAGATTGAGACCATCCTGGCTAACATGGTGAAACTCTGTCTCTATTAAAAATACAAAAAATTAACTGGGCGTGGTGGCACAGGCCTGTAGTCCCAGTTACTCAGGAGGCTGAGGCAGGAGAATCGCTTGAACCCAGGAGGCGGAGGTTGCAGTGAGCCAAGATCGTGCCACTGCACTACAGCCTGGGTGACAGAGTGAGACTCTGCCTCAAAATAATAATAAATAAATAAACAAAGTTGGTAAAATCTTCACCCATTTCACTTCTAACGTATACTTCCAAAGCCATCTAAACCACTCTTGGCTCCCCTGTCTAGGTTAACTGCGATCAATGTTTGAGAATAAATGACAAAGGCAGCTGGTGTTTCTTGTGAGGTAGTTTGAAATGTGGCATTTTTCCCATTTTCTCTAAAGGAGAGGAAGTGTAGCAAAATAGCAAAAGGGGTGCAATTTGAAATTCAACTGACCAGGATGAAATTGTGCCCCCAACACTTACAAGCTGTGTGACCTTGTGCAAGTTACATAGCATCCCCAATAATGTTTTCCCACTGATAAATTTGGGCTGCTTAGAAAACCTCCCTGAAGATGGAGGGAAATTAAACAAAATAATGAAAGTAAAGGGTTTTTCATGATGCCTGCCTCATGGTAAATTCTCCAGAAATATTAACTATTTTGCTATTGCCCACTTCTAATCTGAAGGATTAGAAAAGGAAATTAAGAAGGAAACAATGAAAGCAACCCAGCATGCTAAATGTCCTGTGAGAGAATGGGCACAGCAGGATAGTAAGAGGCTGACAGTGAAACCCAGAAAATGAAGGGGAGTAGGCAAATACCGACTTCGGTGCTGGCAAATCTTTGCAACGTGGCTGACTCAATCCTTATGAAAGGGTTGCTCCCTCTGCCATTCTTTCCAGGCATATCAAAACCTGTGTTTAAAAAAGGCCAACTATGTGTTTGTGTGTAGTAAGTAATTATTAAAATTCATTTGCAGCCCCGGGTGCTAGTGTTTTACTAATGTCTTCATGCTGCTAAGAGGATTCAAGGGTTCTATCAGGGTGTGCGTAATTTAGTGGGCAGGGCAGGGGCTTTGGAGTCACACAGACCTCAGTTCATATCTTCACTCTGCTACTTTCCAACTGCCCATCCTCCTGTCCATGAAAGGGAAGTAATGTTACCCACCTTCCAGAGATCTTTTCAGGATTAAATGTGATACACAGGTGAGGGGCTTGCACATTACCAGGAGTACTTGGCATAGCAGTAGTTATGTATTACTGGTATGAATTATTTGGGATAAAAAGGCTTGATTCTAGTACCGGCTGTATTACTTAATATGACCTGGGGGAAATCCTAAACCAATTCTGAGGTTGTTCCTCCTCCTGTACAAATAGGATAAATGAAAAGTACTACTTTATGAGGCTGTTGTGTGTCAGATTAGGCAATGCTTGGATGTAAAAGTCTTATGTTTTGAGTAAATTGGAATATAAATTTTCCTACTTGTACCAAAAGGCCCTGTTGTCCCCATTTCTCTCTCCTAGTACCCTGCCTCACTGGCTGGCACATTCACCACTGACTTGTGTTAAGGTGGTGAAATTCTAGCACTTAAAGTCTCCTGGATAATGCTTCATGTGGTTGAGCTCCATAGACACAGGTGAGGAAGTGACAGAAGTGCAGGGAGAGGGTAAAGTGAACAATTGATGTCCTCTTCTGTAACAGGCAGGAGTAAATTTCTGGATTCTAGCAGTAGAGCAGGGGCTACATCAGCACAAGTAACATAAAGGCCTGGATACACAAGGAACTACCAGGAATAACTGCCTATGTGTCTGGTACTACATCATTTACTTTCCCCAAATATAACCCCACTTAATCTTCCCAACTAGAAATCATTTTCCTCATTTTCTAGCAGAGAAAACTGAGGCCCAGAGAGGTTAAGTAGACTATCTACAATCACACAGAGAGCAAAGAGTAGACCTAGGACGTGTTCTGGCTCCAAAGTTGATGCTCTTTCCACTCATCTATATTATATTCCTGAAATTCCAGTTTGATTATATCATGACTCTTCTGAGACCCAGGTTAACTCAGACACTAATAGGATTAAATTCTATAAATAACATGCTTAAACCATTAAACTAGATAAGTTTAGGGAACATATTAAAACTTTTGATGTACTGTAAGCCTTGTAATAATCTTAGAATTTCCCACTTGCCAGGTTTCATTGGTTGTAGTGTGCAACCATTGACATTTTCCACATAGCATTTTCTAAGGTATATCCCATAAAATACTATAATTATTAATGACAACAAAAACTACAACTGCCACAATTAAACTACAATTAAACTCCACAATCCAAATTTACAGAGGGTTTATCATAAGCTAGGCACTGGTTAAATGATTTAAATGGACTATCTCATTAAATACTTAAAATGCTCTTTTGAAGTAGATGCTTTTATCTTCATTTTATAAAAGAAAAAAACAAGTCTTGGAGTAATTATTCATCTGAGAAAAGTAAGTTACATTCTCAAATATGTTTTGGACCAATTTAATTAAACCAAGTTGAGACTTGGATGTCAGCATGATAGAATAGTTGGTCTCTTGCTCACATCTCCCACACAGACAACAATCTGGCAGCCATTCACAAGCAAGAGTGCCTTTGTGGGAGCTTTTGGATCTAGGGTAAAGGTTGTGAAACCCTGATGAAGCCCCAAACTGAGAAGAGCTGATTTGAGAATGGGGACACGTAACCCTGGTATCAGGCTTGCCAAACATGGTCCTAACAACAGACTGAAAGCAGTCCCATCCCCTCCATTTGATTGTAGTCCTAAAACCAGTCCCATCTA
This sequence comes from Homo sapiens, assembly GCF_000001405.40. Taxonomy (NCBI): domain Eukaryota; kingdom Metazoa; phylum Chordata; class Mammalia; order Primates; family Hominidae; genus Homo; species Homo sapiens. The sequence continues at coordinate 63,132,879 of NC_000003.12, forward strand.
CCAAAGGGCTCTGGAAAAACCATGCCTGTCCATTACCTGTTACAGGGCCACTCGTGGCAGACGTAACCACAGATACTGAAGTCGCCCTGTGAGCAGCTCTAGCCTTGCTCTTTGTCCTGCCCACCCAGGGACCTAGAGAAACGCATCTCTGCCTCTAGTAACAGACTGACTGACTTCAGTTCCAACTGTGAATGCTGAATGCAGCCTTAGCTGTGAACCCTGAAGTGGCCCAAAGACTTGGTTCCAGCCTTGCTCTACCCAGGTCCCAGGGTCAGTCCTGTCCACACGGGGATTCAGGAGAAACCATGCCCATTTATGACTCCAGTAACAGGCCTACCAACTCAGACCTGGCAACAGCCCCATGCCCTGGCTCCAGCCCCACTTAAATGTGATCCCAGAAGCAGTTCCACTCGTCTGGGGACCTGGCATAAGAACATTTTTACCTATTAAAACCATCTGTAAAGATAAGAAGAGATGTTTGCTCCTTGAGATGCATAGACATCAACATAAGGCCACACAGATCATGAAGAATCAGGCAAACATGAAAACACAGAAGGAAACTAATAATGCTTCAGTAACTGACACCAAAGAAATGGAGATCTACAAACTGACTGAAAATAATTCAAAATAATTGTTTTAAATGTGTTCAGCTAGCTGTATTACTTAATACGACCTGGGGGAAATCCTAAACCAATTCTGAGGTTGTTCCTCCTTCTGTACAAATAGGATAATGAAAAGCGGTACAAGAGAGCACAGATAAGACTCCACCAAAAAACTGTTGTAACTAATAAGTTAATTCAGTAAAGTTGCAGGATATAAAATCAATATTAAAAAATCAGCTGTTTCTTTATACTAACAATTCACTATTGAAAAAAATTAAAAACAACCCCACTTACAATACTATCAAAAACAAAATACTTAGGAATAAATTTAAGGAGGTAAAAGATCTGTATACTGAATACTGTAAAACACTGATGAGAGAAATTGAACAAGACAAAAATAAATGGAGTGATATCCCATATTCGTGGTTTCGAATAATTAATATAATCAAAATGTCCACACTACAGAGAGCAAGCTACAGGTTTAAGGCAATCTCTATCAGAATTACAATGGCATTTTTTCACAAAAATAGATAAAATAATTCAGACACAGAAAGAAAAATACTGCATAATCTCACTTATATGCAGAATTTTAAAAAGCTAACATCAAAGGAGCAGAGAGTGGAAGAGTGGTTACCAGGGTCTGGGGGAAAAGGGGACATGGGGAGATGCTGATCAAAGGGTATAAACATTCAATTATAAGATGAATAAATTCTAGAAATCTAATGCTTAGCATGGGTACTGTCATTGATAATAATACATTGTATATTTGAAATTTGCTAAGAGAGATCTTAAGTATTACCACACACACACACACACACACACACACACACACAAATGGTAACTATGTGAGGTGATGAATATGTTAATTATTTAATGGCTTCATTATGGTAATCTCTTCACAATGTATATGTATAACAAAAAATCACATCATATACCTATAGTATATAAAATTTTCATTTGTTAATCATAACTCAGTAAAGCTAGGATAAAAAATAAGTTGAGCTGGTTGCAGTACTTTTCAGAGCCTTCAATATGATAGTGGACTCTGTGAATCTCCAAAAAGGGGACACTTATTCAGTGATTGCCAAATGTATCTGACATGGGATGCTTTCTCTACTGGCCATGTCTTTGGGAAATTCTGCCCTTCTCTGCATGCTAACTTGTCTGTTCTCTCTGATGAAGCAGAGCTCTTGTATTCTGCTTATGTATTGCCTGCCTGATCATCTTTTAACAGGCCATGAAGTTTTTTCTCTTTCCCCAAACTTCATGTTTGTCGTCTCTAAGAGGGATAGAAGGAAGTGTGAATTGCTTTTTATAGAGAATTGAGTCACTGATAGTTTGTACTTAACATACGAGGCAGTGGTTGTCTGTTTTCTTAGGAGACATACAGCTTAGGTCTGAAAAAGGAGATCAGTTATGCTCTCCCTCTTTCAAACCACAGAAGAAAGAATAGGAAAAATGAATTTGCAAAGGTTGTGAATGTGAATGATGGTCTGGGAATATTTAATCCTTAAGGAAAATTGTGGGCAGGTATGATTTTTAAAAATTCATTCTCAATTAACTTTAGATGGTACTTATCAAACATTTCTTATACCCAGCATTATGCTAAAGATAGTGTGGAAAATAATAAGGGGTGTTTTTGTTCCCTGCCCTCAAAGACCTTATGATTGTAAGGGTACATGCAAAAAGTAATGAGGGGAATACGATAATTTAAATCTTCCTATTTTTAGTTTAGATATATTTATAATAAATGTAAAAATTAAGAATTACCTGCTTGGAAATCAATTGCCTTTGCCACTTAAAGTCTATTTTCTGAACTTCTAGCCTTAAGGTAATTATGTAAAATCAACCTCCTCCTTTTGAAAATCACTCCCAGAACATCATGGAATACAGCAATACAAATTCCATCTCATATCAAATCATCTTCCATTAAATTAAATATATAACTCCTAAAGTATAATGTATGAAGACAGAAGGCAGATGTAGGAATGGTAAATGACTAAGCAGAGTACAGTAGTCATTTACTCAGGTGTCAGATTGCCCTGAAGAGCCTCATAAAGGCTCAGGAATTAAAGGAATCTGATTTTTCAGATGGTGGTAGTCAAGTGGTGGCTAAAAATAGGGAGGTATTTTGAAAGTCAGTGGGAGGAGCAATTGTGCCTGTAGTTCTCTAGACTCCTGCCTTCATGACCCCCTCACAAGATGGAAAGAATGGCCCCTGATAGAATTAAACCACAGAGGCTTTAGACTTGGAATCCCAGGGACAAAAGAGGGTAGAGGGGAGGTGTAAATGGAAAATAGAGAGCTAAGTGAAAGCCTGCCTTTTACAATAAGCTTCACAGCCCCATACCTCTGTCTAATTCAAAGCTATTACAAGCAGTCTTATACCCTTAGCCCCACACATAAAACTGAGGATTCCTTATCTGGAGAAACTGAATGACCCCCTAGAAGGATTTGCTTGGGGGAATCCCAAATGAAATATTCAGCTGGCCATGAAATCTAAAATTAGCCCACCAGATGATAAGTTTCAACCATGCACACAACATTTCTCTTCACTTTTTTTAGCACTTAACTAAAAAAGAAGGAAAAAGAAAGTCAAGGATCACCACATATTCAAGAGAAGCTGTTAATTTATGAAAGAGAGGGAAAGATAAACTAACAAATATTAGAATAAACAAAGACAATGCAAACAAATAGGACTTAAAAGAAACTTTAAAAAAATCTTCAAATAGATAAGACAGTGCATCTATGAAACAAGAAGAAATACCTATAAAAAAGAGAACATTTCGGAGGAGGAGCCAAGATGGCCGAATAGGAACAGCTCCGGTCTACAGCTCCCAGTGTGAGCGACGCAGAAGACGGGTGATTTCTGCATTTGCATCTGAGGTACCGGGTTCATCTCACTAGGGAGTGCCAGACAGTGGGCGCAGGCCAGTGTGTGCGCGCAATGTGCGCGAGCCGAAGCAGGGCGAGGCATTGCCTCACCTGGGAAGTGCAAGGGGTCAGGGAGTTCCCTTTCCGAGGCAAAGAAAGGGGTGACGGAGGCACCTGGAAAATCGGGTCACTCCCACCCGAATATTGCGCTTTTCAGACCGGCTTAAAAAACGGCGCACCACGAGACTATATCCCACACCTGGCTTGGAGGGTCCTACGCCCACGGAATCTCGCTGATTGCTAGCACAGCAGTCTGAGATCAAACTGCAAGGCGGCAGCGAGGCTGGGGGAGGGGCGCCCGCCATTGCCCAGGCTTGCTTAGGTAAACAAAGCAGCCGGGAAGCTCGAACTGGGTGGAGCCCACCACAGCTCAAGGAGGCCTGCCTGCCTCTGTAGGCTCCACCTCTGGGGGCAGGGCACAGACAAACAAAAAGACAGCAGTAACCTCTGCAGACTTAAGTGTCCCTGTCTGACAGCTTTGAAGAGAGCAGTGGTTCTCCCAGCACGCAGCTGGAGATCTGAGAACGGGCAGACTGCCTCCTCAAGTGGGTCCCTGACCCCTGACCCCCGAGCAGCCTAACTGGGAGGCACCCCCCAGCAGGGGCACACTGACACCTCACACGGCAGGGTATTCCAACAGACCTGCAGCTGAGGGTCCTGTCTGTTAGAAGGAAAACTAACAAACAGAAAGGACATCCACACCGAAAACCCATCTGTACATCACCATCATCAAAGACCAAAAGCAGATAAAACCACAAAGATGGGGAAAAAACAGAACAGAAAAACTGGAAACTCTAAAACGCAGAGCGCCTCTCCTCCTCCAAAGGAACGCAGTTCCTCACCAGCAACGGAACAAAGCTGGATGGAGAATGACTTTGACGAGCTGAGAGAAGAAGGTTTCAGACGATCAAATTACTCTGAGCTACGGGAGGACATTCAAACCAAAGGCAAAGAAGTTGAAAACTTTGAAAAAAATTTAGAAGAATGTATAACTAGAATAACCAATACAGAGAAGTGCTTAAAGGAGCTGATGGAGCTGAAAACCAAGGCTCGAGAACTACGTGAAGAATGCAGAAGCCTCAGGAGCCGATGCGATCAACTGGAAGAAAGGGTATCAGCAATGGAAGATGAAATGAATGAAATGAAGCGAGAAGGGAAGTTTAGAGAAAAAAGAATAAAAAGAAATGAGCAAAGCCTCCAAGAAATATGGGACTATGTGAAAAGACCAAATCTACGTCTGATTGGTGTACCTGAAAGTGATGAGGAGAATGGAACCAAGTTGGAAAACACTCTGCAGGATATTATCCAGGAGAACTTCCCCAATCTAGCAAGGCAGGCCAACGTTCAGATTCAGGAAATACAGAGAATGCCACAAAGATACTCCTCGAGAAGAGCAACTCCAAGACACATAATTGTCAGATTCACCAAAGTTGAAATGAAGGAACAAGTGTTAAGGGCAGCCAGAGAGAAAGGTCGGGTTACCCTCAAAGGGAAGCCCATCAGACTAACAGCGGATCTCTCAGCAGAAACCCTACAAGCCAGAAGAGAGTGGGGGCCAATATTCAACATTCTTTAAGAAAAGAATTTTCAACCCAGAATTTCATATCCAGCCAAACTAAGCTTCATAAGTGAAGGAGAAATAAAATCCTTTACAGACAAGCAAATGCTGAGAGATTTTGTCACCACCAGGCCTGCCCTAAAAGAGCTCCTGAAGGAAGCGCTAAACATGGAAAGGAACAACCGGTACCAGCCGCTGCAAAATCATGCCAAAATGTAAAGACCATGGAGACTAGGAAGAAACTGCATCAACTAACGAGCAAAATCACCAGCTAACATCATAATGACAGGATCAAATTCACACATAACAATATTAACTTTAAATGTAAATGGACTAAATTCTGCAATTAAAAGACACAGACTGGCAAGTTGGATAAAGAGTCAAGACCCATCAGTGTGCTGTATTCAGGAAACCCATCTCACGTGCAGAGACACACACAGGCTCAAAATAAAAGGATGGAGGAAGATCTACCAAGCCAATGGAAAACAAAAAAAAGGCAGGGGTTGCAATCCTAGTCTCTGATAAAACAGACTTTAAACCAACAAAGATCAAAAGAGACAAAGAAGGCCATTACATAATGGTAAAGGGATCAATTCGACAAGAGGAGCTAACTATCCTAAATATATATGCACCCAATACAGGAGCACCCAGATTCATACAGCAAGTCCTGAGTGACCTACAAAGAGACTTAGACTCCCACACATTAATAATGGGAGACTTTAACACCCCACTGTCAACATTAGACAGATCAACGAGACAGAAAGTCAACAAGGATACCCAGGAATTGAACTCAGCTCTGCACCAAGTGGACCTAATAGACACCTACAGAACTCTCCACCCCAAATCAACAGAATATACATTTTTTTCAGCACCACACCACACCTATTCCAAAATTGACCACATAGTTGGAAGTAAAGCTCTCCTCAGCAAATGTAAAAGAACAGAAATTATAACAAACTATCTCTCAGACCACAGTGCAATCAAACTAGAACTCAGGATTAAGAATCTCACTCAAAGCCGCTCAACTACATGGAAACTGAACAACCTGCTCCTGAATGACTACTGGGTACATAACGAAATGAAGGCAGAAATAAAGATGTTCTTTGAAACCAACGAGAACAAAGACACAACATACCAGAATCTCTGGGACGCATTCAAAGCAGTGTGTAGAGGGAAATTTATAGCACTAAATGCCTACAAGAGAAAGCAGGAAAGATCCAAAATTGACACCCTAACATCACAATTAAAAGAACTAGAAAAGCAAGAGCAAACACATTCAAAAGCTAGCAGAAGGCAAGAAATAACTAAAATCAGAGCAGAACTGAAGGAAATAGAGACACAAAAAACCCTTCAAAAAATGAATGAATCCAGGAGCTGGTTTTTTGAAAGGATCAACAAAATTGATAGACCGCTAGCAAGACTAATAAAGAAAAAAAGAGAGAAGAATCAAATAGACACGATAAAAAATGATAAAGGCGATATCACCACCGATCCCACAGACATACAAACTACCATCAGATAATACTATAAACACCTCTACGCAAATAAACTAGAAAATCTAGAAGAAATGGATATATTCCTCGACACATACACTCTCCCAAGACTAAACCAGGAAGAAGTTGAATCTCTGAATAGACCAATAACAGGCTCTGAAATTGTGGCAATAATCAATAGTTTACCAACCAAAAAGAGTCCAGGACCAGATGGATTCACAGCCGAATTCTACCAGAGGTACAAGGAGGAACTGGTACCATTCCTTCTGAAACTATTCCAATCAATAGAAAAAGAGGGAATCCTCCCTAACTCATTTTATGAGGCCAGCATCATTCTGATACCAAAGCCGGGCAGAGACACAACCAAAAAAGAGAATTGTAGACCAATATCCTTGATGAACATTGATGCAAAAATCCTCAATAAAATACTGGCAAACCGAATCCAGCAGCACATCAAAAAGCTTATCCACCATGATCAAGTGGCCTTCATCCCTGGGATGCAAGGCTGGTTCAATATACGCAAATCAATAAATGTAATCCAGCATATAAACACAGCCAAAGACAAAAACCACATGATTATCTCAATAGATGCAGAAAAAGCCTTTGACAAAATTCAACAACCCTTCATGCTAAAAACTCTCAATAAATTAGGTATTGATGGGACATATTTCAAAATAATAAGAGCTATCTATGACAAACCCACAGCCAATATCATACTGAATGGGCAAAAACTGGAAGCATTCCCTTTGAAAACTGGCACAAGACAGGGATGCCCTCTCTCACCACTCCTATTCAACATAGTGTTGGAAGTTCTGGCCAGGGCAATCAGGCAGGAGAAGGAAATAAAGGGTATTCAATTAGGAAAAGAGGAAGTCAAATTGTCCCTGTTTGCAGACGACATGATTGTTTATCTAGAAAACCCCATCATCTCAGCCCAAAATCTCCTTAAGCTGATAAGCAACTTCAGCAAAGTCTCAGGATACAAAATCAATGTACAAAAATCACAAGCATTCTTATACACCAACAACAGACAAACAGAGAGCCAAATCATGAATGAACTCCCATTAACAATTGCTTCAAAGAGAATAAAATACCTAGGAATCCAACTTACAAGGGATGTGAAGGACCTCTTCAAGGAGAACTACAAACCACTGCTCAAGGAAATAAAAGAGGACACAAACAAATGGAAGAACATTCCATGCTCATGGGTAGGAAGAATCAATATCGTGAAAATGGCCATACTGCCCAAGGTAATTTACAGATTCAATGCCATCCCCATCAAGCTACCAATGACTTTCTTCACAGAATTGGAAAAAACTACTTTAAAGTTCATATGGAACCAAAAAAGAGCCCGCATCGCCAAGTCAATCCTAAGCCAAAGGAACAAAGCTGGAGGCATCACACTACCTGACTTCAAACTATACTACAAGGCTACAGTAACCAAAACAGCATGGTACTGGTACCAAAACAGAGATATAGATCAATGGAACAGAACAGAGCCCTCAGAAATAACGCTGCATACCTACAACTATCTGATCTTTGACAAACCTGAGAAAAACAAGCAATGGGGAAAGGATTCCCTATTTAATAAATGGTGCTGGGAAAACTGGCTAGCCATATGTAGAAAGCTGAAACTGGATCCCTTCCTTACACCTTATACAAAAATCAATTCAAGATGGATTAAAGATTTAAACGGTAGACCTAAAACCATAAAAACCCTAGAAGAAAACCTAGGCATTACCATTCAGGACATAGGCGTGGGCAAGGACTTCATGTCCAAAACACCAAAAGCAATGGCAACAAAAGCCAAAATTGACAAATGGGATCTAATTAAACTAAAGAGCTTCTGCACAGCAAAAGAAACTACCATCAGAGTGAACAGGCAACCTACAACATGGGAGAAAATTTTCGCAACCTACTCATCTGACAAAGGGCTAATATCCAGAATCTACAATGAACTCAAACAAATTTACAAGAAAAAAACAAACAACCCCATCAAAAAGTGGGCGAAGGACATGAACAGACACTTCTCAAAAGAAGACATTTATGCAGCCAAAAAACACATGAAAAAATGCTCATCATCACTGGCCATCAGAGAAATGCAAATCAAAACCACTATGAGATATCATCTCACACCAGTTAGAATGGCGATCATTAAAAAGTCAGGAAACAACAGGTGCTGGAGAGGATGTGGAGAAATAGGAACACTTTTACACTGTTGGTGGGACTGTAAACTAGTTCAACCATTGTGGAAGTCAGTGTGGCGATTCCTCAGGGATCTAGAACTAGAAATACCATTTGACCCAGCCATCCCATTACTGGGTATATACCCAAAGGACTATAAATCATGCTGCTATAAAGACACATGCACACGTATGTTTATTGCGGCACTATTCACAATAGCAAAGACTTGGAACCAACCCAAATGTCCAACAATGATAGACTGGATTAAGAAAATGTGGCACATATACACCATGGAATACTATGCAGCCATAAAAAATGATGAGTTCATGTCCTTTGTAGGGACATGGATGAAAGTGGAAACCATCATTCTCAGTAAACTATCGCAAGAACAAAAAACCAAACACCGCATATTCTCACTCATAGGTGGGAACTGAACAATGAGATCACATGGACACAGGAAGGGGAATATCACACTCTGGGGACTGTGGTGGGGTGGGGGGAGGGGGGAGGGATAGCATTGGGAGATATACCTAATGCTAGATGACGAGTTAGTGGGTGCAGCGCACCAGCATGGCACATGTATACATATGTAACTAACCTGCACAATGTGCACATGTACCCTAAAACTTAAAGTATAATTAAAAAAAAAAAAAAAAGAACATTTCTTCAGAAATAAAATCTATGATGGGGAAAAAAATAGTTAAAGGGTTACAATATAGAGACAGGAAATCTCTCCCTCCAAAACCAATAACAATTGCAACAAACAATAAAAGTGGACATCTGGGGGTAAACAATAAGAAAATTAGAAGCCCTATTCAGTAGCCCCATTAGTTGATTAATTAAAATTCTAGAAGAAGAGAATTGAAGATATAGTAGAAAGACACTTGGTTTGGGTTCCCTTGGAAACTGACTCTTAATTATGGGTTTGAGTTCAAGTCATTTTTGGGACACGATCCCAGGAACGACAGTAGGATTGTAAGACAGTGAGACAGGAAGGAAAGAAAGCTAATAAAGCCAATTGGGAAGGAAAGAAAGCTATAAAGCCAATTATTACAATAGGCAACTGGAGCTCAATCGAGTTAGGAGAGTTTGGAACAACATGAGAGTTGTCAAAACAAAAGATAAGGAAGGTGTGGCATTAATCCACCACTTCTTTTATGCCACTGTTTGAGGGAAGCTCGCAGGGATATTTGGCTCATTCTTAGGCAGGTGGAATATGCTCCCCATGGCCAGTAGGGGAAAAAATCCCTTGTGCATGCAGAGTTACAGGAGTCCAAAATCAGCAAATAGATAAGTTTCTTAGGTCTTCTGTAACAAATTACCACACACTAGGTGACTTAAAACAACTGAAATTTATTTTCTCACAGTTCAGGAGGCCAGAAGTTTAAAATCAGTATGTCAGCATGGTTGGTTCCATCTAAAAGCTCTGAGGGAGAAATCATTCCATGTCTCTGTCCTTGCTTCTAGTGGTTCTTGGCACTCTTAGGCATTCCTTGGCTTTGTAGATACATCACTTTAGTCTCTGCCTCCAGAGTCACATTGCCTTCTCTGTGTGTCTCTGTATCTCTGTGTGCCCTCTCCTTTTCTTATAAGGACCGCAGTCATTGGATTGAGGGCCCATCCTAATTCAGTATGATCTCATCTTGATCCTTCACTAATTGCATCTGCAAAGACTCTATTTCCAAATAAGGTCACCTTCTTAGGTTTCAAGTGAACATGTATTTTGAGAGAATACTATTAAACTCACTATAGTCGCCTTTTGCATGGAGGTGATGATGCTGAGGTGGTATAAACAGGGAAATACTACCTGCTACAAAAAATTATCAAAGAATAATGTGAGGAAATTTTCAAGGTCTTGTGAAAACATGATTTAAAGAATTCACTAAGTACACATCACAACAGAGGTAAACAGACCTTCGCTGAGATATACCATGGTGAAAGTTTTCAGAATCCAAATGGAGTCACTAATGTTAAGAAAACTCTAACACATAGAGCCAGGGAAGGCTACAAAGAGAGGGTTCCCATGCTTGTTTGCCTGATAACAAACTATCATGAAAGACTGCAAAAAGCACCACCTTGCACAAAGGCCATTGCAAACTTACAGCAAAAATACTTTTGATATAAGGACAAAAATACTTTTGCAAGGACGTCTACCCAGCAACCGCCTGTTCAACCTCAGACTGGCATCACCATTTTTATAGCTAAGGATAATTATTTCAAGACAATTGTGTAGTCCTCCTAGGTTTTTCCTTTAAAAACCTTTGTTTTCCTATACTTCTCTAGTAAGTTTACCATGGCATGTGTATTCCCATTGCAATGTTCTAATCCTAAATACATATATATATAACAAAGAGATTATAATTATATATAATACAGAATATATATATAATATATAATATATAATACATATAATACATATATAACATACATATAACATATATAATACATATATAACAAATACATATAAACAACAGAGAGAAGCTCTCTAAATATGTATATATATTTAATTCTATTTAATTTCTAAGGATTAGAATTAAAATTCCATTACAATTAAATATATATATATATATATTTAGAGACTCTCATTTAATTCTAATCCTAAGGATTAGAATTAAATTTATTAAATACATTTATTAAATTAAGTAGATTAAATAAATTAAATTTATTAAAAAAATAGATTATAATGGAATTTTAATTCCATTACAATCCAAACAGAGCCTCTCTCTGTTTATTATTTAGGTTGTCACTATCATAAAATTTCAGGACACCAGAGATAAAAAGAAGAGAATGGAGTTCTCCAGAGTGAATGCAGAGACATTTCACACACACACACACACACACACACACACACACACACACACACACAATACATATGTATGTATTTATTTGGGATCAGAATGACATAGGATTCTCAATGATGACATTGAAAGCTGGGACAATGAAACAAGAGCTTCAAAATTCTGGGGAAAATTATTTTCAGCCTAGAAATTTATGCCTTCCAAACAATCAAGCATGAGGATAAGAAAAAAAAGAGTTTTTTAGACTTTCATATTTCAAAATAATTACCTTTGATGCAGACTTTTTCTTTGTTCTAGTAAAAAGAAAGAATGGACTAAAACAGAGGAAGAAAATCCAGAAAAGGAGGACTCCAATCCAGATTAAAGGAATTTCCAAAATGGTGGCTGAGACAAAACCTGGGGTTCAAGTCATGTTACAGAGATGGTGTTCCAGATTAGTGCAGAATAGTGGGCTCAAGAAGAAATGCCTTCAAGAAAAGATTGAAACCAACACACTACAAGTTTGACATTGGAAAAGTTGAATTGAAGAGTTGTTGGAAGGTATGGAAAGAGTTTATTGATTTACATAAAACTGAGCAATAAAAATTGAGAAGTCAATTTTAACTCCAGGTGAAATAAAAGTGGTATTAGAAATTAAATGTAATGATGGTACACCATTTGACTGAGCATTGAGAGATATTTATAGAGTCATAATAATAAAAACACTGATATGTAATCAAAAATTGTGATAGAATATGATTGAAACGGTAGAGACAAGGAAAATGGAATGTAAAAGAACTAAAATCTTCATCTCCCTAAAAAGAAGTCAGTAGACAATGTCTAAATTTGTGCATTCAAGAAAACAGTGTCAGAATTTTTGTAAAAAGAAATATAAGGTAATGACCAGAAGAAACAGCTAAAGGGTTTAAAGTCATTGCCCCTAGGAGATCAAGAGATAATAAGTAAATGTGACTTGAGAGTGTTGAGTATGTCTTGGTGATTTGGGGTTTCTGGTTCTCTTCTTTGAGTCCCAGGTTTCTGAAGCTCTTCTCCTAATTCTGTGAGCTGCCTCAGTTTCTTCCCTGATGATTCCTAAAATATTCTTTTCCACTTAATCCACTTTGAATTAAAATTCCATTATAATTAAGAGCCCAAGCTATTGCAATGATCGATGTGGAGCCCATTGATGTATCTATCCTGACAATTCTATTTAAAACGTTAGTCCTGATCCATGCCTAATGCACAGTCTGTTCTACATACTGTGTAGACCAAGATCCTTATTATGGCATGAGGTTAGCCATATTCTGGCATCCTCCCCTGGCTTACCTCCCATCATTCCTAATCTCATGTCACACTCCAGCCACAATGAACTTCTTTCAGTTCCCTGACCCTGCTCCCATTCCTGCTCTTATCCCCATTATATCCTCCCCCACTCTCACCATCACCATGCTTTTTATAACCACTGTTCTTTTTTACATATAGACAATTCTTACTTATTTTTCCAGACTTAGCTGAATTGTCCCCTCCCTCAGCCTTCTCTGATTTAGTAAATTCGCCTTAACTCTCAGTGTTAGCACTTAAAACATTGCATTATAATTTTGCAATTCTACTTTTGTATTTTCCTTTAGACAAAAAAAACTTCTTAAAGACTAGAACTGTGAAACAATCATCTTCGTACCCCCAGCACCTGTAGTTGTTCCTCAATAAGTGTGTATTAAACTGAACAACTTAACTTGTGTATACACAGCAAAGATGAATGTGATTATGTTGGTATTTCAGTTATCTATTGCTGCAGAAAAACCACCCCTAAATATAGTAGCTTAAAACAGTGTGATGGTTAATTTTAGGTGTCAGCTTGACTGGATTCAGGAATATCCAGATAAGTGATAAAGCATTATTTCTGGGTATGTCTGTGAGGGTGTCTCTGGAAGATACTTGAATCACAGGACTGAATAAGGAAGAGCTGCCCTCAGCGTGGCCGGGCAACATCTAATCGGCTGAAAGCTTGGATCGAATGAAAAGGCAGAGGAAAGGTGAATTTTCTTTTTATCCTGGAGCTGGACACCCTGTTTCTCCTGCCTGTGGACATCAGAATTCTAGGCTCTGTGGCATTTCAACTGTAAAACTTGCACTAGTAGCCAGCTGGTTTCTCAAGTCGTTGGCTTCAAAACTGAGAAGTACAGCATTCTCTTCCCAGGTTCTGAAGACCTCAAATGGACTGAGCCACACTACCAGCATCCAGCATCCATGGTTCTCCAGTCTGCAGATGGCCTATTATGGGACTTTTCAGTCTTCATAATTATGTAAGCCTATTTCCTTAATCTTCTCTCATCTATCTACCTCTATGTATCTCCTGTTGGTTCTGTCTCTCCAGAGAACCTCAACTAATACGAACAGTAACCACTCATTTTCTTATGATTCTGAAATCTGGGCATGGCAAGTGGGTACAGCTTGTCACTGCTTTATGTGGTGTTGGCTGGGGCCACACATGTGGATTCACTGAGCTGAGAATTCAGCGAGAGCTGGAACATCTGCAATAGTTTCACACACGTGTCTGGCACCTCAGCTGGGATGGCAGGAATGGCACAGGCTGGTTGGCCCCATCTCCCTGTCCATAAGGGTTCATGTGGTCCCCCATCAGTTAGTTATATTGCCTGAGTTCCTTCACATGGGATCCCAAGAGAACAACAACAAAAAGCTGCTAAGATTCTTAAGGTCTCATTTGAGAATGTATAGTGTCGTTTCTGTTGCACTCTGTTGATCCAAGCAACTCACAAGGCCAGCCCAGATTCAAGGGAGAGAATAATAGTTTTCAGCTCCTGGTGGGAGGAGAGAAATGTGCATTCAAGGATGGCAGCTCTTGTTGCATCCATCCTGACAATCTAATTTTGATAATTCAATTGTGTAGCTTAATCAGATAATTTCAATCTTAAATGTTTGAACTAAAATATTTATTTTTGTGGATTACATTATTAGATTATCACTATGTAAGTCAAGCAGTGTGATTGAGGCGGAGGCACCTTGTTTTGTAGAAATTGTTATTGTATTTTAACTTCAAAGATAAAAATCAATCAATGAATCATGATATTTTATGAGCGATGCTTAGCCATGGTGCTGATGCACTTTTCTGCAAATTATAAGATGATTTGCTCCTGTAGAAAGCTAATGGAGAAAGAAGCAACTAATGTGGCTCTAGGATAGAAGAAACTTTTCACTGAAAATTACCTAAATGAGATTTCTGAAAATATTAACTGTCTTCAGCCAAAATTTAAAATAATGTGTATGTTTAAAATAATCCATAATATTCAGCCAGTCTGTCCGGGGACATACTTTTGCACATTAATATTTTAGAAAATATGGAACTCTAACGGAATAATGAATGGCTATACCTGCATTTTAGACATGTCTATTACACTAATTTGAATCTAGTATGGGCTGGGTGTGGTGGCTCACGCCCGTAATCCCAGCACTCTGGGAGGCCGAGGCAGGTGGATCATTTGAGATCAGGAGTTTGAGACCAGCCTGGCCAACATGGTGAAACCTGTCTCTGTTAAAAATACAAAAATTAGCTGCACATGGTGGTGCGCACCTGTAATCCCAGCTACTCAGGAGGCTGAGGCAGAAGAATTGCTTGAACCCTGGAGGAGGAGGTGGCAGTGAGCCAAGATCACGTCACTGTACTCCAGCCTGGGCAACAAGAATGAAACTCCATCTCAAAATAAAATAAAATAAAATATAGTATGGACGCAGCTTTTTAATTACTTTCCATCATTGCTGCAGTCAATGAAGCAGCTTCATTACCCACTATAATGCCTTGCTTGTAATAAATCTTTATAAAACCTAAAAAGAGTTTCCAATTCTAAAATTCTAGCAACAGGCTTTTCTGCCTAGCTTTGCTTGGAGCTGAATGCATAAATGAGCCTTACTGGCTTGTTACCTGGTAAGACAAATGATGCAAATAAAATAAGTAATAGAACTTATGCCATTTCCTATTTTTATTTGAATATCCTTTTTTGCATTTCAATATATTTTAAATTATTTGTTAATAACAATTAACCACTTGGACAGAAGAGTCAAGGCATTGATTGTGGCTTAAGAGAACTAGAGAAAATATCTGAAATCTTGGGTTCTTAGTTTGTTTCTGCTACTTTCTAGCTGTTCCTCAGCCTTAGGCAGGTCTCTTAAACTCCCTGAACCTTATTTTCTTCAGTTGTGTAAAAGGGATGAGCTCAGATTCTCTGCTTTCTTCACAGATGAGAGAAAGAAAATGAAAAGGATTTGTAAACTATAAATCTCTAAACAGATGGGAGGAAAGGAATTGATGAAACAATAAATTTATTGATGAAACAATAAAAATAAACATAAAGAACCAAAGGTAGGTTTGGACATTCATTAATTTACTCTTGTAATATTTATTGAGTAGCTTGTATGTGGTAGGTACCATACTCAGGGCGGGAGATTAGTGATGAACAAGACAGATGAGCTCCCACAACTCACCACATCTTGCTGCCAGACAGGAGAGACATAAGTTACACATGTAAGCAAACAGTTAATATCCCTATAAAAAGTGCTATGGAGAAAAGAAGCAGGACACTAAGAGAGAAAGAAACAAGGAAAACCAACACAGTAAATTTTTCTGGCTGAGGAAACTAAGCCTGGAGGGTGGGATGGAGTTAGACCAGCAAATAAAGGGGTATGCAGGAATGTCCAAAGCAAAAACAACTCAAGGATGACAAGTGTGGCAAGAGCACTTAACAGAAACCTGTGATAGCAGACATGTAAGCTATGAAAGGGGTTTGACTTTGATTCTAAGTGCAAGGAAAGCCACTGAAGGCTTTTAAGCAGGAGAGTGACGGGATTTAGAATTATGCTTTAGAAAATTCATTTTTACTCTTTGATTGTGAGGGTCAAGAATGGAAAGAGGAAGCTACTGCAGAGGACCAGGAGAGTGATGATGATGGCTTAGATTAAGGGACAGGCTTTTCTGTCTAGTTTTCTGTCTAGTAAAACTAGACAGAAACTAGAGCCTTCTTGCTTGTTCCCTGATAAGATAAGCAATGCTAATAAACTAAGTCTAAATAGAACGTATGCCTTTTCTTGCATTTCAATGTATTTTAATTTCTTTGTTAATAACAATTAACCACTTGTACAGAAGAGTCGAGGCATTGAGGTGTAAGAGAACTAGAAATAATTCTCTCATAAGCAGTAGAAATAGTAGGAATTAGGTTCAAGACACATGTTGGAGGTGGAATTAAGAGGATTTGTTGATAGAATAATAATAATTGGGAAGGAGAAAAAGGTAATTCTAAGGTTTCTAGCTTGAGCAACTAGGAGGGGGATTCTGCTATTTACAGAAATGGGGAAGCTGGAACATGTTTCTAAGGGAAATAAAAATATACCTTTATGGCATGTTAAATTTTGACATCCAAATGAAACTATCAACAACGCAGTTAGCTAGGCAATCAAAGAATGAGCTAAAGAAATATGAGAGTCATGACAGTACAGATTCATTCTTCCAACTGCCCACTGGCCTAGATTGGGTGAAAAGCCATCAACCCATGTCACTTTAGGCTGCCAAGCTTAGACATGCCATGCATGATTGGCCGAGTAAGTGGTTTTCTTTTCAGGCCAGGATCAAGCCTTTTTCATTTACTTTCAAATGTCGCTATCCAAGTTGCCACCTCTATTCATATACCATTGACATCAGGGTAGGGCATAGGTTTTAGGTAAGTGTAGCATTGCTCTGTTTGTGGAACAGGCAAATGGTGGAACTTCTCCATCTGTTTTTTTCTGAACCCAAGGGCACTGGGTTAAGAAGTAATAAAAATGGTGGCTGATTATAAAGGCCAAGAGTAAGCTCTATTGGACACTGAGTGTAAAGGCAGACGCATGCTATACAAATTTCAAACATGTTTTACCCATTCTCTGAGTCTGTATGTTGGGGTAGAAAATAATTATAGCCTTCTGTATTTATCTGTGCATAGGTACCACTTGGTGATGGTCTGCATTTCTTTTGCTAATCTTATTTTATGATTGAGTTGAAGAAAATTGATTTGAATGGGAGCACTTGATTGTTTCCCATATTTGTTTTTTTCCTGATCCAGTTAACATTGGTGCTTTTCTTTATAGCATACTGCTGAGGACTTAAATGACAAAGCTTTGTCCTTGACAAAACTCCTATGTGAGTCACTCTTGGTCTGGATCAAAGCTCAAGCACTTTGTTGTATAGTATGTCTGGGCCTTAGTTTTCCCATTTGTGAAATGGTGCTAAGTACCTTGCACCAAAGAAATGAAATATACATGGTCTTCGCATGATGTTTAGCACAGTGTTAGGAGTTCATGGTTATTATCATTAGATGGAACCTAAGAGAGTGATTAGTTCTGGGGCTGCATATTTCAGGATATTAGAAACTCTGGTAAGGAGCACAAAATCATCAGGTTAACAGCCATCAGTGAATAATGTGAAGTAGGTTGCTACGGTGATGGGAACGAGGCTGACTTGGGAGGGCATAGTGAAAGAGGTTGTGATAATCAGAAAAGTCTAATCTGTATAGTTTTTGAGAACTTTCTCCAATGAACTAAAGCATTGCCTACTCCCAAGAAGGCAGTTGGCATCTTGAAGCTAGTACTGTCTCCTAGGATCCTCCAAATCGGATTGGTATGCAAGTTTACCATGTTACCCTGGTAACCACAGGGAGGAAGAAAGAAGACCCATAACACTAGTAAGCTATGAAAAGAAATGACAGACAAGCAAAGAGTTCCTTATGATCTATAGCATATTGAAGTTAGAAATGGCCATAATCTGCTATAAAAAACAATTTGGATATTTTAAATTTTATTTTAATTGACAAATAATAATTGTGTATATTTATGGGCTACAATGTGATATTTCAACCCATGTATACATTGTGGAATTATCAAATCAGGGTAATTAGCATATCCATCACCTCAAATATTTGTCATTTCTTTCTAGCGAGAACATCTAAAATCCTCTCTTGTAGCTATTTTGGAATATATAATACATTATTATTCAGTACAGTCACCTTGCTGTGCAGTAGAACACCAGAACTTATTCCCCCTGTCTAACTGAAATTTTGTACCAATGGAACAACATCTCCCCACTCCCTGTTCACTATTTAAATTTTTCATCACCCCTTCTTTTTGTTTAAGGATTTTCCCTTCATAATGACTTTTTATTCACATGAAATCCTTAATTATCTTACAAACATTAAATGAGCACCTATTCTATACTTAAATCTGCACCTCACCACAGTTTTGTTAGTAGGCAGGGCAGGTTGGGGAAACTGAGTCTCAGGAAGTGACACGACTTGCTTATCAGTGTCATGTCTGTTCAGTACCATCATTTTGTTTTTACTCTCAGTACCATTTCTAATGCCTTTGGGACTAGCAGGAATGGAATATAGTACACTATGGGGATTCAAAGTTATCATTTGAGTTTTTGACTACTTATGAACAACTTGAAGCTCCATGACTTGTGTGTGTATGTGTGTGTGTGTGTTTATTTTAATTTTGCTGAAGCACACATCTGAATTGATGCAAGGCTGCTGTGTGGGAGTGTGTATGGCACAGCTGTTGTTTTTCCCTGCCTGGCACCAATTCTCCATTCTTCAGTAAGAGCTCTTTGGGTTTGCTTTGCTGTTTCTCACCCATTGGCTGCTACCTAAGCAGTGGGAGTGTCAGTTAAGGGACCTGGCCCTCCCCTGGGAAGAGTCTGGCCATGTAACCCAAGTTTAGTCAGTCAGACTGTCTCTCCAAAGAATTAGAAACTTGAAAATAGAGACATGTGGGTTGAAAAATGACTGGGGAAGATCTAGCCCTGCCATGATACCGTGAAAGTGCTGTCTATTCATTCCCGTTACACAGAACACAGACTGCCAAGCCTTTTCTGTGAAGGGCCACATAGTAAATATTTTAGGCTTTGTGGCCATAAGGTCCCTGCCTCAATAATTTGGCTCTGCTATTGTAAAGTGAGAGCAGCCACAGACAATGTGCAAACAAGTGGGTAAGCCTATACTCCACGGAAATTTTATTTATAAAAACAGATGGCAGGCTAGATTTGCCCTTGGGTCACAGTTTGGAAACCTAGAGCCTCAGAGCTATATCAATTCCTGCTCTTTCCTGAGTCTAGTTTTTCAACTCTTCCTTTTTGTGTGCTCCGCATTTATTTTTTAAGCAAATTTCTTTTACTATTCAATGTTGTCAGAATTAATTTCTGCTGCTTGCCACCAAAGGACTCTAACTGATACAGAGTGAGCCTCTTGGCTAATGAGTGAATCTAGCTGAGTACCTAACATCCACATACCAGTGAAGCTTAATCTTTTTGCTTCCCACCAGCATTTGGGATAACATTTGGGAAGCAGTTGATAAAACAGTGTCTTAGGAAAAATAAATAGGCTTAGTGATGTAAGTAAAGATGATGACATGAAGAGTCTACAGAAAAGAAGATGGTCCTCAGACAGATGTTTAGGATAAATTAAAAAATACAAAGTTGAATTTGGCAGTGGCTCAATTCTATGATTTGAATTAGCCCTTTAAAATGAAATAAAAAATGGTGAGCTTATAACACTGTTTTAATTAGTTTTTCAAAGGGATTTTTAAATGATCAAGAGAGAGATTTAAAATGTTTTCTTTAAATGGATACATTCCTCAACACGTACACTCTCCCAAGACTAAACCAGGAAGAAGTTGAATCTCTGAATAGACCAATAACAGGCTCTGAAATTGTGGCAATAATCAATAGTTTACCAACCAAAAAGAGTCCAGGACCAGATGGATTCACAGCCGAATTCTACCAGAGGTACAAGGAGGAACTGGTACCATTCCTTCTGAAACTATTCCAATCAATAGAAAAAGAGGGAATCCTCCCTAACTCATTTTATGAGGCCAGCATCATTCTGATACCAAAGCCGGGCAGAGACACAACCAAAAAAGAGAATTGTAGACCAATATCCTTGATGAACATTGATGCAAAAATCCTCAATAAAATACTGGCAAACCGAATCCAGCAGCACATCAAAAAGCTTATCCACCATGATCAAGTGGGCTTCATCCCTGGGATGCAAGGCTGGTTCAATATATGCAAATCAATAAATGTAATCCAGCATATAAACACAGCCAAAGACAAAAACCACATGATTATCTCAATAGATGCAGAAAAAGCCTTTGACAAAATTCAACAACCCTTCATGCTAAAAACTCTCAATAAATTAGGTATTGATGGGACGTATTTCAAAATAATAAGAGCTATCTATGACAAACCCACAGCCAATATCATACTGAATGGGCAAAAACTGGAAGCATTCCCTTTGAAAACTGGCACAAGACAGGGATGCCCTCTCTCACCACTCCTATTCAACATAGTGTTGGAAGTTCTGGCCAGGGCAATCAGGCAGGAGAAGGAAATAAAGGGTATTCAATTAGGAAAAGAGGAAGTCAAATTGTCCCTGTTTGCAGACGACATGATTATTTATCTAGAAAACCCCATCATCTCAGCCCAAAATCTCCTTAAGCTGAGAAGCAACTTCAGCAAAGTCTCAGGATACAAAATCAATGTACAAAAATCACAAGCATTCTTATACACCAACAACAGACAAACAGAGAGCCAAATCATGAATGAACTCCCATTAACAATTGCTTCAAAGAGAATAAAATACCTAGGAATCCAACTTACAAGGGATGTGAAGGACCTCTTCAAGGAGAACTACAAACCACTGCTCAAGGAAATAAAAGAGGATACAAAGAAATGGAAGAACATTCCATGCTCATGGGTAGGAAGAATCAATATCGTGAAAATGGCCATACTGCCCAAGGTAATTTACAGATTCAATGCCATCCCCATCAAGCTACCAATGACTTTCTTCACAGAATTGGAAAAAACTACTTTAAAGTTCATATGGAACCAAAAAAGAGCCCGCATCGCCAAGTCAATCCTAAGCCAAAGGAACAAAGCTGGAGGCATCACACTACCTGACTTCAAACTATACTACAAGGCTACAGTAACCAAAACAGCATGGTACTGGTACCAAAACAGAGATATAGATCAATGGAACAGAACAGAGCCCTCAGAAATAACGCTGCATACCTACAACTATCTGATCTTTGACAAACCTGAGAAAAACAAGCAATGGGGAAAGGATTCCCTATTTAATAAATGGTGCTGGGAAAACTGGCTAGCCATATGTAGAAAGCTGAAACTGGATCCCTTCCTTACACCTTATACAAAAATCAATTCAAGATGGATTAAAGATTTAAACGGTAGACCTAAAACCATAAAAACCCTAGAAGAAAACCTAGGCATTACCATTCAGGACATAGGCGTGGGCAAGGACTTCATGTCCAAAACACCAAAAGCAATGGCAACAAAAGCCAAAATTGACAAATGGGATCTAATTAAACTAAAGAGCTTCTGCACAGCAAAAGAAACTACCATCAGAGTGAACAGGCAACCTACAACATGGGAGAAAATTTTTGCAACCTACTCATCTGACAAAGGGCTAATATCCAGAATCTACAATGAACTCAAACAAATTTACAAGAAAAAAACAAACAACCCCATCAAAAAGTGGGCGAAGGACATGAACAGACACTTCTCAAAAGAAGACATTTATGCAGCCAAAAAACACATGAAAAAATGCTCATCATCACTGGCCATCAGAGAAATGCAAATCAAAACCACTATGAGATATCATCTCACACCAGTTAGAATGGCGATCATTAAGAAGTCAGGAAACAACAGGTGCTGGAGAGGATGTGGAGAAATAGGAACACTTTTACACTGTTGGTGGGACTGTAAACTAGTTCAACCATTGTGGAAGTCAGTGTGGCGATTCCTCAGGGATCTAGAACTAGAAATACCATTTGACCCAGCCATCCCATTACTGGGTATATACCCAAAGGACTATAAATCATGCTGCTATAAAGACACATGCACACGTATGTTTATTGCGGCACTATTCACAATAGCAAAGACTTGGAACCAACCCAAATGTCCAACAATGATAGACTGGATTAAGAAAATGTGGCACATATACACCATGGAATACTATGCAGCCATAAAAAATGATGAGTTCATGTCCTTTGTAGGGACATGGATGAAATTGGAAACCATCATTCTCAGTAAACTATCGCAAGAACAAAAAACCAAACACCGCATATTCTCACTCATAGGTGGGAATTGAACAATGAGATCACATGGACACAGGAAGGGGAATATCACACTCTGGGGACTGTGGTGGGGTGGGGGGAGGGGGGAGGGATAGCATTGGGAGATATACCTAATGCTAGATGACGCGTTAGTGGGTGCAGCACACCAGCATGGCACATGTATACATATGTAACTAACCTGCACAATGTGCACATGTACCCTAAAACTTAAAGTATAATTAAAAAAAAAAAAAGATATGCCCACCCAGGAAAAAAAAATAAATAAATAAATAAATAAAATGTTTTCTTTAAAAAAGCTGAAAAAATGTTAAAATGAGGTTTATTTGTGGTCTAGTTTAATCCTAGGAAACTTGAGCTTTTCATGTTGGAAATTTTGAAGTCTGTGCCCACCATTTCTTGTTGTGAACCGGGGGTTATGTGAGGGTCTCAGAGTCTATTCTTCTATAGTGAAAAGATTTTACTTCTGTCAATGATGCCCATTCATTCTGTCCCCCACTGTTCTAACAGGAAGTAAATACAGTTGAGCATCCTATTTAGATCAAGAAGATAAAATCATCAAGTCTTTTCATAGCCTGGCACTGGAGGATATACAAAATGAGCACTCTCCCTGCCCTTATGTAACTGTCCACCTAGCTGAGATGAAAACATTACCCAACCAGGAAATCTTGAGTAGTCCAAAGTGGTCAGTTCAATTCCACAAAGAATGAATGGGTCACTGTGACCCATTCTGTGACAGTGCTCAACAGAAACACAATAAAATATTATATCTCGAGCAGTATCAGAATCCTTGCATTCCAGAGATAAAAGGGATCTTTAGAGCCCAGTTTCTTCATTTCACACAGGAAACACCAAGGTCCAGGGAAGCTAAGTAACCTTGTCTAATGGCCAGTCTCTAATTAATAGTGTCCGTGTGGCCAGAGCCTGGTGTTCTTAATTCCATTTCTCCAGTGCTCTCCTCTAGATGTAGAAGAGCTGCTTTTAGGAAGTACATAGACCTAAGACTGAATCACAAAGTGAAAGCATTGTTCCGATTCTATGAAGAAAGTCTCCGTCTAGTTCTAGATCTCTTTGAACCTTTCTTGGGTACTTGAAAAATTCTCTTCGACACATGCACACATATGTTTACTGCAGCACTATTCACAATAGCAAAGACATGGAACCAACCCAAATGCCCATCAATGATACACTGGATAAAGAAAACGTGGTACATATGCACCATGGAATACTATGCAGCCATAGAAAGGAATAAGATCATGTCCTTGGCAGGGACATGGATGAAGCTGGAAGCCTTCATCCTCAGCAAACTATCACAGGAACAGAAAATCAAACTCTACATGTTCTTTCATAAGTCGGAGTTGAACAATGAGAACACATGGACACGGGGAAGGGAACAACACACACGGGGGCCAGTCAGGGGGCTTAGGGGAGAGAGGAGGGACGACATTAGGACAAATAGCTCATGCATGAGGGGCTTAAAACCTAGATGATGTGTTGATAGGTGCAGCAAACCACCATGGCACATGTATACCTATGTAACAAACCTACACATTCTGCTCTTGTATCCCAGAACTTGAAGTAAAATAGTAATTAAAAAAAAGAATTTTAAGAGCCAGAGCTCAAACTTAGGTTTACATAATGATTTTTAAAGGCTGGCAAATATAAAAATTAAAGAATAAGATTATTTCTGAAAAAAAAAAAAAGAAAAAAATCCCTTTGAACAAAATATAAGGCAGGTCTCAAGCTTATTGTCTTCAGCATGTAATCGCATTTAGCTGAATTTTTATAACATTGCTTTGATTTTGTGTTTATTTTTAACAGTTATGGTTTTTCATTTATAGACATGGTATAAAGTCTCCTTTTAAGATGAATGTATCTAAGCTTTTTTAAAAAAGGTCAATTTAATTTAAAGGAAAGTATTAAGCAAAAAATAACAAACACTATACCCAAAACAAACCTTAGTAAATTGGATATATTAACTCAATTAACCTGACAGTAATCCTGTGAAATAAGCACTATTTCCATTTTGCAGATCAGACAGGCGCTGCACATTTAAATAACTAGAAGAGGTTAAGCAGGTTTCAGACACAGGCTATCTGGTTCCACATTTTGTTCTTCAACACAAATCTCTACTTGGATGCAAAGTGTGGGGAACAGTGAATTATATCACATTGTGTCCAGACACAGTTTTGAAATAATTGATCTAGAGGAAAAGTCTATTGAATATAAATTTCCTTCTAACGATATAGACAGCTTTGATCAAAGTAGGTCTTAAGAATGTATCTGGTAGATGCCTGCTGTGCGTGAGATCCTCTGCTAGGTGTTTTGCAGACAATGTATTTGATTGTTGCAGCAACATTGCAAAGTAGGTATTATTTTATTTATTTTCAGAGGAGAAACTCAGGATTGATTTGTTCTAGAACCCCTTAATAATAAATATCAGAACAGCAATTCAAACTAATCTCAAGCTGGTTCCAATGTCTATGTTCTTCGCTGCCTTCCAAATTCAAGACCCTGTTTTCTTCAATGCAATTCTCCCACTTACTGAGCATTTTCTATACCTCTACCCTCATGCCTGTAATCAGAAATGAGTTGAATATGCTTGCGCAACAAAATGCATCCTATTCCAGCCAAGTAGCTCAGTCTCCCAAGATTCCTCATAACCAAATTAACCAGTATTTGGAATGGAAGTCAGACAACAAACCCCAGTGCACTGGATTAAAAATTACAACCTCGCTGGGCTGGTGTGGCTGGAAAAATAATATGAGACACACAGATAATAAACAGCAGATTTTGGACAGAAAAGCATGGCATTAAATAATTGAAGCCAGTGAAAGTGGAATGTGGGGCCAAGTCCACACAGCTATTTATGAAACTGAGAAATGGAATATTGATGTTTTGTACCAGAACTGAGAGCTTTCTGGTTAATTACATTCCTGGGTGAATTCAGAGAAAAATATGATACTTACATTTTTCAGGGAACAAAATAATTTTCAGTCATTCACTGGGAAATCAGTTAACTCTAGTTCACCTGCTTTCTATAAAATCTAGAAGAGCATTCTGTTGGCTGTGAAATACTGAAACCTGTGGTTCTTATATGTTCTACTTTTATTATAAATTTATTGGTCACTTGCTATGTGCCAAAGATGTTTCTCAGAGCTCATAGCTTGGTGAACAAACATAGAGATTATTAGATCTAGCATATAAAAACTACTAGAATAAGATCCCATTCCCTTCCCTATCAATTGCTATCTTATAAAGAATAATTTTTTACATAGGACTCATCAGTACTGAAAATCGTGTGTGTGTGTGTGTGTGTGTGTGTGTACATGTTTGCTTATTTGCCTACCATCTGTCTCCCAAAGTAGAAAGAAAAGGCCAATGAAGCAAAGATTTTTGCCTATTGTTTCCAGTACCTAGAATGGTCCTAGAATACATAATATAATAAGTATTAGTGCCAAATGCAATGGAGGCCACAGGGGAAGAAGTAAGCAGATTCGTCCAGGGTGGGCTGGAGAAGGAACCAGAGGAAACAATGTTTCAAGTAGGGACTTGGAAGAGGCACAACACTTTGTGGAGGAGTAAGGCAAGAGCATTGCAGGCAAAGGGAAAGGTAGAAACGGAGGGAGGGATGCATGAAAGTGTATGATGTGTTTAGGCAGTGATGAAGCCAGGAGTGAGTTGAGGAGAGTAACTGTGAACAGTATGTAGCATGGCAAGGTGATGCCAGCACATACAATCTATAGCTATGATACAATGTGTCAGTTCCTGCTCATCTCCTTCCACCTGACAGGGCCCCACCCACCTTCCCCAATGCCACCTCATTTTCCAAAGGCACTTTATCAAGAAAGTCTCAGCACCATTGGCTGGGTTTTAGTGCATTGACTAAGCCTGCAGTTCTCCTTGGCAATCTCTGTTCTATTTCCTTCAAACCTGGATATATTAATTATTTGCTCTACCCGTCATATGGTTATAACAAAATAATTTTTAGTTGACTCTCCCAGTTGCAGAGCTGAGTTAAATTGCTTTTAGTTGTGAAGGTTTTATTAACCAAAGATAATTAGCCAGTGTTTGAATAGATATGTGGAAGTATAGGCAGTCTCTAAATATGTCAAAATCCATCATGTGTCACTTTTTGGCTTATAGTCTTTTTCTTTTGGCTTTTTAACTAACATTGCTTTTTGAATGAGTATCAAGCTGTTTATAGTTAAAAACTCTTACTTGTAGTTAATAGAAAACAATGAAACTCAAATTATAAGAGGGAGAATTACCGAAGAACACTGTGTTATGCATGAAACCCCAAAGCAGCTGGGCGTCTCAAATGATTTGAAACAGACATTTGAAACTCAGGCAGTTTTCAGTCTCTCAGTCTTGCTCCTCCCTGCCCCTACCTCTCCCTTAATCTTGGCCTCTGGTTCTGTCTGTTACTTCTCTCTGTTTCTTCCTCTATTCCTCTCCTTCCTCCCCATATGCCAGTTTTTCCCTTTGTTGGCCACTCTCTCTGTCTTATCTCTCTCATTCTCTCCTTCTTTTTCATTATCCTTTCCACTGGCTGTATTTGCTTTTTCTTATTCATGTAAAGCCTTCCTCACAATTCTTCAGATTATATTTCCTCCATTTAAGAGACCAGCTCAGATAATTGGTTAGTTCCCTAAGTCCCCAAGTCTCTCAGATTTCAAAATCCATAGAAGGGGATCTGATTGTTCCAGTTTGACCTAGGTATCACCCCTGGTCCAGTCAAATGTGAGCAGGGGCTTAGCGTGGTGGCTCTCGCCTGTAATCCTAGCACTTTGGGAGGCTGAGGTGGGTGGATTGCATTGCCCCAGGAGTTTGAGACCAGCCTGGGCAACATGGCAAAACCCACCTCTACAAAAAGTACAAACAAATTTAGCCAGGCATGGTGGCATGTGCCTGTAGTCCTAGCTACTTCGGAGGCTATGGTGGGAGGATCACCTAAGCCTAGGAGGCCGTGGCTGTGGTGAGCCATGATCTCACCATTGCACTCCAGCCTGGGTAACAGAATGAGACCCTGTCCAAATAGAAAAAAAAAGTGTGATCAGGAAAACATTCACAGGATACAAATGTGCCTGCAGAGGAGGGGTATGGCAGCCCTATGGGTTGTGGGGAGGACTATGTCTCAGAGAAAGGATATCTCTGCGACTTTAATACATAAGCTAAAAGATGCCCACTCCCTCTAATCACAGTGTCTGAGTGAATATTAATGGATGAATTAATATTCTTAAACTAATGTTGGTTGATCAAGATTTCTTGATGAGCGATACCATACAGAAATTTAGCACTTCATGTGGAATGATTCTTCCTTGGGAAAGCTGATCAGACTTTTTGAAAGTTGGGCCATTTTATATATTTGTAGCGTTCACGTTCCTATGTCAACAGCATTGTGGCCTCACCAAAAGCCAGAGAAGCAGAATTGTACAACCCAATGTCACTTTTGGGGAAACAAAGGTACCCATTAGCTGTCAGGCAGATGTTCTTGTCTGGTAATGGATCTTGCTGCATCTTCTTTGTAAAGTGGTTTCTCTCCTGTCCTTTGCTTGCTTGTCTGTAAAATGAGGGGGTTAGATGTGACAGTCTGAGTTCCCATTAGTTCTGATGTGCTGTGATTCCCAGTGGAGGCAAGAGAGGCCCCTCAAGTTCTGGGCTAGACTAGGAAGGAGCTGCCTGACTGGTCACAACTCCCATAAACACTTGAGCTTGCCAGGCCCTCTGAATCCTCCGCAAAACTGTTCCAGCTGAACTCAAGATCCTATTTTTATTTTCTAGGTAGTTCTGAAATTAGATTTGCCAACTTTGCAGCTCCTGTCAAATGTCTGCTCCTCTAAGGAATGGCTTTTCTGACTTTTAGCAAAAGATTTTCATCTCTGAAGGACTGTGGTTACCTTTTCTCATCTCTCAGGGCAGATCTTTGAAATCACTTGGCCCTCTGAGTAGGGGGTCTTGGCATTTCTTTTCCAGCTGTTAACTGCACCAGAGATGCTTCACCAAAGTACAGAATGGTATACAGCTTTCTCCTTTAAGAGGCTGTCAGCAGGAGAACCCAATGTGATGAAGGGGAGACTGTAAATTGTTTTACCTGGAAATGGCCAAATTATCTAAGTGTTCTTGTGATTATACTCAGATTCATCTGGGCATTTGGTGGAAGGCATAAAAATAAAGAGGAAAAAAGAGTGGAGACGCTGGCAGTGTGAAGGCATCTTTAATTCCTGGCCCTCCCTTGAAATGGTTTCTTTATTCATTATGCAAGCATCCATTGAGTACCTTGTATATTCTAGGTACTCTTCTAGATGCTGGAGAAGCAGGAATGTAGACAAAGAAAAGATAGACTGGCAAACACATGAACATTAGTCTGGAGTTGGGACAGGGATGTCTGTCTTCTCTCTTGATCTCCTTCCTTCACTTTTCATTTCTATTAATCCTGTTCCTGAAGCCCAGATGGGACCTTTATGGGAAAATAATGGTGGTGTTGGTGGTAGACTGCTGATGGGCATTTGTGGATTTGGGATTCAGGAGAGCATTTAAGCTTCTAGACTAAGAAGGTGATAGGATTTATATATATACTCGTTCTGGGATACATGTGCAGAACGTGCAGGTATACATGTGCCATGGTGGCTTGGTGCACCCATCAACCCATCATCTAGGTTTTAAGTCCCGCATGCATTAGATATTTGTCCTAATGCTCTCCCTGCCCTTGCCCCCTACCCGCTGACAGGCCCCAGTGTGTGATGTTCCCCTCCCTGTGTACATTTGTTCTCATTTTTCAATTCCCACTTATGAGTGAGGACATGCGGTGTTTGGTTTTCTGTTCCTGTGTTAGTTTGCTGAGAATGATAGTTTCCAGCTTCATCTGTGTCCCTGCAAAGGACATGAACTCATTCTTTTTTATGGCTGCATAGTATTCCATAGTGTATATATGCCACATTTTCTTTATCCAGTCTATCATTGATGGGCATTTGGGTTGGTTCCAAGTCTTTGCTGTTGTGAGTAGTGCTGCAATAAACATACGTGTGCATGTGTCTTTATAGTAGAATGATTTATAATCCTTTGGGTATATACCCAGTAATGGGATTGCTGGGTCAGATGGTATTTCTAGTCCTAGATCCTTGAGGAATCGCTACACTGTCTTCCACAATGGTTGAATTAATTTACAGTCCCACCAACAGTGTAAAAGCATTCCTATTTCTCCACATCCTCTCCAGCACCTGTTGTTTCCTGACTTTTTAATGATTGCCATTCTAACTGGCATGAGATGGTATCTCATTGTGGTTTTGATTTGCATTTCTCCAATGACCAGTGATGATGAGCTTTTTTTCATATGTTTGTTGGCAGCATAAATGTCTTCTTTTGAGAAGTGTCTGTTCATATCCTAAGAAGGTAATAGGATTTGTGTAGATAAAAAGGAGAAAAGGCATTCCAGGTAGAGGAACTGGCATAAGCAAAAGTGTAGGGCACTAAGACATGTGGAGAGGTCATGGAGGATGAGAAGCCATGTGGAGAGAGACAGCAAGGAACCCCAAGACACCAGACATGTAAGTAAAGAAGTCATCTTGGAAATGGATCCTCCCTGCCCCAGCCACTCAGCTGATATATAGCAGAGTCTTTCCACTATAAGCAAAATAAAATGGTTGTTTAGGGTAGTATATGTTTGAGGGAGCAAAAGGATAGGGTGAGAACAATTCATTGCAAGATTATACTCCATATCTCTTTCTCTTGATTACTGTCTACTTGTACAGTAAATGTTTGAGCCCTTGTCTGTTTAGTTAATATAAATTGATGTGAAAATGTAAACACAACAGTATATACATAAAAATATACCAACCCAATTTCATTGTATCAGTCAGGGTCCCCATTTTATGCAGTGTAAAGCAGTTCTGGCTAACTTCAGCAAAATTAGAATTTGTTAAATGATACTGAAAAGTTCAGATCATCACCAAGAGAACCAGGCTTGCATACTAATGCTCAGGAATAATGCTCAAAATCAACAAGCAGAAAACGAACAACCACATTAACAAATGGGCAAATGACATGAACAGACACTTCTCAAAAGACATAGATGCGGCCAAAAAGCATATGAAAAAATGCTCAACATCACTAATCATTATGGAAGTGCAAATCAAAACCATGATGAAATATCATCTCATACCTGTCAGAATGACTGTTATTAAAAAGTCAAAATATAACAGATCCTGGCAAGGTTGTGGAGAAAACGGAATGCTTATACACAGCTGATGGGAATTAATTAATTAATTTAGCTAATGGGCTAAATTAATTCAGCCATTGTGGAAGCCATTTGGAGATTTCTCAAAGATCTAAATACAGAAATACCATTTGACCCATCAATCCCATTACTGGGTATATACCCAAGGGAATATAAATTATTCTACCACAAAGACACGTGCACGCATATGTTCATTGCAGCACTTTTCACAATAGCAAAGACATGGAATCAACCTAGATATCCATCAATGGTGGACTGAGTAAAGAAAATGTGGTTCATATACACCATGGAATACTATGCATCCATAAAAAGGAATGAAACCATGTCCTTTGCAGCAACATGGATGCAGCTGGAGGCCATTATCCTCAGTGAATTAACACAGGAACAGGAAACCAAATACTGCATGTTCTCACTTATAAGTGTGCGCTAAACATTGAGTATATGTGAACACAAAGAGGGGAACAATAGACCCTGGGGTCTATTTGAGGGTAGAGGGTAGAAGGAGGATGAGGATTGGAAAACTACCTATCAGGTAACATGCTCACTACCTGGGTGATGAAATCATTTTTATACCAAATCCAAGATATACGCAATTTACCCATGTAACAAACCTGCACATGTACCCCTGAACCTAAAATAAAAGTTGGAAGAAAACTAATCGGGAATCGAAATAGGAATTGATCCCACAAGGTGTTGCAGTTGCCCCTACTAGCCGCAAACACATCCTCGTCTCATGGACACCCCAGAACTTGTACCATTGGACACTGCCTCTACCTTTGTCACTGAGGCCTCCAGCAAATGGTAATGGCTACCACAACTACAATACCTTCCTGGGAAGGTGTCAGAGCAGTTCTTCCACATAGTACCAAGATTCTGAGTCTGGGGTATCACATCTGACTGGTGGGATCTAAGTCATGTGCTTATGTCCCAGCTCCAAGGAAGGCTAGGAAAGCCAGTAACTGGCATTTTCAGATACCTTTGGTAAAGACTCTGCCATGGGGAAGGAGGATGATTTTTCCCAATCACAATAATGGATCATAGGTGCTGGGCAGCCAAAAAGAAAAAATAAATTAAAAAGAAGATGATGAAGAAGGAGAAAGGCAAGCGTTCAAAACACCCATGTTTCAGTGGCAATGGATGCTATCTGTTTATTCACCCAGATTTACTTTCTTATGTACAGTTAACATTTGTACAACATGGGTTTGAACTGTGTGGGCCCAGTTACATGCAGATTTTTTGTCAATAAAAATTAAACTAAGTGTGCCTGCGTCTCCTGCCTCTTCTGCCACCTAGTCCATCTCTTCTGCCTCTGTACCCAAGACAGAAAGACTGACCCTTCCTCTTCCTCCTCCTCCTCAGCCTACTCAATGTGAAGACAAGGATGAAGACTTTTATGATTATCCACTTCCACTTTATGAATAGTACATATATTTTCTCTTTCTTATGATTTTCTTAATAATATTTTCTTTTATCTAGCTTATTATAAGAATACAGTATATAATCCATATAACAAACAAAATACGTGTTAACTGGCTATTTATGTTATTGGTAAGGCTTCCAGTCAACAGAAGGTAATAATTAAGATTTGGGGGAGTCAAAAATTATACATGGATTTTCAACTGTGTGATGGGTCAGCACCCCTAACTTGTATGTTGTTCAAGGGTCAACTGTATATATTTTTTTAATAATACAAATTGAATTATACCTGAGCAGTTACAAACTGTTTACACATAGAGCTTACAAATTGATTCACCCCCACAAATATGTGCTTGGCTTATATAGTTCTTTGGGATTTTTTTGGTTCATTTTAAAGAATTTGGTGCGAATATTTTATAAATTACAATATTATTACATAAAGATCCAAATTTCCTTGTGGCAACACAGCTGGCATTCTGAGGTAGCAACGATTAACTGGAAGTAAGTAACTGCTGTCACTTGAGTTTTTCATACTTCTCATCCCACTGTACTGTAATCCATTCATGCCGCTTCACCCATTTGCATTAACTGTCTTTGAGTGCAACTCTGGAATTACTCAGATCATTTTGCTATGTCAGTTCATATTTAAGCTACATAACTTAACTATATCTGGTGGCTGCATATTAGTCTGTCATCCATTAAACTAAGTTTTTGTCTTCTTCACAGGTGGTACACTAAGGCTTGAGTGTCTGGAGGCCCAGGATCTAGGCTACACTTTCTCATTTACTGCCTCTCTGATCTTGAACAAAATACTTTGCCTATCTGGGCCTTAATTTTCCCTTCTATAAAATGATCTGTTAGAATTAGATGATTAATAAGATCTTTTCTGATTTGATAAATTCATAACTTAGGTTAATGTCTGCAATGAGTAGCTTTTCTGGTCCCTAAGACCAGAATTTATTAGAGAATCGGTTAACTCAATCAGGATATATCCATGGAGTTTAAAATTAAATAGCTATTGAAAATGATATTGTATAGCAATGTTGATAAGGAAGGACGTCATCATATGTTTCAAGTTATTTTTAAACTTTTAATTTTGAGATAATTTAGATTCACGTGTAGTTGTAAGAAACAATATAGAGGGGTCCTGTGTACTCTTTTTCCGGTTTTCCCTAATGGTAACATCTTGCATAGCTATAGTACAATATTACAGAAATTTACACTGATACAGTCTACCAACCTTATTCAAGTTTCACCATTGTTACATGCACTCACTTGTGTGTGTGTGTGTGTGTGTGTGTGTGTGTGTGTGTTGAGTTCTGACCAACTTTGTCACATGTGTAGATTTGTGTGGCCACCATCACAGTCAAAATACAGGACAGCTCTATCACAAGGTATTCAGAATATTTAAAGGAAAAAAAATCAACTAAGAAAATAGTATTATATGTATTTTTAAAAACAAACAGGACATGTAAGCACCAAGAAATTAAGCCTGGCTGGCTCTGAGTGCTGGGATGGTAGCTGACTTACATCTTCCTCTGTGCTGGTGTGTACATCCTCAGTGTTTTCCAGCGACTGTGTCGGTAAGACATTTTTAGTCAGAAAACTGCGACTATTTTTCTAAGATATGGAGGTATTGCAGTAGGAACATTACATTTCAGAATGTACACATCAACATATGTTTTGTGTTATCACATTATGAGTTTATTTAAATCCATTTTTCCCCAGAGAAATGAAACAAAAAAAAGAAGGATTAATTATGACTTTCTACCACTCTAAGGAATTCTCAAAAGCCATGGGCCTCACAGTATGGCAAAAACTATTCTTCCAAGAAATGCAGGTATTCCTCAGGGAGGCACAGGGCCTGCTATTTTGTAGATGAAATGTATCTTTCTGGATAGTCTAGGTTTTCAAAGGCCTGTGAAGAAACACAGAAGAGTTGGGTTGAGATTCCTGAGAGCCTTGCTGGTCGTCTTTGAAAAAGGCTAGTCTGGCCTGGTTGTCATGACGGGAAGCTGTGCCCTCCAGCGATCCTCCCCTGTGGTCTGAGTGTTGTGCAGATGCTCCTTGGGTCTGCTCCAGCTGTGATCCCCAATGACTGTGTCTTGAGGAAATGCCCAGGCTGCCTCAAAGACCCTTTCATGAGCTGCCACTAGCACTGGTCTGCTTCATCCCTTCTTTAGTGTGTCTTGGATGCAAACTGTTTCTTCGTGCAGGGAGAGGCAGTCACCTAGAACAGAAGAAGCCCCTGGAGTCAAGAGACTTCGACTTGGGTCCCTGCACTGGCAGTGTAACCCTTGCACATCACATAGCCAGTCCTGGCTTCAGTTACTTTCCCCACCTGGAGACTCGGGGTCGGCCCCTCTTCTGGGCTGGGCTGTGCTTTGGCATCATTGAGCTTCAACTTTAAACAGATCAGAGTGTCAATCTTTGCTCTAACACTCATGTGACTTTGGGCTGACTCCTCAGCCTGTTTCAGTTTTTAAAATATGTATTATAAAATTCATAATGCTAAGTCACAGCATTGTTGTAAAGAAAAATCCTATATAAACAAAATGCTTTGTCTCCTTGCTATTTCAAGTTGTAACAGTTGCATGGATTTTCCACACAATTTGGATGGTCTGTTAGTTAGATGGTCTGATTTAAAATGTAAGCTATATGGCATATGCAAGATTCATTTTGGGAAGTACTAAGGAGCAACTAGGAGAGAAAAGTCATCATCTGCCCAACCATCTGATATTGAGGAATAAAAGGTGCATGTGCCTGCTGAGCTTAGGGACATACCTTGTGAGTTTGCATAATGCAAAAACAGAAAACAGCAACGGCAAAACCCAACTGTGTAGTATCAAATATGAACCCCATCCCCACCCCACCACCTAAAATTCTCCAGGGCAAACTCTCCTAAAAGCAGACATTGATTTGTGATTATATTGCCTGGCATATGGGCCTCTCTCCATGGCATTTCCAAGGGTGAGAAGTGACTATAAGGGCAAACACACACTGAGCATTTACTGTGCTCCAAACACTGTACTAAGCACTTTACATGTTATATCTCTTTTACTCTTCACCATGCCAGAAGGTGGTTATTGTCATTACTCATCCTATGCAGAGAAGGAAGTAGCAGCCAGGGTTTATTTGCCTATCCCTGGGGTGAACAGGTAGTAGGTTAAATAAGTCTCTAAGCACAGTTAGTTACACAAGTCATTTAGCTGAGTGCTCAGAAACCAGCAGTAATTATTAATGAAGCTAGTTGGAAAGCAACTTATTCTAATACCACATGAGAAATAGTCTTCTGTGCAAAATGTTAGTCTTTTGATTTTGTAGAGATTCAGAGAAGACATTATAGAAGAAAGGACATCTGAGCTGAGCACTGAAAAATAATTAGGATTTTCCTATGAAGACAAGAGGGTCAAGGTTTGTGTAGGGTGAAGGTGTAGAGGCAGCAAGAATGGTAGAAGCAAAGGCATAAAGGCAAAAGAGTGCAGGATGTGTTTGGAGAACTGCACGCGGTCCCAGGTTGCTAGAGCAGAGTACACTAGAGAGGAACTGCAGGAGGCCAGCCTGGGCTATCTGCAGACCTCCTGGGGCTAGATTGGAAAAAAATCTGAAATTTATCTTGTGGGTCACAGGCCTCAAATTGGTGAGCCTTTGATCACATCTGGCCAACATATATCTTTTGTTTGTACTATCCAGAGTTCTTTTATAAAAAATTTTGAATTATCAACATTTTAAAATATGATGTTTTTATCTAAATACCCAATTTCTGGCATTTCTTTAAAAAATGGAACTATTTGGCCATATTGATCCTCTCTTCAATATGGCAACATCATCTGGGGCTGAAAAGCCACTGCCCCTTTAGATAGCTTACTGCAGTTCCCACCCTTCCCTATTGTTGTGCTCAGGAAACTTCCCTCATTTATATTACCTGTCCATTTCCTGTAGGTGTATGAATTGCCAGTGACTGCTGTGGGCAATATGGAGTCATTAAAGGCCATCTAAGAATGAATTATTATGTAGTTACTACCTACCCCTCTACTAGAGGCAAAGAACTTTACTCATTACTGTTTTCTTTAATAAACTAAAATTCGGGCCTTGGAGGGGTGGCTCACACCTGTATATCCCAGCACTTTGGGAAGCCAAGGTCAGGAGATCAAGACCATCCTGGCCAACATGGTGAATCCCCATCTCTATTAAAAATACAAAAATTAGCTGAGTGTGGCAGCGTGCATCTGTAGTCCCAGCTACCCCAGGGGCTGAGGCAGGAGAATCGCTTGAACCCAGGAGGTGGAGGTTGCAGTGAGCCGAGATCGCGCCATTGCACTCCAGCCTGGCAACAGAGCGAGACTCCGTCTCAAAACAAAACAAAACAAAAAAAAGACTAAAATTCTAGTGCTGTGTTTACCAACATTTTAGCCACTTGCCAAATGTGGTTATTTAAAATGAAATTAAATAGAATTAAAATTGCAGTTCCTTAGTTACACAAGCCACATTTCAAGGGCTCAGTGGCTACATGTGGCTAGTGATGACCATGTTGGGAACAGATATAGAAATTCTCTTCACTAGTTAATGGATGCAGCACACCAACATGGCACATGTGTGCATATGTAACAAACCTGCATGTTGTGCACATGTACCCTAGAACTTAAAGTATAATAATATAAAAAATAAAATAAAATAAAAATAAAAAATAAAAGGTACTGGGACAACTGGTTATCCTTACGATAAAAAGTAATATAGACATTTACCTCATTCCATTAAAAAAAAAAAAAGTCTAGGATTATGAGTCTGAGTATTAGAGGCAAAATAACAAAGCCTTTAGAAGATTAAAAAAAAAAGAAAAGAAATTCTCTTCACTACAGAGAGTTCTACTGGACAATGTCATTCTAGTGAGCAGCCAGGGCTGACAAACATTAAACAGTCAGAGGAATATACAACATAAAAGTAGCAACCGATTTGATTGGATGCATGCTGGAGGGGCTAGCTGCAACAGTGAAGGAAGCCTCATGAAGGATTTCAACTAGGATGGATAGGATTAGAATAGAGGAGAGAAAGTGGATAGGACATGAGTAAGGACTAAAGGGAGATTCTATTAGAACTGCTTTGGCTGCAAATTATAGAACAAATAGCTAACAGTAGCTTAAACAAATAGAGAACTGATGCTGACTCTCACTATATTAATCTGAGAGTAAACTGTATTAGCTTTCCATTGTCACCACAATAAATTACCACAAACTCAGTGGCTTAAAACAACACAAATTTATCATTTTACAGTTCTGTAATTTGGAAGTCTGACACAGATCTCACTAGGCTAAAGTCAAGATGTTGGCAAGACTGTGTTCCTTTCTGGAAGCTCTAGGGAGAATTCATTTCTTTGCCCTTCCCAGTTCTACAGGCTGCCCACCTTTGTTGGTTCACGGCCCTTTCTGGCATCTTTAAGCCAACAATCTCACATATCTCTGTGCCTTTCTTCTGTAGTTATGTCTTCCACTGATTCTCTTTTTCCTCTCTAGTCTACTTTTAAAACCCATGAGATTGCACTGGGCCCACCCATATAATCCAAGATATTCTCACTCTTTTTTATTTATCTGATTTAGCAACTTTAATTTCTCTTTGCCATGTAACCTATTATTTTCTAAAGTTCTAGGAATTAGGACGTGAACATCTTTGCACATAATTCTGCACACCACATGGATGCTGGAACAAACTAATTGGAGAGCAACCCTGAAATTCCACTTTTGGGAATTATCCAAGAAAATAATAAGTATTATGCTTTGGAATTGACGGCACAGATATTTATAACAGCAAAAAGTTAAAAGGAAAATCAATGCCTATGAAAAGGCTGGTAGTCAAACAAATTATTATTCATCCATATGATGGAAAGTGCCCAAGCCATATCTGTGTATTGATATGAATGGTGTCAATAATATGTCAAGTGAAAAACACAGAATATATTGAAAGTATTTGATACATATGTCAAACTATTAATAGTAGTTATTTCTGAGAGTGGTCGATTTGGAATGTGAGAGATTTTCACTAGGTTATTGACACTTTTTATAATAATCATTGATTATCACAGAAAAAATTATGCCATGTCCTTTTAGGAATAAAAACCTCAAAGTTGTAAAGAACTGTTTGATCATGGCTGAATTATTTATTAGTAAGTACTTCTATTAACAGAAGTTGTTTTCTTTTTTTCCCAATTGTATCCAAACAATTAGGTCTAAAAGAAAAACAGGGCGCACTGCCATGAGGCATTGTGTGTGTGTCTGAATTCAAAAATCATATAAAATCTTTGTTTGCCGCTTTAATTATCTGACTCTTATGGGTTTTAATAATCTTCCAAATGCTGTTCCCATTTATTAGGCCAATGCATCAGACTTCATTTCACTTAGAGTCTTGGAGTCCACTTGCTTGTCTCACTTATGAAATAGATTGCAGTTCTGAAACCTTAGGCAGCTTGACACATTCAACTTCAGGTCTTTAGACAGATGCATTCACGGTCTCAATGACAGACAATGAGAAAGGGCCTACTATGTGCTAGTCATGATGCACAGCAGGGACTGTCCTGGGAGGTAACATGTTAAGGGAGATACAAAATGAGTTAATTGCTGGATGTCAAAGAAGGCAGACTAGAGATTATCATACATGGAGGTGGCCTGACTGTCAGGCCTGCTAAAGTCTGGCTGTGATTTCTGTTCTTGATTCATGGGAGATATTCGTGTATTTTTCCCTTAAACTTCTTTCTTGCATTAGTTAGCTTGAATATATTTCCATTTGTAATAGTATATATCCTAATTAAGACAGTCAGCATTTCCCAGTTGTGTTTCTCAGAACTAGTGCTCTCTGTACTGTTGCTGGATGTTCTGCTGAAAGATCACAGTATTAGAAAGATTCAGCAAAGGGCAGTGGCTAATTGTGCCACACCTAGGAGTTAAAGCAGTGCTCAGCCTGGACTCAAAGTCCACCCCAAATCCTCTCATAAGCAAGGAGACACAGCTGAACTGTGCATTTCCACTGTGCAAAGCAGCTGGTTCTGTTCACCCCAATCAACATCTCCACCTAATTTCAGACACCCTCCTACAACCCAGATCAACTGCTGAACTCACATAGTAATACTACCTGGCCAAGGAATGATCTTCCTGTGGTTTGGTCCAATCTGAGGTAATTGCAGTGCCTACCCAGAAGCTCAGACTGATTGCAGAATTCAGCCAGTTGTCTCGCTGGATAGCAGAGCCTAGGTAGCTTCTCCATATGAACTCAGAGCAAAGGCAGCAGTCCAGGCATCTAGAGAACCTGAAAGCAAGTTCTAGCTCCTCAGGACTGTCACCAACTGGCCCACTTTGAATCATAGACTAGACTAAATAATGCAAGTGTATCCCTGCCAGAGCACATCTATAAAAGCTGGGAAAGGTGGCTGTTTCCTTTAATGCACAGATACCAATGCAAAGATGCAAGAATTGCAAAGATTCAGGAAACCATTACACCTTCAAAAGAAACTAACAAAGCTCCAACAATAGGACCTAGGAAATGACAGGTGAAGAATTCAGAATAACCTTCTGAAAGATGTTCACTGAACTACAGAATATATGGACAAAAAATAAAATGAAATTTTGAACAAAACATGAACACAACTAAGAGTTTGACAAAGAAGTAGATACAATTTTAAAAAAGAAATCCTCGGGAGGCTGAGGCAAGAGGATCACTTGAACCCGGGAGATGGAGGTTGCAGTGAGCCAAGATCAAGCCACTGCACTCAAGTCTGGAGACAGAGTGAGACTCCATCTTAAAAAAGAAAAAAATGAAAAGAAATCCTAGAGATTAAGAATATAATGACTACGCTGGGCGCGGTGGCTCACGCCTGTAGTCCCAACACTTTGGAAGGCCGAGGTGGGCGGATCACCTGAGGTCAGGAGTTTGAGACCAGCCTGGCCAACATGGTGAAACCCCATCTCTACTAATAATACAAAAATTAGCCAGGCATGGTTGCACATGTCTGTAATCCCGGCTACTTGGGAGGCTGAGGCAGGAGAAGCACTTGAATCTGGGAGACAGAGGTTGCAATGAGCCAAGATTGCACCATTGCACTCCAGCCTGGGCAACAAGAGTGAAACTCTGTCAAAAAAAAAAAAAGAATACAATGACTAAACTAAAAATGCAATAGAAAACTTCAAAAGCAGGCATGATCAAGCTGAAGAAAAATATCAGTGAGCTTGAAGACAGAACATTTGAAATTACATTAACAGAGGAACAAAAAGAAAAAAGAATGAAAAAGCAATGATAGTTAAAAATAATTTATTGTATATTTCAAAATAGGTTGAAGAGAACAATTGTAATTTTCCAACACAATGAAAAGATAAATTATTTGATCATTACACATTGTATACATGTATCAAATATCTATGTATCCCCAAATTATGTACAGCTATATCAATTTTTTTAAATACAGAAAAAAGAAAAATAATAAAGCCTATGGGAATTATGGAACACTATCAAGAGATTTAATCTACACATACTGGGAATTAAAGAAGGAGAAGAGATAAAGGGCCAGAAAGAATATTTTAAAAAATAATAGCTCAAAACTTCCCTAATCTGGAGAAAGATGCCAACATCCAGCCACAGGAAGTTTGAAAGTCTCCAATCACACTCAACCCAAAATGTTCACAAAGACACATAATGATCAAACTGTTAAAAATAAAGACAAAGAAAAAATTATTAGAGCAGCAAAATGTAAGAAACACATCACATACAAAAGGATTCCAATATAATTATCAGTGGATTTCTCAGTAGAAGTCTTAAAGCCAGGAGGGAATGGAATGCAATATTCAGAGTGCTGAAAGAAAAAATACACCTACCAACTAAGAATACTCTACCCAGCCAATTAGTCTTTCTGAAATGAGGGAAAAATAAAAACTTTCCCAGATAAACAAAAGCCAAAGGAGTTTGTCACTACTAGGACTGCCTTGCAGAAATTGCTAAAAGGAGTCCTATAAGCTGAAATAAAAGGCTGTTATTTAATAAAATAAAAGTGATGAAGGCAGGAAATTCATAATAGCATTGTATGAAGCAATGTTATCCCTAGTACAAAGGTTAAAAGACAGAACTACTAACAACGGCTATAGCTAAAATAAATTGTCAAGGGATACATATTATAAAATGGTGTAAATTCTGATATCCAAAACATAACATGGAGGAAGGGAATAAAAGTATAGAGTTATATGCAATTGAAGCTAAGTTGTTATCTGGTTGATATTAAGTAGTATCAGTATAGGATGTTTTATGTAAGCCTCACAGTAACCACAAAGCAAAAATGCATAATAGATGCATGAAATGAAAATAGGAACAATTCAAAGCATATAACAGAAAGCCCTCAAACCACTTTGGAAGACAGCAAGAGAGGAAGACAGAAACAAAGTATATGCAAAAAAAAATCTCAAATAATATTATATCTCACTAAAATAGAAAAAGAGGAACAAAGTAAGCTCAATGTCAGAGGCAGAAAAAAGATAAACAAGTTCAGAGCAGAAATAAATGAAATAGAGATTAGAGAAACAATACAAAACATCAATAAATTTAAATTTAAATTTTTTCTGAAAAGATAAACAAAATTGACAAACTTCTAGCTAGACTGAGAAAAAATGAGAAATGATTCAAATATATAAAATCAGAAATGCTCTACCAAAAAATACAAAAAATTAGCCAGAGCTTGGTGGTGCACATCTGTGGTCCCAGCTATTCAGGAGGCTTGTGAGGTAGGAGAATCACTTGAGCCTGGAAGGCGGAGGTTACAGTAAGCCGAGATCACATCACTGCACTCCAGGCTGAGTGACAGAATAAGCCTCCATATAAAAAAAAAAAATCAGAAATGAAAGTGAATACATTAAAACTGATACCACAGAAGTACAAAGAATCATTAGAGACTATTATAAACAATTATATACCAAGACATTGGATAACCTAGAAAATACGGATAAATTCCTAGATACACACAACCTACCAAGACTGAATCATGAAGAAATAGAAAATCTGAACAGACCAACAACGGGTAATGAGATTGAATCAGTAATAAAAACACTTTCATCAAAGAAAAGCACAGGACTTAATGACTTCATGGCTGAATTCTACCAAACATTGAAAGAACTAATACCAATCCTTCACAGACTTTTCCACAATATCGAGGAGGAGAGAACACTTCTAAACTCTAAGACCAGCATTATCCTGATATCAAAGCCAAACAAGGACATAACAAGAAAGAAAACTACTGCTCAGTATCCCTTATGAATACAGATGCTAAAATCCTAAGCAAAATACTAGGAAACAGAATTCAACAACACATTAAAAGGATCATTCACCATGATTATGTGGGATTTATCCCTGAAAGGCAAGGATGGTTCAACATACACAAATCAAGAAATGTGGTACATCACACTAACAAAATGAAAAACAAAAACATGTTGTCATCTCATTAGATGCAGAGAAAGCATTTGGTAAAATTCACCATCTTTTCATGAGAAAAGCACTCAACAAATCAGGTATAGAAGAAGTGTACATCAACACAATAAAGGTCATATATAATAAGCTCAATGCTAACATTATACTTAATGGTGAAAAATTGAAATCCTTTCTTCCATAATCCATAACAAGACAAGGACACTCACTTGCACCACTTCTATTCAACATTGTATTGGAAGGCTTTGCCAGACTAACTGGGCAAAAGAAAAAAAAGTAAAATGCACGCAAACAGATAAATAAAGAAGTGAAACTGTCACTCTTTGCGACAATATAATCTTATACATTAAAAACCCTTAATGTTCTACCAAGAAACTGCTAGAATTAAGAAATGAATACAGTAAAGTTGTAAGATTAAAAAAAAAACACACAAAAATCAGTAGTTTCTATACACCATCAATGAACTATCTGAAAAAGAAATCAAAAGAACAATCCCATTTACAATAGCTAGAAAAATAAATTATTTAGGAATAAATTTAAATAAGGAAGTGAAAGACCTATACCCTGAAAACTATAAATGTTAATGAAAGATCTGAAGAAAATACAATTAAGTAGAAAGATTATCTTGTGTTCTTGGGTTAGAAAAAGTAATATTTTAAAATTTCCGTACTATATAAAGCTAACTACAGGTTCAATGTAATTTCTATCAAAATATCAAAGTTAATTTTTTGACAGAAATAGTAAAAACAATTCCAAATTTCATATGGAACCACAAAGACCTGAAATAGTCAATGCAATTATGAGCAAAAATAACAAAGCTGGAGGCATCACACTGCATCATTTCAAATTATACTACAAAGCAGTAGTAATTAAAAGACCATGGCACCAGCATGAAAATAGACTCATCAACCAATGGAACAGAATAGAAGTGAAAAGATGGTGGTCAAAGGGTACAAAATCTCAGACAGGAAGAATAATTTTTTCTTCAATATTGTACAGTGTAGTGAATATAGTAAAGAATAATGCATTGTTCATTTCAAAATTGGTAGGAGAATAAATTTTATATATTCTAACCATAAAATTAATAAATATTGGAGATGATGAATATATTATCTTGGTTCAACTTTTTCATGTTGTATTCATAAATAGTAACATTAATTTGCATTCTACAGGTATGTACAACCATAATTTGTCAACTTACAATTAAAATAAAATTTAAAAAATAAACTTATAGAATTATTTCCTTCAAAGTTTTTCTAATATGCATGCATGCACACATATAAGCATATATATTTCATAATAAATAGAG
This sequence comes from Homo sapiens, assembly GCF_000001405.40. Taxonomy (NCBI): domain Eukaryota; kingdom Metazoa; phylum Chordata; class Mammalia; order Primates; family Hominidae; genus Homo; species Homo sapiens. Next base: position 63,177,015 of record NC_000003.12, read on the forward strand.
GAAACTGACATGTAAAATGTTAGGCTATTTCCAAGAACAGCAAAAATAAAATAAAATAAAATAATGAGAGGCTGCACCCAATTCACCAATGCATGATATTAGTCTGTAAATTGATGCTTGAGACATACTTCCTAGCTCACTCTAGACTGGTATCCCATCCTACTGATCTCTATTATGTTATGTTGCTTTACATTTTAACATATTTGTGATGTCACTTAACATTTACTATATATTAACAGAATGAGCAAATGATAATAGTTTCTTGCCATAATGACTTTATCTGCAAGAACATTTTAATATTATTATGAATTATGTTTTATAAGCATTTGATGCTACAGCAATTCATTTTCATTTTAGGAGTTCTATGGTCAAATCTTGAATTGTTGGCTACAAATCAGAGATGCAAAGTTTAAGAAAGATGCTGATAGGTGTGTACGTGAGAGTCATAAAGACAGTCTCACAATTACACATTACAGTGGTACCCAGGCCTGATCACAGACTGGACTCATCTGGGCAACCTCTGCTAAAATACAGATTCTCAGCCTCTAGATCAAATCTAATAAATGCGAGTCTCCTATGGAAGGAATCCAGAAACCTGTCTTGCTCAGATGATTCTTCTGCAGTATGTCCACAGACCTGGTTTATAACGTACAAGTATATTCTAGCTTGCCATAGTTGTAAAGAAAATTACACAAGATGAAAATAAATTAAGGCATTTACAGACTTGAAGGGTAGAGTGATGTAATAAAAATACAGCTCTTGTTGGAATATACAATAAATAATTATTATTATTACAGCATGTTTGATACTTGCTATTGAAAGTTACAGCCTAAAACACAGGCCTTAATCAAAGTCTGTTTAAATTATACCAGAAAATTGAAATGCACCCATCACTGCAACTTAGAGATAATTAACTATATTATCCCAGTTGGTTTCATAAATCAGTGTAGCAGCTGTGAAAAGTGGCTTGGCCATATGTGCCAAGGGCCTGAAAAATATTTATCTTTGCACCAATAATTTTCACTGCTAGGTAGGTCCTCTAAAGAAATAATCAGAGAAGTGGACACATATTAATATTTAAATGTAGTTATTTCATTTACAATATCACAAAATGGAAAATAACCAAAAAGGTATAACTGTAAGGAACTGTTTTAATAAATGATAATGTATACACATGCTCACATATTACAGTCATTACAATTACATTTATGACAAATATTTACTGGCAAGGGAGAAAATACTGCACAGTCTAATGCTGAGGCAAAAGCTTTAACACTCAAGGGATGCCTAAAGCTGCTGAGTTTGCTACATATAATAGAAAGCTCTAAAAAGGAAGCCAGATTTTATTTATCTATGTAGGATGAGGGGACATGAACCAGAAAGAAAATGCAAAAGAGTCAAAGAAAATACACTGGGAAATAAGGGGAAAAAATGAATTACGGGATAGATTGAGCATTTACAGAGACCTCCCCCACCCCACCCCCATTCTATCATACACACACGTCTAAAGATCTAGGCTAGTTGTTCTCAATCTTATCTGCACCTTGAAATAATCTTAAACATTCTGATCAATTCCCACCTATGAGTGAGAACATGTGGTATTTCGTTGAACAATGAGAATACTTGGACACAGGAAAGGGAACATCACACACCGGGGCCTGTTGTGGGGTGGGGGGAGTGGGGAGGGATAGCATTAGGAGATACACCTAATGTAAATGACAAGTTAATGGTTGCAGCACACCAACACGGCCCATGTATACATAAGTAACAAACCTGCACGTTGTACACATGTACCCTAGAACTTAAAGTATAATAAAAATATATATATTAAAAAAAAGAAATAATCTTAAACATTCTGATCTGTGTCTCTATCAAGCCCATTAAATCATAGTCTCTGGGAGTTAAAACCCAGTCATCAGGTGCATTTTTTTAAAGTTCCCTAGATGACTCCGATATGCAGCCAAGTTTGGGAACCTGATTAAAGACATTTAACAGTGAGAACTCACCCCTTGTGCAGTACAAGGAAGGGGTGTAATTAGGTCATAGCATTGAGTATTTCTTTTCTCATTCCATTATCCTGCCCTATCAGTAGAGCTTTGAAACAATATCTGGAGCCCTTCAGTGAATAACTGCTTAAATTTTCAGCCAACTTATATCCTGGGAAAGAGGAGTGCAGTTTTACCAAAGCCCTCCCACTTTAGAAGCCACCCTTATCATGGATAAGAGCTAGAAAATGAGCCAGGCTTATCCTCTTAATAGTCCCCTCCCCAAAGGTAGCTAAAGACATGTCCTGGGGAGTCCAGCTAAGTTTCAGGCCTTAGCCTGCCATTAGGTTTACAGCCACATTGATTTACAAATTCCCTATTATGTTAGATTTACAAGAGTCATTTCATAGTCCCCAAACTGGTCCCAAGTGCACAAACAAGCTTGGAATTCAACATTTCAAACTCCAGGATAACATATCCACTTTGCCCTTTGCTTCAGTAGAATAATTGGATCTTTGTCATAAGGAACAATTGCACTCGTGTTAGTACAAAGAAATATTGGAAAGATGGCTCAATAGCAATATGAATTAATGAAATAAACTGAAAATTGTTGTAAAGTGGAGATTCATTGCTCCCCTAAATGAAGACTTGCAAACTGGCATTCCTATGCCACATCAAGCCCAAAATGTATTATGGTAAGCACACACAATATTTACAAAAAAATTGAATTTAAATCCCTTTAAAGGAGGTGTGCAGTCTCCATCCCATCCCATCACAGTCCTCACTACTACCCCCAGGCCACTTGAAGCATTTGTGTGACATGCTTAGCCTCAACTGTCGTTGAGTGTCTGGTTGATGACCACCAAACTCTCTGTTTCTTGGTATTTTTCAAACTTGTGGGGGTGATTTGGCTTCTTTTTCCCTTTTTGTGGAGAACGGGATCTCACTATGTTGCCCAGACCTGTCTTGAACTCCTAGGCTCAAACTATCCTCCCTCCTCTGCCTCCCTAAGTGCCGGGATGATAGGCATGAGCCACTGTGCAAGGCCATGGTATTTTTAACTCTGGCTTCTCTGCAACGGTTGACATGTAACACTAATCAGTGTTGCAGAGATTCCAGCTAAGAGCCAACTTCTCTATCCTTGAAGAAGTGTGGACACAGGCTTGGACCAGCTTGTGAATTATTGGCCAATGTGACTCTGAGAACAGATTTCCGATTTTATAGATACTAACCCAAACAAATTCTGAGATTCACCAGGGACAGGGCCTGTAGCTCCATTTGACATCACCTCATCAGAGTACCAGCTGCCTGGTTCTTTTTTTAGCCACAGAGGTTGAGCAGTGGATCATCAACAATTGCACAGCAGAAGTAAGACAAGAGGGAGGCAGAGAGAGCCATCCAGAGTGCTAGTCCCCTGCAAGGGGGCAGCCATCATCTCCCATGTGAAACTTACTCCTTTTGCACAGAGGTCCACATGGAAAGTAATACATCTCCCCTTATTTAAGTAACATAAAACTTTGTCATTTTTACTTTCCCTTTTGGAGAGTCCATAGAAAGGAAATGTAAATCTTCATTTTCTTGTTTGCTCTTTGTTCAATAAATAGAATTCAATATAAACATGGTTTATAGTGGCAACATTGTCTCCCTACTGATCCCAGAACATTAATTCATACCTAAAAAATCTCAACAAATATTAGCTGAATGAATGAATGAGAACTATATAGAATCTTCCCTGTCTAGCCTATGTACTCAAGCAGCTATTCCTCAAGGCTGCTTATCTGAAATGTTTCATAGTTGCTACAAACAAAATCTGCCACATCTTTGGAGGAAAAATATTCCTTTTCACTAGAGAAGGTTGAGAATAATTTTCGCAGGAAGTGGTATTTGAGCTGCACCTGGAAGGATAAGGAAAGTCACAAAAGAAGATATGCAAATCAGCAGGAATAGAGTAGTACAGAATATTTTAAGATGTAAACAAGGACCAAAGGAAACTGCTATCTCATTAAAGGGAATCCACTTAAAGCAAGGACCAAAATTTCATAGTAGGTAATGCAGAAAAATCTGGTTGGAAATTTATCTCATAAATAAAACAAAAACTTTTTTTAAAGTTTATGTTTTACAACTTTTCAATTATAATCACAGGTATATTCTAAATATTAAAACACGTGAATCAAGGATGGGGTGTGTGTGTGTGTGCATGTGAGAGAGACAGAGAGAGAAACTCTTTTGATACAATTTTATGGTAACATGAGATGACCTCTTTCACTTTATACTTGACTTTTACAGGTTGTTCATGAAGAGGTTTATCTTAGACTATTCAGGCTGCTATACCAGAATACCACAGACTGGGTGGCTTATAAACAACAGAAATTTATTTCTTACACTTCTGGAGTCTGGGAAGTCCAAGATTAAGGCACTGGCAGATTTGGTGTCTGGTGAGAGCTTGCTTCCTGGTTCATAAACAACACCTTTTTGCTGCATCTTCATATGGCAGAAGTGGTGAGGAAGCTCGCTGGGGTCCCTTTTATAAAGGCACTAATCCCATTCATGAGGGCTCCACCCTCATGACCCCATCACCTCCTAAAGGCCACACTTCCAAATACCATTATCTTTGGATTTGGTTTTAACATATAAATTTTGAGGGGAAAGAAACATTATTCCCTTTTTATAAAAGAAGGTGATGAAAAATATTTAGAAGAAGTAGAATTTGAATTGCACCTGGTAGGATAAGGAGAATCACAACAGGATGATGTGCAAATCAGCAGAAAACTACAGAATATTTTGAGACATAAACAAGGACCAAAGAAAAGTGCTATCTCATTAAAGAGAATTCACTTAAATGGGGACTAAAATTTCATAGTAAGTAATGAAATGAGATTTAATTGAAAATTTATCTCAAAATAAAACAAAAACAAAAATAAGTTTAAATTATATTTTACTACTTGTCAGTTATAATCATCGCTATATGTTATTAGGCTGTGGCAAAAGTAACTGTGTTTTGCCATTAAAAGTAATGGTAAAAATGCAATTACTTTTGCATCAACCTAATCTTAAACAATGAATCAAGGGTGGGGTGTGTGTGTGTGTGTGTGTTTGTGTGTGTGCATGCACCCATGTGAGTAAAATACTTTTGATACAACTGTGCAGTAACATGAGATGACCTCTTTCACTTCTTACTTGACTTTAATGGATCACCATGAAGTGATGACACTTACAAAAATATTTTGAAAGCTAGAATAACTTCTTCTACACCACTTTTTATCAACCTCATAAAATATCACATCTTTGGCAATGTTGACAATTCCATTTGCAATCAGTTCATATTGTACGGACTCTGTATTGTGAAAAGCTGAAGGAACTGATAATCATGGAGAAACAATCATGGAGAAACCAAGAGATTGACTCAATGTGCAGAGATGTTAGAGGAGGTCCTAAGTTATAAATGTTTTCTTCATTGGTAAGTCTTTATCGACAGTTATAGCTTCGACTTCTTTTTGCAGTATGATCACTTTTATTGTTATCAGAAAGGACTCATTATTATCGACAATTTTTGATAATAAATACTCAGTAATAAGAATCTCTTGTAGTTGACATTGCCTGGATATAAGAAACAGGTTGAGAAGTTCTGGGAAATAAGGTTGGCAACTTTGATTGGTGCCTTGAACTCTGAGGTGAAGAGAGAGGGCTTTATCATTTACTTAATAGAAAGTCATTGAAGGTGTTTGAGCTTAGAAGTGAAGTGAACAATGTTTAGAAGGAATATTTGTCTGGCAGTGCTAGGGAGGATAGGTTGCAGTGAAGGCTACAGGGTGCATGCAGTCAGGAGGCCAATGTAATCCATCAATACTTGTGTTTCCTTACAGGATGTTTGTCTATGAGGAAAGGCAAAGTTTCCTCGTTTATCAATGCTTTCTGTCTTCCTTTGACTTCCATTGCAATTGATGGTGATGTGCACCTTCATTTATCTTTGTAGAATGAGAGACATTTTTTTTTCAGAACCATTTGCATGTTTTAAGGAGCCCACACAGAGACTAATGTGATTGGCAATTTGAAACATATCATCTCTATTTAGCTCCAGCATCATGCCTGAGGGAAGAAGGATTAAGTAAGAAGGAAAACAGATTCTCCCCGCTTTTTCCTACCTCTATGAAAACTTGAAATTAATTTTTTCTTGTAATGTTTACTTTAGAAGTTAAAACAAATGAAAAGGCTAGACTTTTAAGACTAAAGTCTTGGTTAAGTTTCTGAGATTAAGAAGATCTGTGAAGAAAGTCAATGGTAGCTTGATGTGAATAGCATTGAATCTGTAAATTACTTTGGGCAGTATGGCCATTTTCACGATACTGATTCTTCCTATTCAAGAGCGTGGAATGTTTTTCCATTTGTTTGTGTTCGCTCTTATTTCCTTGAGCAGTGGTTTGTAGTTCTCCTTGAAGAGGTCCTTAACATCCCTTGTAAATTGTATTCCTAGGCATTTTATTCTCTTTGTAGCAATTGTGAATGGGAGTTTGCTTATGATTTGGCTGTTTGTCTGTCTATTACTGGTGTATAGGAATGCTTGTGATTTTTGCACATTGATTTTGTATCCTGAGACTTTGCTGAAGTTGTTTATCAGCTTAAGGAGTTTTTGGGCTGAGACGATGGGGTTTTCTAAATATACAATCATGTCATCTGCAAACAGAGATAATTTGACTTCCTCTCTTCCTATTAGAAAAAAACTACTTTAAATTTCACATGGAACCAACACAGAGCCCACATAGCCAAGACAATCCTAAGCAAAAACAACAAAGCTGGAGGCATCACACTACCTGACTTCAAACTATACTACAAGGCTACAGTAATCAAAACAGCATGGTACCTGTACCAAAACAGATATTAGACCAGTGGAACAGGACAGAGGCCTCAGAAATAACACCACACATCTACAACCATCTGATCTTTGACAAACCTGACAAAAACAAGCAATGGGAAAAGGATTCCCTATTTAATAAATGGTGTTAGGAAAACTAGCTAGCCATATGTAGAAAACTGAAACTGGGCCCCTTCCTTACACCTTATACAAAAATTAACTCACGATGGATTAAAGATTTAAACATAAGACCTAAAACCATAAAAACACTGGAAGAAAACCTAGGCAATACCATTCAGGACATAGGCATGGGCAAAGACTTCATGACTAAAACACCAAAAGCAATAGCAACAAAAACCAAAATTGACAAATGTGATCTAATTAAACTAAAGAGCTTCTGCACAGCAAAAGAAACTATCATCAGAGTGAACAGGCAACCTACAGAATGGGAGAAAATTTTTGCAATCTATCCCTCTAACAAAGGGCTAATATCCAGAATCTACAAGGAAGTTAAACGGATTTGCAAGAAAAAAAACAAACAACTCCATCAAAAAGTGGGCGAAGGATATGAAGAGACACTTCTCAAAAGAAGACATTTATGTGGACAACAAACACATGAAAAAAAGCTCATCATCACTGGTCATTAGAGAAATGCAAATCAAAACCACAATGAGATACCATCTCATGCCAGTTAGAATGGCGATCATTAAAAAGTCAGGAAACAACAGAGGCTGGAGAGAATGTGCAGAAATAGGAATGCTTTTACACTGTTGGTGGGAGTGTAAATTAGTTCAACTATTGTGGAAGACAGTGTGGTGATTCCTCAAGGAACTAGAACCAGAAATACCGTTTAACCCAGCAATCCCATTACCGGGTATATACCCAAAGGATTATAAGTCATTCTATTATAAAGACCCATGCACACGTATGTTTATTGCAGCACTATTCACATTAGCAAAGATTTGGAACCAACCCAAATGTCCATCAATGTTAGACTGGATAAAGAAAATGTGGCAAATATACACCACAGAATACTATGCAGCCATAAGAAAGAATGAGTTCATGTCCTCTTCAGGGACATGGATGAAGCTGGAAACCATCATTCTCAGCAAACTAACACAGGAACAGAAAACCAAATACCGCATATTCTCACTCATAAGTGGAAGTTGAACAATGAGAACATATGGGCACAGGGAGGGGAACATCACACACCAGGGCCTGTCTGGGAGCGGGCGGGCAAGGGGAAGGATAGGATTAGGAGAAATATCTAATGTAGATGACGGGTTGATGGGTGCAGCAAACCGCCATGGCACATGTATATCTATGTAACAAACTTGCACTTTCTGCACTTGCATCCCATAACTTAAACTACAATAAAAAGGTGTGTAGTATACGTTACTTTTTTAACTAAAGAAGGAAATATGTATATATTAAAAAACTGAGTTTATTTTTAAACCATCTTTCTAAAGCAATTTAATGTGACTATATGTTATCCTTTCAGAGCTGCAAATGAAGTGAAATAAGTGGTGCACTTTTCCCAGAATGTTACATGAAAATACGTTTTAACTATGGTGTGTGGTACTTAAATTTAAAAAGTGTGAATACATGCACATTTCCTTTCATTCTTTTACAGTTTCTGAACCTTCACTCACACACACACACACACACACACACACACACACACAATGTATTCTAGTAGAAGAATAAATGGAAATTTAGTAGAAGGCAATTAATGCTGTCCAAATAATTTCAGAACTTAGGCTCTTGTACTCTCAGTAGAAGGTTTTGAAAGTTTGTGTTTAGTCACCCATGAGCCAGTAATGGGTCTATTTCCTAAGTGAATAATAACAATGACAGGGAGAACAAGGTAACTGCCCCTTTGAAATGTGAATGTTTCAAAGGGTGTTGCTAGCAGGTAGAAGAACCTCAAATGTTTTACTTCATCTCTCACTTTCTTTCTTTTTTCTTTTCTTTTCTTTTTTTTTTTGAGACGGAGTTTTGCTCTTGTTACCCAGGCTGGAGTGCAGTGACGAGATCTCGGCTCACCACAACCTCTGCCTCCCGGGTTCAGGCGATTCTTCTGCCTCAGACTCCCCAGTAGCTAGATATGTGCCGCCACACCCGGCTAACTTTTTATACTTTTAGTAGAGACGGGGTTTCTCCATGTTGGTCAGGCTGGTATCAAACTCCCGACCTCAGGTGATCCGCCCGCCTCGGCCTCCCAAATTGCTGGAACTATAGGTGTGAGCCATCGCACCTGGACTCATCTCTCACTTTCTAAAGCTTCTGGGGCTAGAGATTTTGCAATGATTTCTACAATTCTTTATTGCCTCCCATCCGGTGCCCTTCAACCATAAACAATCTGAACTCTAAGAAAACCAGAAAAATCTTAACTTGAATATGAAGATGATATCTTCATTTTATTTTCATTTACTTTTAGTTGACACATAATAATTAATACATACTTATGAGATAAAGAGTGATATTTTGATACATATATAATGTATAAAGATCAGGGTAATAGCATATTATCACCATAAATATTTAACATTTCTTTCTGTTAGAAACATTCAAAATCTTCTTCTAGCAGAAAATATAAAATAAATTATTAACTATAGTCACCCTACAGTGCTATAGAATCTAGGACATATTCCTTGTATCTAGCTATAATTTTGAACCGATTAACCAACCTGTCTCTATCCTCCCTCCCCACTACGTTTCTTAGCTACTAATAGACATAATTCTACTCTCTACTCCTATCCACTCAACTTTTTGGCAACCACATATAAATGACAATGTGGTATTTTTATGTCTCTGTGCCTGACTTATGTCACTTAACATAATGTCCTCCAGGCTCATTTATGTTGTTGTGAATGACAGGATTTCATTCTTTTTTAATGGCTGAATAGTATTCCATTCTGTATATATACCATATATTCTTGATTAATTCATCTATTGGTAGACACTTAGGTCGATTTCATATCTTGGCTATTGTGAATGGTGCTACAATAAACATGAGAGTACAAATACTGTTTCAATGTACTGATTCATTTCCTTTGTATAAATACTCAGTCGTGGGATTGCAGGATCATATGGTAATTCTATTTTTAGTTTTTTGAGGAAGCTCCATGCTATTTTCCATAGTGGTTATACTAATTCACATTCCCACCAATGTTGTATAAGGGTTTCCTTTATTCAACTTTCCCACCGGCATTGTTTTTTCTTTCTTTTTGATAATAACCATTCTAATGGGGGTGAGATGATATCAAATGATGGTTTTTATGTGCATTTCCATGATGATTAGTGATGTTGAACATTTTTTTCACATGCTTGTTGGTCATTTGTATGTATTCTTTTGAGAAATATTTATTCAGGTTATTTGTCCATTTTAAAATCAAATTATTTGTTTTATTTGTTTTGCTGTTGAGTTCCTTGCATATATTCTGGATATTAGTGCTTTCATCAAATGAATAGTTTGCAAATATTTTCTCCCATTCTTCCACAGGTTACCTCCTCACACTGTTTATTGTTTCCTTTGCTAAGTAGAACTTTTTTCCTTTGTTGTAGTCCCATTTGTCCAGTTTTGTTTTTGTAGCCTGTGCTTTTGAAGTCTTTTCCATAAAATCCTGCCTAGACCAATATCCTGAAACATTTCCTCTAGGTTTTCTACCAGTAATTTTATAGTTTTGTGTGTTACATTTAAGTCTTTAATCCATTATGAGTAGACTTTTGTCTATAGCAAGATATAAGGGTCTAGTTCCATTCTTCTTCATATAGATACCCAGTTCTACCAGAACCATTTACTGAAGGGGTGATCCTTTCCCCAGTGTATAATCTTGGCACCTTTTCCAAAAATCAATTGACTAAAAATGAGTGGATTTATTGATATATTCTCCATTCTGTTTCAGTGGTACATGTGTCTATTTTTATACCAATACCACATTGTTTTGATTATCATTTCTTGTAGTATATTTTGAAGTCAGGTAGTGTGATGCTTTCAGCTTTGTTCTTTATTTTCAGTATTGCTTTGGCTATTCAGGGTCTTTTGTAGTTCCATACAGATTTTAGAATTGTATTTTTATTTCTGTAAAGAATGTAATTGGCATTTTGATAGTGATTTCACTGAGTCTGTAGACTGCTATGGGTAGTACAGTCATTTTAACAATATTAATTCTTCCAGTCTATGAAAATGAGATGTCTTTCCATTTTTTGTGTCTTAGTCAATTTCTTTACTCTGTTTTTTGTAGTTTTCATTGTGGAAGTTTTTCCATTCATTGGTTAAATTTATTCCTATGTATTTACTTTTCTGTAGCTATTGTAAATTGGATTGCTTTCTTAATATCTATTTCATCTAGTTCTTTATTGGAATATAGAAATGCTACTAATTTTGTATGTTGATTTTGTGTCTTGCAACTTTACTGAATGCATTTATCAGTTCTGATAGTTTTTTTGGTTGAGTCTTTAGGTTTTTCTGTATATAAGATCATACTGTCTGCAAAGAAGGATAATTTGACTTCCTCTTTCTCAGTTTGGATGCCTTTTATTTTGTTCTCTTGCCTTATTGCTCTCGCTAAGACTTCCAATACTATGTATAAGTACTATGTAATAAGAATGGGGCGTCTTGTTCTGGATCTTAGAGGGAAAGCTTTTATCTTTTCCTTGTTCACTATGATGTTGGCTGTGGACTTGTCATTTTAGACCTTCAATGTGCTGAAAATGTTCTTTGTATACCTACTTTGTTAAGAGTTTTTTATCACAAAGTGCTGTTGAATTTTATCAAATGCTTTCTCTGCATCTATTGAAATGATCATTTGGTTTTTGTCCTTTTATTCCGTTGATATGATGTATCAAGTTTTTTGACTAGCATATGATGAACCATCCTTGCATCCCTGGGATAAATGCCACTTGAGTATGGGGTGTTATCTTTTTGATGTGTTAGATTTGGTTTGCTAGTATTTTATTAATAATTTTTGCATCTATATTCATAAGGGATATTGACCTGTAGTTTTCTTTTTTTTTTTTTCTGTGTCTTTACCTTGTTTTGGAATCAGGATAATGCTAATGCTGGCCTCATAGAATGAGTTAGGAAGAATTCCCTCCTCTTCTATTTTCTTTTAAGAAAGGCTAGAAGGACAAGATCTTATATTTTATATTTTTAGAATAGTTTGAGAATAATTGGTTTAAGTTCTTCTTTAAAAGTTTAAATGAATTCAGCAGCCATCCTGTCCTGGGATTTTCTTTTTTGGGAAACTTTTATTATTGATTCAATCTTGTTACTCATTATTAGTTTGTTCAGGTTTTCTATTTTTACTTGGTTCAGTCTTGATTGGTTATATGTGTCCAGGAATTTATTCATTTCCTTTATATTTCCCAATTTGTTGGCATATTGTTGTTCATAGAAATCTCTAAAAATCCTTTGTATTTTTGTTGCACCAGTTGTAATGTCTCCTTTTTTTTTTGTTTCTGATTTTATTTGGTTCTTCTCACTTTTTTTCTTAGTCTACCTAATAGTTTCTTGGTTTTGTTTCTCTTTAAAAAAAAACTTTCATTTTGTTGATCTTTGTGTGTGTGTGTGTGTGTGTGTGTTTGTGTGTGTTTGTCTCCATTTCATTTACTTCTGCTCTGATCTTTACTACTGCTTTTCTTCTACTAATTTCAGGTATGTTTTATTCTTCCTTTTCTAGTTCTTCCTTTTCTACTTCCTTGAGGTGCACCATTAGGTTGTTTGTTTGAAATCTATTTTTTTGATTTATATGTTTATTGCTATAAAATTTTCCATTAGCACTGCTTTTAGATTTTGGTATATTGTGTTTTTTAAATTTGTTTCTATATATTTTTAAACATTTCCTTCTTAATTTCTTCATTGACCATTGATTGTTCAGGAGCATGTTGTTTAATTTCCATGTTATTTGTTCAGTTTTCAAAGCTCCTCTTGTTAATGACTTCTACTTTTAATCTATTTTGGTGTGAGAGGTATTTGATATGATTTCAATATTTAAAAATTTGTGGAGACTCATTTGGTAGCCTACCACATGGTCTCTCTTGGAGAATGTTCCATCTGCCACTGAGAAGAATGTGTATTCTGTAGCTGTTGGATGAAATGTTCTGTAAATGTTAGGTCCATTTGGTCTATAGTGTGGTTTGTCTGATGCTTCTTGTTTATTTTCTGTCTAGATGATCTGTCCAATGCTGTGAGTAGGGTGTTGAAGTCCCCAACAATTACTGTATTGCAATCTCTTTAGCTCTAATAATATTTGCTTTGTATATATAGGTGTTCCATTGCGTACACAGAATTAGCAATTGTTCTACCCTTTTGCTGAATTGATATCTTTATCATTATATAATAATCTTATTTGTCTCCTTTTACCTTTTTATTTTTACTTAAAATCTATTTTGTCTGATATAGCTACTCCTGCTTGCTTTTGGTTTCTGTTTACATGGAATATAATTTTGCATCCTTTCACTTTTAGTCTAGGTGTGTCTTTATAGGCAAAGTGGGTTTCTTGCAGGCAACATATAGTTGGGTCTTAAAAAAATCCATTCAGTCAGTCTATATCTTTTATTTGGAGAATTTAAATGGTTTACATCAGACATTATTGATAGGCAAGGATTTACTTCTGTTGTTTTAATTATTTTCTGGTTGTTTGACTTTTCCCAGTTTATTGACTGCGGAAGGGTCCATTTCCACAGTCTCACTCACTTTGATAGTCTTCAGTCCTATGGGCTCTTGGCCAGAGATACCAGTTTCTTGCCATGTGAACCTCTCCACAGGGCTGCTCAAGGACATGGCAACTTACTTTCCTAAGAGCAAGGACTCTAAGAACCAAAAAGAGAGAAGGAGAAAGAGGGAGGGAGGGAGGGAGGGAGAGAGAAAGGGAGAGAGAAAGAGAGAGAGAAAGAGAGAGAGAGAACGAACACATGCGCAAGAAGCAAACCAGAATCTTTTGATAATCTAATCATGGAAGCGACATCTCATTAGATCTGAGTCATTGAGTCCAACCTATATCCAAGGAAAAGGGATTATACAAAGGCATGAGTACAAGGATGGGTGACTGGTAACAATTTTAGAGCCTGCCTAAAAAAAAATGTTTTTTTTTTGTTTTGTTTTGTTTTGTTTTATTTTGTTTTGTTTTTAGAGCCTGCCTAAAAAAAAAAGTTTTTAAACAAGTATGTAAGTCAAAATAAGTTTTTTATCAGACAACTATTTAAAAAATTTAACATTACACTTTGGAGTTCATGATTCAATTGAATGGTTCATTAAAAAGTGATTAGAGTTAAAAATAACTTCATTATTAAAATGTAAAAATAACAGAATAATAATGCTAATCTGAAATTGAAAGATTCAAACTGACAAGTGAAACTTAAAATATGCAAATATCTTTCTATTACCTTTCAGAGCAGGTTCTGATTGGTCTCATTCTACAACTGAGGGCACTGAGGATGAGTAGGCAAGGCAACTTGCCCAAGGTCAACAGCAAGTAAATAGAAGAATTGGAACTTTAACATGGAAAATATAACTCCAGAAGCAGCACTCTTAACAATTTTGCTGAAATCCTAAGATCATTGGCAAAATAAACTTTTCAGTTAATCATAGGTTGCCAGCTCACCTGTGAAGCGATTTCCCTGTACCTACTATTGAGGTGCACTAGTTGAGAACCAGACAGGCTCATTTCTACTTCCATTTTCCTTCAACCCAATGGCACCCAGTTTGCACTAGCAAATAATTAACTTAAGGGTATATCTCACATGGACACTCCTGATTTATGACACATTTCACCATTTAAATGCCCAACCATCCATTTATTCAACCATCCATTCATATTCTCATCCATCTATTCAACACTTCCAATTCATCTACACACCTGCCAATATATTTGTCTACCCATTCCCTCATTACTTCAACACTCCTAATTTATCTACACACTCACTCAACCAACCATTAATTTACTCATCCATTCACCAATTATTTTTTATCAAGCATGATTACTTGGCTTAACTGTGCTATATCCTAAATCATAGTTTCTCAGACTTCAGCCATTCATACTCTAGCTTCAATATTTATAGTTATTTCTGCATGCTTTTGCCTTCTTTTAACTTTCACGTATCTATTTTACTTTTAAAAATATAAATGTCTCTTTTGGCTTCATTCTAGTATTTGCAAAATTGAGGGCTTTATAAGCAAGTTAATTTTTCTCCAAATATACTTTAAAATAAATTCATGAGTTCATTTAAAAAATATTTTATCTACCATGGTTAGCAAACCTTGGGATTAAATTTATTCCTGTTCTGAAGTGTTTAGAAAGCAGGGAAACAGATGCCCTCACCCCCCAATCCACCTTGTCTTTATTTCAGGACCTGCCCCACCTAGTAGGGGGAAGAATCTATATCCAAAAATCTACTTTAGTCTAAGGCTGTGGTTGGAAGTAAAGGAAGGGATAAAGGGCCATCTCCCTCCCCCACCCACCCACCCTCCCATCTGTCTCTGTTCAATTGACAGGTTTGAAAAGAGATTGCTTTCCTAACTACCTGTGGGGCCACCCGTGAGTCAATATTTCATATTCATTAACTAATGAACAGCTGTAGACAGTAAAACCTTTCAGTGAAGGCTGGTTTCAGAGCTTGCTAAGTCAATATCCCTCCTTCGATTGTTCTCCTATCTCACAGCAGCATTTGCTTCCCTCCTAAACATTCACTCCTAGAAGTGGATACTGTAGCCTATGTTGACATTGTCTGATGCCATTTTGCGGCTTCTGAAATATGTATATTTGGACTGTTGGAGTGTATAAAAATAGAGAAAAGGTTGGTCACTCAGATTCATGAAGGGTTTTTTAAAGACAGCTCAGGAGAAGTTTTTTTGTTTGTTTGTTTTTTTGTTTTTTTTCCAATCCCACTCCTCTGCTTCCGATCCCTTTTTCTTTGATGCTCTGTTCTGTCCCCTCATTCTTCTCCATTCCTCCCTTTCCCCCTTGCGTTAGTCTGCTCTCACACTGCTAAGAAAAACATACCTGAGACTGGGTAGTTTATGAAGGAAAGAGCTTTAATGGACTCACATTTCCACATGGTTGGGGAGGCCTCACAGTCATGGCGGAAGACTAAGGAAGAGCAAAGGGACATCTTACATGGAGGCAGGCAAAATGGTTTGTGCAGGGGAACTACTATTTATAAAACCATCAGATCTTGTGAGACTTATTCACTACCATGAGAACAGTATGGGGAAACCGTCCCCATGATTCAGTTATCTTCACCTAGCCCTGCCCTTGAAACGTGGTGATTATTACAATTCAAGGTGAGATTTGGGTGGGTAGACAGCCAAACCATATCACCCCTCCTTCCTCCATTTCCTCTATCCTTCCCCATATTATTCCTTATTTTACCTTCATCTTTCCTGCCTCCTTTTTTATTCCATCTGCTTAATTTAATAATGATTTCTTAAATGACTTTCCTGTTTATTTCAGGTCTATTAATACTAAGAAAACCATCTGGATTAACTGCTAGTTAAAAATGACTGGGAGAGAGAATTGCTTAGTTACTGGAGGTTTGAGGAAAATTTTGAGTACCTACTTTTTAGGTTGTTATAGAACATAAAATCATGTTCATAAAGCATGTGTTTGGCATATAGAAATTGCTCCATAAAAGTTAGTTTTATTATTTCCTTCTCTGACGCTCTCTTCATATTCAGTCAATAGAAGCAATAGTTTCTGATCACTCTTTTTCTCTAAACCATTGTGACAATCAAATTAGGTTATGTTTGGAGGAATATTTTGTTTCTATTATCATACTATCTGTCACGTGAGATAGGAAGCTTCATTTTAATTTTTACCTTTTTCTCAGAGATTGACTTAGGCACTCTTAATCTTTATCCCTTAGTCATGTGGCTCCATAGAAAAATTTTACCTGTAAAATTGACCATGCTTTGCTTTCTATGCTTGAGAGAAAGCATTCATTGTATTTAAAGACTTTAGAGCTGCCGTTTGCAACTACTAAATATTCTTAGGGTGCCCCCTTCTGTTTCCTGACAGTAACAGTGTAGTTTATTTTTATTTTAGTCTGGGAAGTCTAATGCCGTTATTCTTTGTAGGAGATGTATTAAGGTGGGATAGTGTAGCATCAACTCTGGCTGGCCAGGGAGCCTAAGGACAGGGGGTGACCGAAATGGTCTACACAGGGTTGTCAGACCACCACAACAATCATACTGCTCATTGTCTCTGGCAAATATCTTAATAGCCTTAGGTTTTTTTCTATAAATTCATAATATGGCAGGGAAGAAGAGTATTAGGATACCATTATTACATGTGAGAAAGCTGAGACCAATTTTTTCCATTTATAGACCCTTCTAAGTGAGAATTCCTTGATTACTTAAACCATGGGTAGGTGAACATTTTACCCACATTTTTAAGGATCTTTTGATTATAAGCAACTGAAAACAACTAGACTTCACTTGAGCAAAATAAAGGAAATTATTACAAAGCACAGGGGTTCCTCACAGAACCCAAAGACCGTGGGCCTTGGGCAAACAATGGAATTTGGCACCATTTGCCATAAAGACTAATATTCCAATCCCTGCTATTTCTCACTCAGCTTTCCTCTGCCTGGCTGCTGTCTTCTTTTTCTGCTTTCAAGTTTTCTCCGGTGCCTCCAATTCTAAGTCTGCAGGTCTGAGACCACTGGGGCCCACTCTTTTCATTTCAATTACAAATTCCTGGTAGACAAAATCAGTTTGCCTTGAGTTAGGTGTCAGGTCCTGAGCAGATATGGCCAGAGGTACAGGGTGATATAGCAGAAACATGGAGCTTACTCCTCAGACAATTCCTGGAAAGACTTTCTGGACAGATGACCCAAAAATTGACACCTGAGCTACCTGAACAACTGCCTGTGAAAGCATATTTCTTTTGTGCTTTGAGGAAGAGCTTGTGAAGCTGAGAGCCCCGCTGCTCCATTTCAGGCTAGCTCTTGAAAAGGTAATGCTCTGATGGGTGGGGCCACTTAGGAGGGGGCCAGAGACAGGGGCAATTTTCATAGGCAGCAGCTACCGACTCATCAGTAGCTCCAGTATACCTGGAGACATAGTCCTAGAACCATCAGGAGAATAACAAACGGGCTCTTATTCAAGTCTGGGAGGTTGTTGAAGGATTACTGACAACTTAAATAGAAAGAGCTATTTCTGTGGGTTTATCATTTTTCCCCAATGATAAGATATTATTATTACAAAAGCAATGCATATTTGCACTTTTCTCAAATCCTATGGAAAAGTAACACAATACTAATTGAAGCCCTTCCTAATTTCTATCCCATTGCAAGAGACAACCACCAAACACTTACAAGTATATCATTCCAAAATAATTTCCCATGAGTATACCAAATTATAAGTTGGAATTTACCATGAATTATAGTACAAAACCTAAGGTGCAAGAAATATCACATTCCTTTATTTTTCTAACCCAATTCGGCCACTTGTCAGGGTTGATACAATATCTGGTCTTGGGTATTTTGATGTCATTCCTTGGAGGAGGTGGGGGGTAGGTGGGAAGGTGATAAGTTGGGGAAGTTTTATTTTTCTCCTTTTTTTTTAAACGGGGTATCATTCTGTTACCCAGGTTGGAATGTGGTGGTGTGATTAGAGCTCACTGCAGCCTCCATCTCCTCGGCTCATGTGATTCTCCTGCCTCAGCCTCCTGAGTATCTGGGACTATGGGCGCATGCCACCATGCGTAGCTAATTTTTTTTTTTTTTTTTTAGCGTTTTGTAGAGAAGAGGACTCACTTTGTTGCCCAAGCAGGTCTTGAACTCCTAGCCTCAAGTGTCACTCCTGCCTTGGCCTCTGAAAATGCTGGGATTACAGGTGTGAAGCACTACACCCAGCTGAGACTTTCTTTTTCTACCCTGAAATCATACAAAAATGTTTGGATTTATTTTGTCCAGGAGAAAGGGGAAGCATGCCTGGTTCCATCAGTGTACCTCTCCTTGTTGTGTCCTCTTGAGCTCCACCTTTTATGCCAAGCTTTGGCATGAGGCTCTTGAGGACTTCAAGCTCCATGATCTAGAACCAGTCTCCTTGGGACATAGATTTCTGTAGCTTTCCTCTTTCAGGATTTTGTAACATGTGGATGGTTCAGAGGAGTGGGCTGCAGGTCCCTACCATTCCTATACCCATTCAATACCCAATTTGCCCAAACTCTGGAGTATTGACTTTCTTCCTCAAATAAAGTCATTCCATATATCCATGTAAACCACTGTGACCACTATGCTCTTTGGATGATAACTCACTCTTGCCCATAAGACCTCTTGAAGGAATAAGCTTTTTAATGAATTATAAAACCAGGTAATTGGACTACATAATCTAGCTCTACTCTAACTAAACTCACTTCTCTATATGATGGGCATTTAATAATTTGTAATTTTTTGAATGCCCTGAGCAGCATATAAATGATTACTTAAATGTATAGTTTTGTGTTAATTATATTAATCTCAACCATTTCTGAAACTCCCCTATGATCCAGACACTATGTTAAGTTCTTAACTTTCATTTACTAATGAAGAAAACTGAACTTTGGTAATTTGCCAAGGTTATGGAGTTGTGGTGCCCAACATAAATACAACGTGAGTCACACAGGTAATTTTAAATTTATTTTAATCCTTTTGAGACAGGGTTTCACTCTGTCACCCAGGCTAGAGTGCATTGGCACAATCTCAGCTCACTGCAACTTCCATTTCCCAGGCTCAAGTGATCCTCCCACTTCAGCCCCCAAAGTAGCTGAGATCACAGCTGTTTGCCACCAAGCCCGGCTCATTTTTTTATTTTTTGTAGAGATGAGTTTCTCCATGTTGTCCCAGGCTGGTCTCAAACTCCTGAGTTCATGAATCTCCCCAATTTCTGCCTCCCAAAGTGCTGGGATTACAGGCATGAACCACTGCACTGGGACGCTTTAATTTTTTTTTTTTTTTTTTTTTTTTTTTTTTTTTTTTGAGACCAAGTTTTTCTCTTGTTGCCCAGGCTGGAGCACAGAGGCACAATCTCAACTCACCTCAACCTCTGCCTCCCGGGTTCAAGTGATTCTCCTGCCTCAGCCTTCCTGAGTAGCTGGGATTACAGGCATGCACCACCACGCCTGGCTAATTTTGTATTTTTAGTAGAGACGGGGTTTCTCCATGTTGGTCAGGCTGGTCTTGAACTCTCGACCTCAGATGATCCACCTGCCTCAGCCTCCCAAAGTGTTGGGATTACAGGCATGAGCCACCGCACCCAGCCAATTTTAAATTTTTTAGGGCCACATTAAAAAGTATTTTTTAAAGGTGAAATTAATTTTTAAAATATTTTAACTCAATATAACCAAAAGATTAGCATTTCAATATGAAAATCAATATAAAATTGAGATATTTTACATTGTTTGTGCCAAGTCTTCAAAATACAGTTTGTATTTTTTCCATTTACAGCACCTCTCAATCTGGACTAGCCACTGTTGAGGATGAAAACATGCCTTCAGGTAGTTCTGCCTCATGGCTAGGCCAGGGGCATTTTTCAGTCTTTGATTTTGCTTCTGTATGGAGTAGGAGAAAGAAGATGATTGCCTGGGAATTCTAGAAGGAGAATGGAATATATAAAAAGCATGGACTAAGGTGCTGAGATATAATATTACCTCTCCACCTCAAACTGATGTCTGTTACTTAACACTAAGTCTTAGTTAGTACATTTTTCATTGAGTGGCCTTGGGAATTCATCTTTCTTGTAAACCTGATCCTTAACTCTGCTCTTATTTTCTTCCTGTGATTTATTCTGGCAAAGAAGCTGATCTTTGGCAACAATTGCTGAGTCTAAGGCCTGGCAGGGTCCTAGAAATGTTTGCAATTGTGGAGCATTGGTTTCTCCTGCCAGTGCTTTTGAAATACAAAGACTAAGAGAAGTCTCAAGGAGGAAAGTGCCCAGAAACCAGGGCAGCATCTGAACTGCATCACTCACCTGTTGAGGCTGGGAAGAAGCTGTGACATGGAGACAAGAAGTGCTCATTTGGGCCTGGGTGGGTAAGAGGGGA
Organism: Homo sapiens; assembly: GCF_000001405.40. Classification (NCBI taxonomy): domain Eukaryota; kingdom Metazoa; phylum Chordata; class Mammalia; order Primates; family Hominidae; genus Homo; species Homo sapiens. The sequence goes on from NC_000003.12 coordinate 63,197,876, forward strand.
ACTCAACGTGGAAGGTGAGAGAAAGTTGCTGTTTCAGGAGGGTATTGCTGCAGCTTTCAATGATGTTCATGGCTGTATGCTGAGGCCACATGGAGGCGATTAAGGCCTGGTAGGCCAGCAACTCAATAAGGCCTCACTTAGCCAATGAGGTTGCCTCAGATAGGGACCTCAGCTCTTTAAAGCTGCATTCCTTCAAGGAATTGTGTTGAGCCCAGAGGCATTATTTTTACTGAAATATAATTTATATACAGTGAAGTTCATTTTAGTATACAGTTCTATGGTGTTCTATATGTAACACCTCCTCCCAAATTCTCATGCCCCTTTATGGACAATCTCCTACTCCCACTCCTGATCCTTGGAAATCACCAATCAATTTTCTATCCCTGCAGCTTTGCCTATTCCAGAAAGTTCTATGAATGGATTCGTAGAGTGTGCAGCCTTTTGACTCAAGGCATTTTTCACACAGCCTAATGCTTTTAAGATTTATTCATGTTGTTGTGGGTATTACTAATTTGTTCTTTTTATTGCTGGCTAGTATTTCACTGTATGGATTTCCCACTTTTCTTTATCACTAGCTGAAATATGTTTGGATTGCTTCCAGTTTTTGACAATCACAAATAAAGCTGTAGTAAACATTTGTGTACAAAACCCAGAAGCATTCTAATTTTAATTTAATCAATTCTGTATTTCCACAACACTTCAATTACATGTTATACTGGCCTCCCCAATGTGTCAAATTATATATATACATATATATATATGTATATATGTATATATATGTATATATGTATATATATGTATATATATGTATATATGTATATATATGTATATATGTATATATATGTATATATGTATATATATGTATATATGTATATATGTGTGTATATATGTATATATGTATATATATGTATATGTATATATGTATATATGTATATATGTATATGTATATATGTATATATGTATATATATGTATATGTATATATGTATATATGTATATGTATATATGTATATATGTATATGTATATATGTATATATGTATATATATGTATATATATGTATTATGTATATATGTATATATGTATATAAATACACATGCACACATATGTAAATAACATGCATACCCATATACACCTGCTAAAAATATGTAAAAAGATTAAAATATTTTTCATCATTGATTTTATAACATCTAGTCCAGGATCAGCAACAGCTAACCATTTGGGGTTTTTAGCTCATTCATTAGATTTTTTTTCCTCAAATATTCCTTTCCCAACTGATATTCACACAAACCAGTAATATTATAAATGCTTCCCTTTTGTTTCATTCCATATCACATTCATCTTATTTGCTAACCCCTGTGCTGCTCTAGACTGAGAGCTGAGATGTTCAATCTTGATGATTTACAGCTTTTTGTTGATGTTCCAGTGGAGTAAAGAAAAACTAGAGGACCCTCAGAAAAAAGTACTTTATGTTTTACCCAGGAAACTATTGGTACATCTGGTAGATTTCACTTTAAGTACTTTTCACTGAACACAAATCCCGGATTCCTATCTTTTCTAGATATCCAAAAAGAATGACATTGAAAAGTGCTATTATTGTCAGGCCAGCCAGTTGGTTAGGATGAAGACAAAAGCTTCCCCACTGGTCAGAGGCCTAAGTATCTTTAGTTTTGCTCTAGAAGAAAAATCGGCAATTGAGCTGAAATAAGCATACTTTACAAAATTCACATCTCATGTGTGAAGACCACAGGGCATAGACTGTGGATGTCTTGACAGCTGGAAATATTTCCTTGGATTTGTCCCACCCTACCAGTACTCAGCGCATTATTTCCTGACTGCTTAATGGAGGGGGAGGATTCATCAGAGATAAGGATTTTCTTCTTCTTTTGTTTGTTTCTGTACCTAATCATTGGGTTCCTGTTAGGCATTTTTGAGTGTCGGAGGGCAGAAACTCTGATTAGAAGTGACTCAGACTTGACCTTAAGTGTTTAGAAAAAAAAAAAAGAACAATGATAATTGATTCCATCTATTCAACATTTGCTCCTTGCCTGATGTTGTGCAGAGCACTATGTATTAATTAGAATATTTATTACTCACAACACCAACCCCATAAATTAGATACTATTATCCTTCTTACACAGATGAGAAAATTGAAGCTCACAAATACAATGGCTTACTTAAGATGGTGCAGCTAGTATATTTCAGAGCCAGAACTGGAAATAATTGTATTTGACTTGCTGTTAACCATCACATTTTATTGCCTGTCAAGTCTGTCCAGTATCCCCATGACTTTCTTGTCTGTAGGTAACAGTGGAATTGATGTGACCTACTTGCTGGACTGAATATTTTGATTTTATCTTATGTCCTTATGCATGGACATAGCCCCTACTATGACATTCTATGGAGTGCACTTCTTTTCTATTCTGTATTTTCCCCCAAACGCTTTGCTTTAAAGGCATTTCATTGAACCCTAGATATTAAATAGATTCTGGTTGAGAGATTCTTTTAGGTTAAATCGTCACAAAGAACTTTCTTTTAGACACACAGCTGGCATTTGATTTCTGAAGTTACCATGGATTGAATGCTGATTTCAAAAGGAGCCAGAAAAGCGAAGGTAAAGTGTATAGGCTGAGAGCTTTGATGTGCCAGAAACCATGAAGGATATTTTGTAAAACTTCACTTGCTCTTCTCAACATTTTCAGTACATTTTATCAATCCTATTTTACAGGTGAGGAAACGGAAACTCATGAAAACAAAGAAACTCATCCAAAGTTTCTCTGCAAATACATGGTGAGATCATGATATAGACTGGTGTTTCTCTTTTTAATTTCTCAATCTTTCCCTACATCAAGCTGTTTCCTGAATTAGAGAAAGGATATTGACTCTAACTTCTTTGTGATACTATCATGAAAGGAGTGGCAGCATTTTGAAGCCAGCTCCCTAAGCATTCTAAAAGATTTATCTCTTTTCTGAGATGAGAGAATACTGGGAGCTGGATGTGTTTTTAGTTTAGCCCAAGTGTAATGATATCAATGGGCTGTCTCAACAAAAGAAGCAAAATGGGCAGAGAAGAGCTTCGTGGGGAGAGGTAAATCTAGATGTACCCAGGCAGTGCCATTCCTGTTTAATCTGGAAATTACACCTGGAAATGTATTTTGTATGGATTAGGTTCTGAAATTAGCTACTAAGTAGAATATAGCATAGAGCCAAAATTATCCTTTAAACTTCCCTAAAAAAGAGAAATAAGGACTGAACAACTGTCTCAAGATTCTCCTTAGCCTGTTTATGCTTCAATATTGTAACAGATCACTTTTTCTTCAGTTGATTATAAGATAAAGAATATGTCTTGAGGGAAGGGGCCATGTTGCATGAACATTACCTTTCTTGAAGTGTCTGCAAGATGTGTTCACCAGCAAAGGCATCATATTTAGTTCTGCTAGCTCAAAGTCATTCTGGGCAAAGTCATCTGTACTGGTGCCATCTTTCTTTCTGCCTTTACCTATCACATTGTCTGAAAGGCTGCTGCTTAGGTACAGAATCATGTCTGCAAAATATGTGTCTCTGTGGGACAGACAGCAATGACAAGGCAAGCTGAAATCTACTTCCATAAATGCATTAATAAGGATCACTAGTAGGATAACACTATAAAGAGTGGAGACAGCAAAACATGATTTTCCTGCCTTAAATGTGTGGTACTGATTGGGAGATATCTTTCTACCTGCTTTATATTTACAGATACTTGATGGAAGGGAAGGAGATAGAATAAAAAACAAAAGCCAAGGGAGATATTTTTCAGAGTCATTTAAAAAAATCTTACTGTTTAAAACATTTTAAAATGTTTTGTTATTTAAAAGAAAAAAAATTACACCAAAAATAAAGAATTTACAATAAATACATGAAAGTGTCAAGAGGAATTATTTTTTGATAATTTCAAGAAAATTATATATGTGGAACAGAGATAACCAGAACATAAAACTTGAATTATAGGCTACTATTTTTACTATTTACAAATTTACCCTTCCCCCCTTTTTTTCTACTGAATTGGTTACTTTCACTCACAAAAAGAGGTATGTACTGGTTGAGATTCTTGAATTAGTTAGAATGCCTTTTTGATAATCTTTATATTAACTATTAATATCTAGATTCAAATGCTGCCAGGAGTTCAGTAAGTTTTTTAAAAACCCCAGAATATATATTCAAAAGAAAGTGGGCCTGGGATTGAACACCTCTGATCTCCTTCCAGCTGTGTGATAGGATCAGCTGTGTGGTTTTGGCCCGTTCTCTTTGGCTATCTGGACCTTAGTTTTATTTATGAGCAAAATGAGCATTTTAAACCAAATGACTCCTAGATTCCTTTCCAGGTATAACATTCTCTGTATTGGTGATAATGACCAACATTTTGAAGTTTGGGGATATATGTTTCACATCACATTTGAATATGCCATGTTTTTTAAAGTGGTGTTTTAAAAATGGTTCATAAATATTTTCTCCACACCCTGCTTGCAGAATTGCTTCAGGGAAGATCTCTCAAATGATGCCCAGATGGGAGAAGAGAAGGGGAAGGGAGATTTGAGCTTCAAAATAACCATCACTTCACAGATTGTCAGCAGTTATCCCTCAGTGGGCCGTGAACACAGGCAAGAGGAAAATTGCAGAGCAAACTTTAAACTAAATATTGGGTAGAATTTCCTGGCTCCAAAAGTGGGTTGAGGATATGAAAAGATTATTTTTAAAAAACCTCTCTGCCCTGAATTTTCAAAAGTGAATTCTTTAGAATGTTAACAGGTAATCCCAACTATGTTTGGTTTGGGTTTGGCCCAAGGATATTTCATAATCAAACACATTTGAGCATTGGAGCTATGCTCTTTCTTTATCGCAGGACTTCCTAGAGATTTTAACATGTTAAAACATGTTTTGACTCCCCAAGAAAGAAGAAAGCTCCCAAGGGACTTAGAACTTCCAAAATTTACTTGACCATGGAATGTTTTCCAAAACAGACTTCTCAGAACTTGGGTTTCTTGGAACACAGTTTGGGAAACTTTGTTTTAGCTGTCCAGTATTAATGAATACAGAAAATTTGATTTCTTTAATCTATGGTAGCTGGAAAGAAAAATGTGATCTAATTGGGTAGCTATTTTGGTTCTTTGTTTTTTTCAATTTTTAATTATAAATATAAATACATATATATATGTATGTGTATATATATATATATATATATATATATATATATTTGCCACGTTTAAGTCTTGGGTGAGTTTTTAAAAACAAGCATCTATACCAGTGTTGGGGGTGAGGATGTGAGGATGAGAGAGGACAGTGGGGCAGCAGAAATATTAGGATTCTAATCTATTGAAAATAAAGCTCCAGGTCCATCCCATCATGGATTTCATGGTCCCCCAGTATCGTGTGGTCCCTAAAAATCATGTACCATTTCTTCAGGATAATCTTTTTACAATGGGTGACAGCTTGGGCTGCAATCAGCTTCTTACGGTCTCTTAAGGTCTCCAGTGGCGTCATCTATGTTGCATTTAACATGGACCTGAAGCCCAGACAGTTGTTGCAAACAACCTCCATCATCCTAGCTAAAGCTCAAATCACCTTGAATCTGCCAATGCCACAGATTCCTCACCCGAGTGCTGAACCCCGGTCGCAGTCAACGCTGGGAACCGGAAGCTGGGTGACTATTTTGAGACATCAATGATTTGGAATGTTGGTGGCCTATCATTCTTGCCTCCTTCCAATTCATTCACTAAAGAAGTCCAGGTGACCTTTTCTAAAGGTGAATCTGATCCTCTCACATGCTACCTAGACACTACTGCCTCATTGCTTAAAAGTGTTCTTTGGGCCGGGTGCTGTGGCTTATGCCTGTAATCCCAGCACTTTAGGAGGCCAAGGTGGGCGGATCACCTGAGGTCAGGAGTTTGAGACCAGCCAGGCCAATCTGGTGAAACCCTATCTCTACTAAATAATACAAAAAATTAGCTGGAAGTGGTGGTGGATGCCTGTAATCCCAGCTGCTCCAGAGGCTGAGGCAGGATAATTGCTTGAACCTGGAAGGCAGAGGTTGCAGTAAGCCAAGATGGCGCCATGGCATTCCATCCTGGGGCAACAAGAGCAAAACTCCATCTCAAAAACAAAAACAAAAAAAAGTTTGCTGGCTGGCTATTGCTCTTAAGAGAATCACCTTTAATAAGATCATCAAGACCTTGTGGGGCCTGGCCTGCTCTACTCTCCAACCTGGTTTAACATCAGCCTACCTCACCCCCATGTTACTTTCCTGGGGCTACTATAACAAATTGCCACAAACCAGGTGGATAAAAAACAACACAAATGTATTTCCTCACAATTGTAAAGACTACAAGTCCAAAATCAAGATGTTGGGAGGGCCATGTTCCCTCCGAAGACTCTAGGGTTGGGGTCCTTCTTTGCCTCTTCCAGCATCCCCAGGCATTCCTTGCTTGTGGAAGCACAACTCAGACCTCTCCCTACATCTTCATGTGGCCATATTTCCTCTGTGTGTCTCTACCTCCTTTTCTTATAAAGGCACTGGTCTTATTGGATTAAAGGCCCACCCTACTCCAGCATGATCTCATCTTAATCAGTTCTATCTGTAATGACACTATTTCCATATAAGGTCACATTTTGAGGTACTGGGGGTTAGGACTTCAACTATCTTTTTAGAGGGATACAGTTCAACTAGTAACAACACATTTGCTCTCTCCTTTAGTAGAAGTCTTCATCGACTTCTTGAATTACCTAGATTCTTCGCTACCACAGCCTCACCTAAGATCTTTGCAAATACTCCTCGAGTGATTTTTTTTTTCTTTTTTTTGAGACAGTCTCGCTCTGTCACCCAGGCTGGAGTGCAGTGGCACAGTCTAGACTCACTGCAACCTCCACCTCCTAGGTTCAACTGATTCTCCTGCCTCACTCAGCCTCCTGAGTAGCTGGGACTACAGGCATGCGCCACCATGCCCGGCTAATTTTTGTATTTTTAGTAGAGATGAGGTTTTGCCATCATGGCCAGGCTGGTTTCAAACTCCTGACCTCAGGTGATCTGCCCACCTCAGCCTCCCAAAGTGCTGAGATTACAGGCATGAGCCACTACGCCCAGCCAGAGTAATTCTTTATCTGTTGACTCTGACTGTTCCCTCACCTCTGTTTCACCATCCTTTTCTGACCTCTATAACGGGGTCATTTCCCTACTTTATATATTTTGTAGCATCCCCCAAATTTATTCAACAGACCTTGCCAGACTTGTAATTTTATACTATGTGTGTGATTATTGTTTTTGTGTTTATCTTTCTCACCTTCCTTTTTCACAGACAGGGGCCATGTCAGTTTTTGCATTCTATTGTATCCCTAACACTTAGCAGACAGTACCTGGGAAAGCTTAATGAAAATGATCCCTTAATATTTTTTGCAGTAACATTTTTGAATATGCAAACAAATCAATAAATTTCAGAACTTTTCCAAGCAGATGTCCCTACCTGTCCAAAATATTCTCTTCTACCATTTTCATGTAACACCAATTCTACCTTTTCATGTAATACTTAGCCTAGTGCCTAAAGTGAAGCAAACAAAAACTCCCTTTGTATGATATATTCCCCATCACTTATAGGGAGAAGGGTGCCTCTGAAATTTTGGAGTTGCTGTTAAACCCCTGTCACTGTTAAAGTTGGCTCTCGCCAAACAATGAAATCATCGTCACACTGCTCTGCTGCTGAGTGAAAGCTCATTGACATAGCCCTTTGTAGAATGTCTATATTCTTCCCTTGACAGGCACTTGGAAAGAAAACCTGTATTATTCAGCTGATCTCTGAGAATAACTGAGCTCTGTTTGTGAAACTGGCTTCATATTTTCATAACCTGTACGCACGATAGCGCTCTCTACTTTGTTACCTGCTGATAGGAGTATGCAAAGTATTACTTGCCTCAGTTAGAAAATACCCTCATCTGAAATATGATGTTGCACATCTTTTTATGGAAATAACTGGACATTTCTGGCCATGAATCCCCAGAGCATGTTAAATACAGCGGTGAAAATCTACTGAAGAAGTTTTTTTTCCAGGATGAAGTTTTGACAGTTCTGTTGGTTCAGGAAGTTTATAGCAAGGAAAGGATTCCTCAGAAACGATGCTGGTTTTCTTCTGTTTTCCCCTCTATAGAAGACCCTCTGTCAAATTTGTAGCCCCTGTTCCTTTTTTGCTTGTATGCAATCTAGTCCTGTGTTTCTCAAACTGTGACCCACTTACAACTGAAGTTCTCCTCAGACTTACTTAGGCTTTCTGAGACGGGAAAATTCTCATTTTTAATAAGATCTATGGGGGATTCTTAGGTGCCCTAAAATTTAAGAACCACTTGCTTAGAATTACCAGTTTAGGGGGGGAAAGGCTCTGAAAAAGATTTCTCCAGGGGACATTTGTGAACATATCCCAATAGAAAAATCACACAATATAGGCTGGGCACAGTGGCTTACACCTGTAATCCCAGCACTTTGGGAGGCCGAAGTGGGCAGGTCACTTGTGGTGAGGAGTTAGAGACCAGCCTGTCCAACATGGTGCCTGTAGTCCCAGCTACTTGGGAGGCTGGGGCAGGAGAATGGCTTGAGCCCAGGAGGCGGAGGTTGCAGTGAGCTGAGATCACACCACTGCACTCCAGCCTGGGTGACAGAGTGAGACTGTGTCTCAAAAAAAAAGAAAAGAAAAGAAAAATCACACAATATTTAGGTTTTATGTGATTCATTCTATTAATTTAAATTTTGCATTATATGACATAAAGCTTTTTGAATGTGACATAGAGATGTATTCAAATTTAGATGTGAAAAGGCATGAAAAGTATAATGGACATGTCAGTCACTTAGCATTCCTTGCCTCTCCTTGTGTGGACAGCATAACACATGGGCCATTGATCCTAGCCATAGCTAATGGTACTAGAAGTAGACACCTGAGCTGGGCCAATCAAATTCTCTATTCTAGAAGATTGAAATTAGGTCAAGAGCAGAAATTAGGGTTATGAGAATCTGGGGCTGTGCCTGGAGTTGTTGTTATGGCTATTATCTTGCTCTAATTGCCTAAAGTAGAGAAAATGGTTCTGCAGAAACAGAACAGAATGAAGTTGACGTGCATGCATAAAGAGAAGCACCAGGCTCTCAGGGAGAAGGAGAGAGGAAGTTTGGTTCCTGATGTTTCAGGTCCTATTGGCAATGTGCAGTATTTTCTGGTAAAGGAATTATACTTAGTTCTTGTATTCTTGTCATTCTTTTAACCCAAGTTATAGCTAGTAAAAGTGCAGAATTTAATGGGTGATGAATGAGGTGGGAAGGCTGGAGGATCAACAAATTTCACTGAGTGTTTACATTCAGTGACGTGTGCTGGGACCCACGTCAGCTTGACACATACTCAGATGTTCTGACTCAATATTAATTTTCCTCTATAAAGCATTCTGGCATGATTTCTCCTGTCATTTTATCTGATAATGCTAATTCTCTTACAAGTAGATTTGAAATCAAGAACCAGAGCAGGTGGATTTAATCTTTGGTTTGACTAGCTCATGAAGGTATTGTCACCAAAGGGAAAATGACTCATAGGAAACATTTGTCACTAACATGATTGAACAATTTGGTAAGTATTCATGAGTACATTTTATGTACTAAGAACAACTTCTTTATATGGACTTATCTAAAATAAGTCATCTTCTGTATCCTTCTAAACAAAATCACAACACAATAGTCATAACTCAGTATAATATGAATCATGAGGCTCTACAAGGAACAGAACTCTTGAAAGTCAAATATTTCATTAGAAAGGAAAACTCTGAGATACTAGAATGAAAAGGAAAGTCATCTTCTCGTCTTTCTAACCCCAATAACAGAAAATCTCCTGTCCAGTTACCATCTGCTGCATTTTTTTAAAAAAAATGAAAGAAAATATTTTGATGTAAATCTCAGAATCAAGCATGTTGCACTTTAATGAACCTAAAATAATATAAAACCCAAGAGGCTTCTTCACTGCTCAGCTCTAGTAAGATGTCCATTCTCTCCAGTTATTTGAGAAAAGCCAATTTGGTATTCATCCTCCTAGAAGAGTACTTCAAAGAAGATCTTGGTTTTGAGATGGTCAGAAATAAATAAATAATAAATTTTTCATTAATTCTACGTGCAAACACACACACAAACACACACACACACACACACTCACAGAGTCAATAACTTCCAGAATATACTTCCGAAAGTCAGTAACTTCCAGAATATACTTCTGAAAGTCAGTAACTTCCAGAATATACATCTCTTCCATAGTAAAGAGATGGTTGTGTTAATTAGCCTCTCACTTAGAGTGATGCCCTTCTTTGAATTAAAACTTCATCAGCATAGATACTACTACAAGACCCAGTTATTTTATGACTGGAGTGAGGTTTAAATTGTTTGGGAAAGATTAACTGCTCTGCCTCCTGAATTGGGGTATGAGGAAAGATGTGGGCTTCTGCTGCTCCTCCTGAGAACTCCCTGATGCTGCTGTCAAATCTGGCACAGAATGAGTGAGCATTTCTCACTCTGGGGCACATATGGTCTTCTAATGTTGCTGATGCTTCATTTATTTTAAAAGGCCATCCTACCACAGTCATCTGGTTTGTCCTCTAGGAAACAAAGCCGTGTCTGGCATTTTTAAAAGTACTTTCCCACAGAACTCAATCTAAATGTTTTGGAGATGTCTGGTATTGATTCTTCTAGATAGGACTAGCAAGGGTTTCTCAAATACTGTTCCAGGAGATGCTGTGCTGAAAGAGAATTCTGTACTCAAATAGGTTTGGGAAGGCCTGCAAACTCTGTTTCTCTCTTGGGGGATCACAACCCTTGTTGCAGAGACTGTAAGCTCCGTGAAGTCAGAGACCATGTCTTTCAAAGTCATCCTATATTCCTGGGCTCGGCACAAGATTGGCATAGCCGGTTAGTAAGAAACATTGATTTGGTAGAATACTAAAGGCTCTGAGAAATCCCTCAATAAAGAAATCTATTTACCTTTTACAATGTACTACTTCCCTCAAAGGTTTGACTATAGAAATCTTTTGTTTTTTAAGGTGACACTTTTATAGTATCCACAGGATACAATTCCCAGGTCATTGTCACTCCATTCTCCTCTAACGTTTACCTTATTCCTTGATGAAAAGAATGAAAAAAAATGTATAAACTCATCATCATTAAAAACATATCACTCATCTGGAAATATAGGCATCCTTTTATGTTTTAAACCATCCTGGCTAACACAGTGAAACCCCGTCTCTACTAAAAATACAAAAAACTAGCCGGGCGAGGTGGGGGTCGCCTGTAGTCCCAGCTGCTCATAAGGTTGAGGCAGGAGAATGGCATGAACCCGGGGGGCGGAGCCTGCAGCGAGCAGAGATCGCGCCACTGCACTCCAGCTTGGGTGACAGCGAGACTCCGTCTCAAAAAAAAAAAAAAAAAAGGTTGGGAAACAGTAAACAGTGAGTGAAAGAATTAAAATGAACAAGTCCTTATATCCCAGAATCAGCCATGTCACAAATTCAAGTCTTTGATGATTTTCATATACAGTCCAGAGCTTACTAAAGATTTTCTGAACAGTCTGGGGGGGTTAATTTAAACAACAAAGTACAGTCATTATCAGCCTTCAAAAACCTATAGGTCTGTGCCATCCTTTAAGTTAATCCTCATGATTAGGGTTTAGCCGTATTGCCTTTCTTTGGTTTTACCAGCATGTTCTGGCTCCTTCTCACTTTAAAGTCTTTAAATAAGCTGCTTATAAAACTATTCTCCCTCTCCCTATTTACCTCGTTAATTTTTCCTTAACCCTCACATATGGGTTCAAGCATAATTTCTTTTTCAAGGAAGAGTTCCCATGTCTCTAACTTACACACGCTCATAGCATCCTAAACTTTGACATATTGGCATTCATCACAATTTTAGTCAAATAGCTAATTAGGCAATTAGTTGCTTAGCATCTGTCTCCTCTAAAGATTGGAAGCTCCATGAAACATGGAAGGTGTTGGTCTTGCTCAGTGCTCCCTATAATTGTATGCTGGATGGGTGCTTGAGAAATATTTGTTGGATGAATTTAGACTGTATTTTGTAATTAAATGAGGTTTAGAAAACCTCACAGAGTCCATATTAGCTAAAATTTTTTTTTTTCCAAACAGGACATTGTTCTTACTAAGAGAACAGTCAAGTGAATATAATTGTGGAAACTACTGGAGTATTTAACTAAATTAAGAGTGTTAGTTTTGTGTAATTAGAGAGATTCAATTCACTATATAGCTCTAATTCATTAATGAGAATAATTCTTTACTTATATATCTTGGCCAGTATTAGTTGTTAACTACATTCCCTTAATTTAGATGCAGGGCCTACTGTATGCTGGGTGCTGAGAATGGAGGAAAAGCTAATTTTAGTGGTTTCTTTCCTCAAGGAGTAGGTAACACAGCAGAAAGCCAGCAGAGTCTTCACTGGAGTTAGAACCAATCAGAGCCTAAAAGAAATTTGATTCCATCTAACTGAAATAGATTGTGGACAAAAGTGATTTTACACAGGACTCTCCTTTTTGATTCTTTTTCCTCTTTATCTGAGGATTATTAGTTGCTTTAAATAATGTTTGCTGCAAGCAAAGTTGATTTGGTTGGTTGGTCTGGTTTCCTACAAACCTTACTTGTTTTCCGTTTTCTTTCCCTTCTTAGTTATTCTCACAATCACCACTCCTAACTTTTGATGCTCCTGTCCAGAAAACTGAGCAAAAGAGTGGCTGAAGAATAGGAATGATGAAGAGAAGAAGTAAAAACACCTGGTAACTGTTAAACAAAAATTATGCCATCCATATTTATCTTCTATAAGTTGTTTCAAACTATCTTTCCCTTTCTTTCCTTTTTCTCCCTCCCTCCCATCTTCCCATTTTCCTCCCTTCCTTCCTTCCTTCCTTCCTTCCTTTCCTTCCTCTCTTGTTCTCCTCACTTCCTTTTTAAAAACTACTAAACTAATTGTATACTAATTGTAGTTGAATATCACTTTGGGCAATTCACCTTCATACCTGACACCTTCACACATCCTTTACTGGTTCTTCAAATTTAATATTCAACAAATAAACGCTTGCTGCCACTATTAGCCTCTTCTCCAGATTCTGCTAATCTAACTAGATTTGTTTCTATAAATTAGGCTGTTGGGAAAGGTACCATAAGACCTTCTTTTTTTCTGAAATGGAGTCTCACTTTGTCACCCAGCCTGGAGTGCAGTGGCGCGATCTTGGCTCACTGCAACCTCCACCTCCTGGGTTCAAGCAGTTCCCTGCCTCAGCCTCCTGAGTAGCAGGGATTACAGGCACCCGCCACCACACCTGGCTAATTTTTATATTTTTAGTAGAGATGGGTTTCACCATGTTGGCCAGGCTGGTCTTGAACTCCTGACCTCAAATGATCAACCTGCCTCAGCCTCCCAAACTGCTGGGATTACAGGCATGAGCCACCGTGCCCGGCCAAGACCTTCTTTTACTTCAAATTTTTCTTCATGCTTTAGAATGATGCCATGGCACAAGAGCAAGGAGATTCAAGTTTACAGTTTTTTGCAGCAATAGTATTCTGTTGAATCTTTGCAAGTGCTCACTATCTCTCTATAGGCTAATCCTGCTATTATTTTGTTATAAAGTTGTTCTCTCCTCTAGTTTCCATCTGCCTCGGTAGATGACAAGGACTTTAGAGAGCTCAAGCTGTTTTCAATTTTAAGGAAGGAGAAAAATTAGCCTGCCATATCAGCTTCCCAGGGTCTGTAATGAAGCACTCTGCTGAGAAATCAGGTTTTAAGAAGAAGCTTGAATCTTTCTTTTTTTTTTTTTATTATACTTTAAGTTTTAGGGTACATGTGCACATTGTGCAGGTTAGTTACATATGTATACATGTGCCATGCTGGTGCGCTGCACCCACTAACGCATCATCTAGCATTAGGTATATCTCCCAATGCTATCCCTCCCCCCTCCCCCGACCCCACCACAGTCCCCAGAGTGTGATATTCCCCTTCCTGTGTCCATGTGATCTCATTGTTCAATTCCCACCTATGAGTGAGAATATGCGGTGTTTGGTTTTTTGTTCTTGCGATAGTTTACTGAGAATGATGATTTCCAATTTCATCCATGTCCCTACAAAGGACATGAACTCTTCATTTTTTATGGCTGCATAGTATTCCATGGTGTATATGTGCCACATTTTCTTAATCCAGTCTACCATTGTTGGACATTTGGGTTGGTTCCAAGTCTTTGCTATTGTGAATAGTGCCGCAATAAACATACGTGTGCATGTGTCTTTATAGCAGCATGATTTATAGTCCTTTGGGTATATACCCAGTAATGGGATGGCTGGGTCAAATGGTATTTCCAGTTCTAGATCCCTGAGGAATCGCCACACTGACTTCCACAATGGTTGAACTAGTTTACAGTCCCACCAACAGTGTAAAAGTGTTCCTATTTCTCCACATCCTCTCCAGCACCTGTTGTTTCCTGACTTTTTAATGATCGCCATTCTAACTGGTGTGAGATGATATCTCATAGTGGTTTTGATTTGCATTTCTCTGATGGCCAGTGATGATGAGCATTTTTTCATGTGTTTTTTGGCTGCATAAATGTCTTCTTTTGAGAAGTGTCTGCTCATGTCCTTCGCCCACTTTTTGATGGGGTTGTTTGTTTTTTTCTTGTAAATTTGTTTGAGTTCATTGTAGATTCTGGATATTAGCCCTTTGTCAGATGAGTAGGTTGCAAAAATTTTCTCCCATGTTGTAGGTTGCCTGTTCACTCTGATGGTAGTTTCTTTTGCTGTGCAGAAGCTCTTTAGTTTAATTAGATCCCATTTGTCAATTTTGGCTTTTGTTGCCATTGCTTTTGGTGTTTTGGACATGAAGTCCTTGCCCACGCCTATGTCCTGAATGGTAATGCCTAGGTTTTCTTCTAGGGTTTTTATGGTTTTAGGTCTACCGTTTAAATCTTTAATCCATCTTGAATTGATTTTTGTATAAGGTGTAAGGAAGGGATCCAGTTTCAGCTTTCTACATATGGCTAGCCAGTTTTCCCAGCACCATTTATTAAATAGGGAATCCTTTCCCCATTGCTTGTTTTTCTCAGGTTTGTCAAAGATCAGATAGTTGTAGGTATGCAGCGTTATTTCTGAGGGCTCTGTTCTGTTCCATTGATCTATATCTCTGTTTTGGTACCAGTACCATGCTGTTTTGGTTACTGTAGCCTTGTAGTATAGTTTGAAGTCAGGTAGTGTGATGCCTCCAGCTTTGTTCTTTTGGCTTAGGATTGACTTGGCGATGCGGGCTCTTTTTTGGTTCCATATGAACTTTAAAGTAGTTTTTTCCAATTCTGTGAAGAAAGTCATTGGTAGCTTGATGGGGATGGCATTGAATCTGTAAATTACCTTGGGCAGTATGGCCATTTTCACGATATTGATTCTTCCTACCCATGAGCATGGAATGTTCTTCCATTTGTTTGTGTCCTCTTTTATTTCCTTGAGCAGTGGTTTGTAGTTCTCCTTGAAGAGGTCCTTCACATCCCTTGTAAGTTGGATTCCTAGGTATTTTATTCTCTTTGAAGCAATTGTGAATGGGAGTTCACTCATGATTTGGCTCTCTGTTTGTCTGTTGGTGTATAAGAATGCTTGTGATTTTTGTACATTGATTTTGTATCCTGAGACTTTGCTGAAGTTGCTTATCAGCTTAAGGAGATTTTGGGCTGAGACGATGGGGTTTTCTAGATAAACAATCATGTCGTCTGCAAACAGGGACAATTTGACTTCCTCTTTTCCTAATTGAATACCCTTTATTTCCTTCTCCTGCCTGATTGCCCTGGCCAGAACTTCCAACACTATGTTGAATAGGAGTGGTGAGAGAGGGCATCCCTGTCTTGTGCCAGTTTTCAAAGGGAATGCTTCCAGTTTTTGCCCATTCAGTATGATATTGGCTGTGGGTTTGTCATAGATAGCTCTTATTATTTTGAAATACGTCCCATCAATACCTAATTTATTGAGAGTTTTTAGCATGAAGGGTTGTTGAATTTTGTCAAAGGCTTTTTCTGCATCTATTGAGATAATCATGTGGTTTTTGTCTTTGGCTGTGTTTATATGCTGGATTACATTTATTGATTTGCGTATATTGAACCAGCCTTGCATCCAGGGATGAAGCCCACTTGATCATGGTGGATAAGCTTTTTGATGTGCTGCTGGATTTGGTTTGCCAGTATTTTATTGAGGATTTTTGCATCAATGTTCATCAAGGATATTGGTCTACAATTCTCTTTTTTGGTTGTGTCTCTGCCCGGCTTTGGTATCAGAATGATGCTGGCCTCATAAAATGAGTTAGGGAGGATTCCCTCTTTTTCTATTGATTGGAATAGTTTCAGAAGGAATGGTACCAGTTCCTCCTTGTACCTCTGGTAGAATTCGGCTGTGAATCCATCTGGTTCTGGACTCTTTTTGGTTGGTAAACTATTGATTATTGCCACAATTTCAGAGCCTGTTATTGGTCTATTCAGAGATTCAACTTCTTCCTGGTTTAGTCTTGGGAGAGTGTATGTGTCGAGGAATGTATCCATTTCTTCTAGATTTTCTAGTTTATTTGCGTAGAGGTGTTTGTAGTATTCTCTGATGGTAGTTTGTATTTCTGTGGGATCGGTGGTGATATCCCCTTTATCATTTTTTATTGTGTCTATTTGATTCTTCTCTCTTTTTTCTTTATTAGTCTTGCTAGCGGTCTATCAATTTTGTTGATCCTTTCAAAAAACCAGCTCCTGGATTCATTGATTTTTTGAAGGGTTTTTTGTGTCTCTATTTCCTTCAGTTCTGCTCTGATTTTAGTTATTTCTTGCCTTCTGCTAGCTTTTGAATGTGTTTGCTCTTGCTTTTCTAGTTCTTTTAATTATGATGTTAGGGTGTCAATTTTGGATCTTTCCTGCTTTCTCTTGTAGGCATTTAGTGCTATAAATTTCCCTCTACACACTGCTTTGAATGCGTCCCAGAGATTCTGGTATGTGGTGTCTTTGTTCTCGTTGGTTTCAAAGAACATCTTTATTTCTGCCTTCATTTCGTTATGTACCCAGTAGTCATTCAGGAGCAGGTTGTTCAGTTTCCATGTAGTTGAGCGGCTTTGAGTGAGATTCTTAATCCTGAGTTCTAGTTTGATTGCACTGTGGCCTGAGAGATAGTTTGTTATAATTTCTGTTCTTTTACATTTGCTGAGGAGAGCTTTACTTCCAAGTATGTGGTCAACTTTGGAATAGGTGTGGTGTGGTGCTGAAAAAAATGTATATTCTGTTGATTTGGGGTGGAGAGTTCTGTAGATGTCTATTAGGTCCGCTTGGTGCAGAGCTGAGTTCAATTCCTGGGTATCCTTGTTGACTTTCTGTCTCGTTGATCTGTCTAATGTTGACAGTGGGGTGTTAAAGTCTCCCATTATTAATGTGTGGGAGTCTAAGTCTCTTTGTAGGTCACTCAGGACTTGCTTTATGAATCTGGGTGCTCCTGTATTGGGTGCATAAATATTTAGGATAGTTAGCTCCTCTTGTTGAATTGATCCCTTTACCATTATGTAATGGCCTTCTTTGTCTCTTTTGATCTTTGTTGGTTTAAAGTCTGTTTTATCAGAGACTAGGATTGCAACCCCTGCCTTTTTTTGTTTTCCATTTGCTTGGTAGATCTTCCTCCATCCTTTTATTTTGAGCCTATGTGTGTCTCTGCACGTAAGATGGGTTTCCTGAATACAGCACACTGATGGGTCTTGACTCTTTATCCAACTTGCCAGTCTGTGTCTTTTAATTGCAGAATTTAGTCCATTTATATTTAAAGTTAATATTGTTATGTGTGAATTTGATCCTGTCATTATGATGTTAGCTGGTGATTTTGCTCGTTAGTTGATGCAGTTTCTTCCTAGTCTCGATGGTCTTTACATTTTGGCATGATTTTGCAGCGGCTGGTACCGGTTGTTCCTTTCCATGTTTAGCGCTTCCTTCAGGAGCTCTTTTAGGGCAGGCCTGGTGGTGACAAAATCTCTCAGCATTTGCTTGTCTATAAAGTATTTTATTTCTCCTTCACTTATGAAGTTTAGTTTGGCTGGATATGAAATTCTGGGTTGAAAATTCTTTTCTTTAAGAATGTTGAATATTGGCCCCCACTCTCTTCTGGCTTGTAGGGTTTCTGCCGAGAGATCCGCTGTTAGTCTGATGGGCTTCCCTTTGAGGGTAACCCGACCTTTCTCTCTGGCTGCCCTTAACATTTTTTCCTTCATTTCAACTTTGGTGAATCTGACAATTATGTGTCTTGGAGTTGCTCTTCTCGAGGAGTATCTTTGTGGCGTTCTCTGTATTTCCTGAATCTGAACGTTGGCCTGCCTTGCTAGATTGGGGAAGTTCTCCTGGATAATATCCTGCAGAGTGTTTTCCAACTTGGTTCCATTCTCCACATCACTTTCAGGTACACCAATCAGACGTAGATTTGGTCTTTTCACATAGTCCCATATTTCTTGGAGGCTTTGCTCATTTCTTTTTATTCTTTTTTCTCTAAACTTCCCTTCTCGCTTCATTTCATTCATTTCATCTTCCATTGCTGATACCCTTTCTTCCAGTTGATCGCATCGGCTCCTGAGGCTTCTGCATTCTTCACGTAGTTCTCGAGCCTTGGTTTTCAGCTCCATCAGCTCCTTTAAGCACTTCTCTGTATTGGTTATTCTAGTTATACATTCTTCTAAATTTTTTTCAAAGTTTTCAACTTCTTTGCCTTTGGTTTGAATGTCCTCCCGTAGCTCAGAGTAATTTGATCGTCTGAAGCCTTCTTCTCTCAACTCGTCAAAATCATTCTCCATCCAGCTTTGTTCCGTTGCTGGTGAGGAACTGCGTTCCTTTGGAGGAGGAGAGGTGCTCTGCGTTTTAGAGTTTCCAGTTTTTCTGTTCTGTTTTTTCCCCATCTTTGTGGTTTTATCTGCTTTTGGTCTTAGATGATGGTGATGTACAGATGGGTTTTCGGTGTAGATGTCCTTTCTGGTTGTTAGTTTTCCTTCTAACAGACAGGACCCTCAGCTGCAGGTCTGTTGGAATACCCTGCCGTGTGAGGTGTCAGTGTGCCCCTGCTGGGGGGTGCCTCCCAGTTAGGCTGCTCGGGGGTCAGGGGTCAGGGACCCACTTGAGGAGGCAGTCTGCCTGTTCTCAGATCTCCAGCTGCGTGCTGGGAGAACCACTGCTCTCTTCAAAGCTGTCAGACAGGGACACTTAAGTCTGCAGAGGTTACTGCTGTCTTTTTGTTTGTCTGTGCCCTGCCCCCAGAGGTGGAGCCTACAGAGGCAGGCAGGCCTCCTTGAGCTGTGGTGGGCTCCACCCAGTTCGAGCTTCCCGGCTGCTTTGTTTACCTAAGCAAGCCTGGGCAATGGCGGGCGCCCCTCCCCCAGCCTCGTTGCCGCCTTGCAGTTTGATCTCAGACTGCTGTGCTAGCAATCAGCGAGATTCCGTGGGCGTAGGACCCTCCGAGCCAGGTGTGGGATATAGTCTCGTGGTGCACCGTTTTTTAAGCCGGTCTGAAAAGCGAAATATTTGGGTGGGAGTGACCCGATTTTCCAGGTGCGTCAGTCACCCCTTTCTTTGACTCTGAAAGGGAACTCCCTGACCCCTTGCGCTTCCCAGGTGAGGCAATGCCTCGCCCTGCTTCGGCTCGCGCACGGTGCGCGCACACACTGGCCTGCGCCCACTGTCTGGCACTCCCTAGTGAGATGAACCTGGTACCTCAGATGGAAATGCAGAAATCACCCGTCTTCTGCGTCGCTCACGCTGGGAGCTGTAGACCGGAGCTGTTCCTATTCCTTGAATCTTTCTTTAGTTGGGGATTTATGAGGACAGATTCCTTAAAATGTGTTGTGGTCCTAGAAGGGCACATTGTTAAATGAGAAGTTCATTAAATTTTGGGTAGAGTTCTCCAACTCCACCCAAAAGCATTTGGTAAACTATTTAGTATTTGGGCCCACTTAAGAGGAATTGCAAATCCATGCTCTCCAGTATCCTTAATAAGAGAAACCTTAGATACTTCAATCCTTATGTCTATAAGGATTTCTTACAACACTTATTGACTACTGTTATTTCTCTCTAGCTATTTCTTTGGGGTTGATTGTTCTTCCACAGCTAAGTTTTAAAATTCTCAAGGGCAACGGGAGGTGGAGGTTGCAGTGACCCAAGATTGTGCCATTGCACACCAGCCTGAGTAACAGAGCAAGACCTTGTCCCAAAAATACATTAATAAATAATAAAATAAAATATCCTCAAGGGCAAGGCTATGTCTAATATTTACAGGAGGGTGGAGCAAATACTAGAAATGAAAAATTATAAATGATATATTAGTTGATAACCCTGTTCACTGGCAGTCAATATAATCCACACCAGCGTTTTGCTGTTTCCCCATTGTTCTCTAAAAGTTGCTAGAAATATATTTCTCCAATAGAGGGATGAAGGGAGTAGTTAAGGTATGGGAGGAACATTTATTGAGAATCCACTATGTGCCTCACATTGCACCCAGTTCTCTGTATGTTCTACTTCTTTGTGTCCTCCAAACATTCCTGAAATGTTGGAATTATGATCTTTATTTTATAGGAGAGAGTTAGAATTGAAATCCAATCTCTTTATAATTCTGAAATCCTACCTTTGCCTCTAACCTAGGATGCCTCTCAGGCTATAAAGTGAAATACCTGTAAACTCTTTGCTTTTTGCCTCTTAAGAAAGTAAAGCTTCTGTCTCCTGACTTCGTGATCCGTCCCGCCTCAGCCTCCAAAAGTCCTGGGATTACAGGTGTGTGCCTTCTGCCTGAAAGGTGTTTTTTCATAAAGCGATACAAAGGGCCAGAGAGAATGCCAACTGAAAGTCTGTGTTCCCCAAATTATATTAACAGGACATGAGCTCTCCGGGAGGGCTGAAAGATATTATGTTAAGATTGGTTCTGCGGCTAAACAAGTGTGAGTATTGCTGGGTTAAACAACTCTAACCTGACTCCTTGGAGCTTTTAATTGGTTAATTCATTTTGCAAATATTTATGGAGCACTAGGTATGATGCTATATGCAGGAATACAGACATGATCCCTGCTCTTACAGCAGTTCTTGCTTAGAGTCTAGTGAGAGAGACATCTGCTTACCAAGAAAATAACCAAATAAGATATTTGCCTAAAATTTTAAGTCAAGATAAGTTCTATGAAGGAATTGAAGAGAAAGAAGTGGCAGAGACTAATGAGGGAGAGGACTTCTTGTACATGTATAGTAGTCAGAAATGGGTATTGACATTTTAGCCCAAACCTGAGTAGTGGGATGGAGACGTGCCAAGCGTGAGTGGAAGATCTTTCTAGCCAGAGGAAAAACAATGTTGTAAGTCTGCGAGCAGGAAAAGATTTTGGCACGTCCAAGAAACGGAAAGTTGGCCAGTGCGTCCAGAGTACAGAGGAGGCGGAGGACACTACTATGTAGCAAGGTGGGGCAGCTGTCATCAGGTTATGCTGTGCTTTATACATCATGGAGAGTTTGGCTTTTCTTCTATTTGATATGGGAAACCTTTGAAGAGTTTTAAGTAAGTACAAACAGAAATATACAGTTGACCTTTTAACAAAATGGAGTTAGGAGTGCTAACCTCCCACACCCAAAAATCCAAGTATAGCTTTTGACTCCCCCAAAACTTAACTAATAGCCTACTGCTGACCAGATGTCTTACCAATAACATAAACTTGATTAATGCATTTTATGTATGGTATATGGATTATATATACTGTATTATCGCAATAAAGTAAGCTAGAGAAAAGAAAATATTATTTAAAATTCATAAGGAAAATATATTTACTATTCATTAAGTGAAAGTAGATCATAATGAAGGTCTTCATTCTCATTGTCTTCACGTTGAGTAGACTGAGGAGGAGGAGGAAGGGCAGGCGTTTGTCTTTCTTTTCCAGGGGTGGCAGAGGTGGAGGTGAAGGATGTGGAAGGGGAGGCAAGGGAGGTAGGCACACTTGGTATAAATTTTATTGCAAAACATCTGCATATAAGTGGATCCATACAGTTCAGAACTGTGTTGTACAAAGGTCAACTGTATTTTTTAAAAAGCCACCTTTCTGCTTTGTGTCAATGTGAGTGGCCACAATTGAAGCTCTTCAAGCTTCAACATAGCACTTTGTCCATTTTGTTCACTGTTGTAACCCAAGTGCCTGAATCAGTGCCTGGCACAGAGCAAGTGCTCAATAAACATTTATTGTACAAATGTATAAGTGGAGGTGAGCAAGGTGAAATTAAGAAGTCTAGTGAGACAGATACTGCTGTAATCCAGGTTAGAGGTGACAAAACATAGGACTCAAATTTATGGTCAGAAAGAAAGAAAAACAGTCAACAAAATTAAAAACTATTTTGCAGATAGTGATATCAGGACTTTCTGATGGATCTTATGTTGGAACTAAGCAAGGAGAAAGGACTAAGGATAATTCAGTTATGAGATGGTTAATAACTGATAGGCTGGTTACTAGATTCCTGGGGCTGTCCTTGAAGTCTTCCCTCCTGCACTCTGCTATGTGATGCTGGGGCTGGGGGTTTGAAAATCACATTTTTCCTTTGCCAGCTGCTCCCTGTTAGGCTCTGTCACTGTAGGGGTGTGTAAAAGAGACTGAATAGCAGAAAGAAGGAGAGAAGACTTGCTCTTTCCTGGTCACTTTCTGTGGGATTTCTGGTGCCGTGAAAGTCACCCCAGCCTCCCTCTTCTTCACTCCAGCAGATGCACTTCTTTCCCATGTCAGAATAAATCCAGTTTTCAGCTTTCCAGTACTCATAGAACCAGCCTCATTGCATTCCTCTCAGAGACACCAGCACCAGCTGTCCACCCTCTTCAGATACCTGAATTTCAGCTCTGCAGGTCCCACCCATTTAAGCTTTATGTTTTAATAAACTCTGGCCTTTTCCCCTTGTTCTCCAGGCCTAGAGCTGGTTGCTGTTCCTTCAACTGCTTCTTCTGTCATAACTTAGTGTTATTTGGTCTTTTCTGTTAACTTAGTTAACAGTTTTATAACCAATATGCAATTCTTTATATTAAACTCTTTAGATTCAAGTAACTGATGTGTCTTCTCTTTCCCAGTTGGACCCTGATCAATGCACTAGGGTTCTGATTTGATTGATAGGAGCATGGGAAAGTCAGAGAGATGCAGATCAAGTACAAGGGAAGAAATGAAGAATTTGGATATGAACATCTTACATTTGAGAGGCCTGTGATAACAAGTAGAGATGTCAAACAGGCGCTTGGGTAAATGACTTTAGTGTTCTAAGTGGAGGGTTGAACTTGAAATATAATAAATAATATTATATTCAAGAATTTAGATGGTAAGTAAAGTCACAGGGTGGAATGATTTCACCTAGGGAAAGAATATATAAAGAGATTAAAAGGGATTTCATCTAGAGAGAGAAGAAAAGGGGGCTCTAGGGTTGAGCATTCAATATGCTTATATTCATTATACATGATTCATTATACATCAATAATTGTTATGGGAAAACATGTTTCCTAATACATGTTAGGAAATACTGATGTAATCTTTGAGGATAAAGTGCAAGAGTGTGCACCTCAGCTCACTCGCATAGAGAACAAGCAGGGAGTTGGAGTAGAACTCCCAGCAAAGAATAGAAAGCGTATATTTGGCCCAGGTGTCTCCTATGCTGTACCTTCTATGACCTTAAGAAAAGTAGTACACAGCCAGGAAATATGCAGACCTGGCTGAGAGGAAGAATATTTCAGCGCTGTGCCTGTGACTCTCCCAGGTTCACAACTGGAAGCCAGCAGAGTTCTGTGACTAAATGCATGGACTCTTTAGTCAGCAACACCAGGTTTGAATCCTGGTATTAACACTGTCTAGCTGTATAACCTCAGGAAAGTTTACCTTTTCTGAGCCTCAGTTTCCTTGCTTGTAAAACTAGGTACAAAAATTTATACCACAAGGAGCTATAGGGATAACTAAATTAAATATCTCTAAAGGGTTTAGCATAGAACCAAATACGTTGTTGATGATCCATAAATGGTGGCTGATGATAGTAGTTGTAGCAATCAAAGCAGCAGTAGAAGATTATCTTACATGTCTCTGTGCAAGAGGCCATGCTCAATTTTTTTTTTTTTTTTTTTTTTTTTGTGAAATGCTGAGTAGAGAGTGGTTTAACATAAACTTCAGGTTTAACGGCAAGTGATGTGTCAGGTCCCTGATAGTTTTGAGAAGACCCTTTAAGCAACACATTCTTCCTGATAGAATAGAATTGAGCAACTGTAAGCCTAACCTTGGACAAAAGAGGTCAGCTCATGATACAGTGTACTGCAAAGCATCCAAATGATTCATGGCTCAGCAAAACCCTGATATAAAGGTGATAAATGACAGAACCTAAGAATAGAATCATATGAAAATTTAGATAAACTGATCCAGAAGAGGCAAGAATGGGCATTATGCCTTGAGTTTGAGTAAAAGAGTCTTATTTCAAATTTTAAAATTATTTTTATCTTTTAAAACATGCCTACTTCCTTGATTTCTCACTCAAAGTGTAATGGGGAGTATATGGGGTGGCTTAAGAGAGGATAGTACCATTATTTTTCCCTTCCTTGATGAGACAACCAGTTTTTTGTTTGTTTGTTTGTTTTTTGAGACAGGGTCTTGCTGTCACTCAGGGTGGAGTGCTGTGGTGTGATCTCAGCTCACTGCAACTTTCGCCTCCCAGGTTTAAATGATTCTCCTGCCTCAGCCTCCTGACTAGCTGGGATTACAGGTGTGTGCCACCATGCCCAACTAATTTATGTATTTTTAGTAAAGATGGGATTTCACCATGTTGGCCATGCTGGTCTCAAACTCCTGATCTCAGTTGATCCACCTGCCTTGGCCTCTCAAAGTACTGGGATTACAAGCATGAGCCACCGTGCCCTGTCTGAGAAAAACACACATTTTAAAAATAAGTGCCAGCAAGTGTTTGTTGTGTTTGTTGCCAGAATCTTGTACTTGGCAAGTTAGGCTAGATTTAGGCATTTGTAACACCCCCCAAATCTCAATGGTTTAACATATAAAAATGTATATCTCAATTCCTCAAAATCTGCTGTAGATCAGGCACTCTCCCAGGCTGCTGTGTTCCATGGGGTCACCTAAGTGATCTTATGAAACTGTCATCTCAGCACATGGGCTCCACGCTACTCACAGAGGAGGAAGAGAGAGTCAAGAATTGTGCAAGGAGGTTTTACTGCTTGGGCCTGGAAGGGATTCTCATCCTGTCCACTCCATTTCATTGGCAGAATCAGTCACATTGCCCTGTTTAAATACCCAGTGATTACAAAGTTTACTCTTCTCTGGCCCAAACAGGAAAGAGCTCAGTGATAGGAGCAAGCCCTCATAATGTCTACCAAAGACCCTGAGGTTTTTGGACATCAATCTCCAGTATAGAAATCCTATTCTTTGTTGATGTATGTGACATTCATTGCAAAGCTCCTCCAGGTTTTTCCCTGGTAGTGGTAAGATTTTGGTTGCTTAGCCTCTTGAATGCTTTCCCACGTTTTTGAGTTTTCCACCTGATGAGACCTGGTGGGAGACGGGCTTGGTACCAGCTGAGACATCTCATGATTTGTGGCAGCCACAATGGTGTTCTTAACAGACTATCGCCATGGTTTTAGCTAAGGTTCTGCCCCCCATTTTTTCCTGTCCATTTTGTCAGCCAGCCACGATCCTTTCAAGAAATTCCTTTTTAAAACATAAATCATTTAGAGCTGGTTTCTGTTGCTTACATCCAAGAACCTGACTAGCATCGCCATGTTATATGTGCTATGCAGATAGAGACTATCTAGTTAAAAGGACTGCCCCCCTCTTCTATATTCCCATAGCACCATATTTTCTCTCACTATGTCATTTAACTTTTTCTACTTTCTATTGTGGTGTTTTGTGTATACAATGGTTTTCCTCCACTAGACTCTAGGTTTAGTTCCTTGAGAGCAGAATTTGTGTCTGAATTCTTTTTTTCCCCACTTCATGATGCATGTATCATAGTGCTTTGCTTGTGGTAGAGGCTCCATGTATCTTCTTGTTGCATAAATAAAATTTATTTACTTCAAAAAGTGAATAAGATATAGTCCTTGCCCTTAAAAAGTTTACAGTCTATTAGTGAAGCTAGACTTGCAAATTGTTTATGGTTCAAAATGGAAAGAAATGAGAATTTTCTGTTGAAGGAGTATAACAGAATGGACCAGTACTGATCCATGGCCTGTTAGGAGCTGGGCCACACAGCAGGAGGTGAGTGGCAGGCAAGCCAGCATTATCGCCTGAGCTTTGCCTCCTGTCAGATCAGCTGCAGCATTAGATTCTCATAGGATTGCGGACCCTATTGTGAGCTATGCATGTGAGAGATCTAGGTTGCAGGCTCCTTATGAGAATCTAACTAATGCCTGATGATCTGAGGTGGAACAGTTTTATTCCAAAGCCATCCACCCCCTCATCCCTGTCCATGGAAAAATTGTCTTCTGTGAAACCAGTCCCTGATGCCAAATTATTGGGGACCACTGTGATAGAAGACATGACTAATTTTTACCAGGAGAGGGAAGTAAGGAAAAATAAAGTCTAATACAGCACAGTTGAACTAATTAACATTTTCTTAGGCAGAAAAAGGTGAAATAAAGGGACAACCTACATTTTTTAAAGGAGGCATGAAACCTCTTGGAAAGTTTAATAAACTTCAGTTTGTCCAGAGTGGCCATAGCACAGAGTCTGTGCCTGGGACCTAATCAGGAACAAGACTATGCGGTTCCTTGAAAATTATGCAGAGGAGTTTGGGCTTTATTCTCTAAGCTGGGAAGAAGCTGGAGAAATTGAGGAGAGAAGGATAACAGGGTGGCATGAACCAGGTGTCTGAGACCCTGGCTGTCATGCCCTCCTCAGGCTATGCCTACTACAATTGTCCTTGACAGCATTTTGAGCAACAGAGTCTCAAGAGGTCATCAAGGTAGATTGCCTGGACGACATAGCATATTCCCTCTTGTGCTCATTGTGTAACAGCCCCAGATCTCCCTGATGAACAGGGTGGATCGTCCTGCCAGGACAGTGATAGCCTGTCCTGCTATGTTCTTGCTATTGATCCCTTGGCATGAGGATTCTGAAGTTCCCAGATTGCAGCCATAACTTTTGCTTAAGGAGACTCTCGCTATGTCCCCTGGCAGAAGTTTCACCTGTGGGAGCCAGGACCTCTGAGCCCACAAAACCCACAATTGCAGGGATGTGAGATAAAATGTTCCCAAGTGTGTCACAGGGAGTGACGGAAGCAGGGACTTAATGTATTCTATGTGTGTTATTGACACAGCATCAATAAGTGTCATTGGTTTAGTATATACACTGTGACTTGGAGGATGGTCTCTGAGTTGCAGGCCATTCATTCCATTGCTCTGTGGAGCTACCAGCTTCTGGATGGCACATCATGTGATATGACCAATGGGCAATCTGTGCTGCATTTACCAACAGTGGAGAGATTCTCACTGCTATCTGGCTGGCAGGGAATCCAATTACAGAATCTCATTTCAACATCTCTTTTCCAAACCACCCTGGCATCAACTCTTGAAAGCTAAAGTCCCTCAGAAGAAGGCCCTGAGATAGAGACTGGCAAGCAGGAAGCTTATTAGGGAGCACTTTTAGGATCAAAAACTTTGAAAGGAAAGGGAGCAGAAGGGAAGGGAAGGGAAAGAAGTAGGATTGTAAACTGGAACCCATCTCCCATCATATACAAAAACCAACTCAAGATGGATTAAAGACTAAATGTAAGGCTTGAAACTATAAAACTACTAGAAGAAAACACAGAGAAAACAATTCCTATTGGACATTGGTCTAGGCAAAGATTTTATAGCAAAGACCTCAAAAGCATAGACGATTAAAGCACACATATACAGGTGGGACTATGTTAAACTAAAAAGCTTCTGCACAGCAAAGGAAACAATTGACAGAGTGAAGAGACAACTTATGAATGGCAGAAAATATTTGCAAACTATTAATATGACAAGGGACTAACATCAAGAATATACAAGGTACCCAAAAACTCAACAGGAAAAAAAAAATCCCAGTAAAAAGTAGGCAAAATAACTTGATCACTTCTGTAAGGAAAAATATAAAAAATTAAAAGAAGGCAAACACAAGAATAAAGATTTCTCAAAAGAAGACATACAAATGGCCAACGGATAAATGTTCAACATCCCTGATAATTAGGGAAATGCAAATCCAAATCACGATGAAATGGGGTTAGTCAATCTAACCCCAGTTAGAATGGCTACCATTTAAAAGACAAAAAACAACAGATGCTGGAAAAGATGTGGAAAAAAGGGAACTCTTATACATTGTTAGTGGGAATGTAAATTAGTACTACCAATATGGAAAAACAGTATAGTGATTTATCAATAAACTAAAAATAGAACTATCATACAACCTGGCAATACCACTACTGGGTATGTATCCAAAGGAAAAGAAATCAGTACAAAAAAGGAATACCGGCACTTGCATGTTTATTGCAGCACTATTCACAATAGCAAAGATATGGAATCAACCTAAGGGTCCATCAACAGACCAATGAATAAAGAAAATGTAGTATATATACACAATGGAATACTATTCAGCCATAAAAAGAATGAAATCATGTCATTTGCAGAAACATGGATGGTATTGGAGGTCATTATATTAAGTGAGACAAGCTGGGTACAGAAAGACAAATACCTCATGTTCTCACTCATATGTGGGAGATAAAAAACTTGATCTCATGGAGACAGAGAATAGAATGATACATACCAGAGTTGGGGAATGCTGGGAGAGTAGGAGGGGGAAAGGAAGAGAGATTGGTGAATGGGTACAAATGTACAGTTAGATAGAAGAAATAAGCTCTAAAGTTCAATAGCAGACAAGGGTAACTATAGTTAACAAAAAAATACTGTATACTTCAGAACAGCCAGAAGACAGGACTTGGAATGTTACCAACATATAGAAATGATAAATACTCAAGATAATGTATTCCTTGAATACCCTGATCTGACTTGATCATCACACATCCTATGCATGTAAAAAATACTCACATGTACTTCATAAATATGTAAAATATTATGTATCAATAAAAGAAAAAATCAAAATAAAATAAAATGTATTTAAAAAAGCAGGATTGGAAAAAGAGAACAGTTGAACTATAATACATCTCAACAAAGGCCTCATTCACCCCATAGGGACTTCAAAACTGGGATAGTCCTTCATAATTATCCACTTTTGGGAGGGGCTAGGGCCGGGCACATATATCCCACAGTCTGTTAGTGATTACATATGGATTGCTCCAGACAGAGAGCGCTCCTTTGAGCAAGATGGCTGTCTTCGTGTGAGGCAATGCCCCAAAAAGTCTAAGAGCTAAGATCTGTCAGTAAACAATCTTCCCAGAATCTGGGAAAATAGATCTTTCTGTTTTAAATAGAGGATCTGGGATACACAACACAGCCCATCTACAACAAGTAGGATGAGTAAGGGGAAAATGTAGGAGATAAAATCAGAGAGAGAGTATATTACAGAAGATTACTGTTGGCGATTTGAAACAGAAACCAAACTACGGTCACTTAATCTAAAATAGGTATATTTTTCTCACACTGGAAAAAAATGTAGAGGGTAGGCAGTCCAAGCTGGCATCACATTCCATGTTATCAGGGTCTCAAGATCCTTTCATCTTTCTGCTTCTCTATATTTGGCATGTAGGCTTTGTCCTCATTGTTATGAAATAACTGCTCTATCTACAGGTATTTCATTACCATTCGAGGCAGGGAGAGGAAAGGTGAAGGGTAAAATGCGCATGCAAGCTGAGTCTGTCCTATTCTAAAATGATTTCTTTTTTAAATAGCATTTCCAGGATTCCAGCAGTAGTCTTCCACTTATATTCCATTAGCTAGAAATAGGTCACATGGCTACTTCTAACTCCAAGAGTTAGAAGAGCTGAGTTTGTAACTGAGCTCGTGCTGTCACACACAAGTGGAATTCTGTTCCTAAGGAGGAAGGAAAATTGATATGATATTGGACAGTCAACCAGCAGCATCTGCCACAGGCCAGGGTATGCCATCCACAGGAAGAAGTTTGGATTTTATTTTAAATGCAATGAATGGTCATTGAAGGGTTTTAAGGAAGAGGGTGATTTGATTTAATCTATTCAGGCAGCTGGAAGCAGAATGGATTATACAGAAAAAGAAGGGAGGCCCGGTAGGAGGCCAACAAAGAAAAATTGCCTTTGATGACTGGGATAGCAGTGTCTGTGGGGTTTATGAAGACTACCTGAGCTTTAACATGTGACTGCCAGCTTGGCTAGATAAACCCATGCTGCTTAAGAATCTATCTACCACATGGGAGGAGAGGATACTGATATGTAAATGTAGTATCAATTGGATCAGTCCTTAAACAGATTCAGTGGCCTTGGAGAAGGAAGCTAGTCTAAATGATCATGTCATTCTTACTCAGGCAGGTAAGGAATTATCTTCATTTTACATAGCAAACAGTTGAAGCTGCAAGCAGCTGTGCCACTCCTTTAACTTATAAGTAAAGACAATTAATTGAGTTTGCTTCTGAATCTGATTACAGCACAACTTCACATTTGTGAAACTTTTCTGGGTATTGTATTTGTTTCTTTCCTCTATTCAGATAGTTTCTACCTTTCTCCTTAGCTGTATTCTTCTTCATTTATTTTCTCTTCAGTTTACCACACTCTCAAGATTTCTAGACCCACCCCCTTTTTCATGGGTTAAACCTATGCTGAAAATAATTTTAAAGAACAAAGAAAGAGAGAATTTCCTGGTAGCCTTATGTAGAGAAAAATACTCATTTACGGGTGTTTTACTCTGTGTCAACAAAAATAGAATTAACCATCTGGCACCACCAAGAGGCTACTTCAGAAAGTGCATGGGAAAAAACAATCAAACTTCTAGTTTTGCTTTCACGCCATCTGAGACCCGGGCAGAAAACCGGAAACTATTGATGGCCGCCATCTTGAAATGATGCTATTTCATGCGCTTCTCCAAAACAAACAAACAAACAAACAAACAGAAAAAAACATTTAGATGTTCTCTAAAGAGCATTCTGCAGAACTTCCTACTTACAATTCTTTCTCCTATGCCTCTGTTCAGAATACTCAGTTTTTATTATATCAAAAAGCAAGGTAGCATAGTAGAAATAGGTTGGCATTTTACTGCATTTAAATCCTGATATGACCACTGATAGATTTATAGCCTTGGGCAAAAAACTTGACTTCCCTAACCTTCAGTTCCATCAACTACAAATTAGAGATATTCATACTTAATTTTTGGAAAGATTGAAAGAGACATTTAAAGTACTGGGCATAGCATCTGATGTACACACACATCCTGTGTGTTAAATGAGAGCAATTCACATTATCATTGTTATTATTAATATAATTTTCATCAAAAACTATTGTCGACAAATTTACTTTTTTGGATGCATGAGACCGTTAGGATGATTGTGGCTCTTCTGTGTACAGATATTCTAGGTCAGGAAAACAGATCAAATGAGAATATTTTACCCCACATCACTCTCATGAAACAAGGGAGCTAATTATCTTCTATTCATGATCCTTTGGGACACCCTTTTGCAATGTACACAGTTGCATTTTTGTATGGTTTGGAAGTGTAAACTGTGTTAATAGCTGGCTAGTCCATTCAGAACCAGAAATTGGATTCAAATGTCTTATGCCTTTATCATTTACTGATTCTGCCATACTGAAGTTTATGAGACTCTAATCTTTTGTGTATATCTCCAAATTTTTGTCCATATTTATCAGTATTATTATTATTCACTCAATACTTGTGTTCAAATTAAATTCAAATTTACTCACTTCTTAACACTTAGCCTTGTTCTAAGAACTATTATGTTGGTTCAAAAGTAATGGTTTTGGCCATTACTTTTAATGGTGAACACTGCAATTACTTTTGCACCAACCTAGTAATATCCATGAAATCACTAGTTTTAAAGTCTAGCTTTTTTGCTTTAATACCCATTACATTAATTTACAACTATTAAATTTTCTTTATAAAAATGTTTTCATGTACTACCTAGAATCAACTCAGATACCACCAGTGGTATATGGACCATGCATTACATAACCCAGCCCTGTACCTCCTTGCTCCCTTGAGTAGAAATTTTAATGTTTTTCTTTCCTTCTAGTGGTTTTGTTTTCCCTCTTGCATGTTTCAATGGGTGCTCAGGATAATCTGGTAAAGTTGGAGCTTTAAACTGTTGTGAATGGAGGCATAGGTTTTGATGTCCCAGAAATGAAATTTAATATATATCTGAAATAACACTTTTGTCTCTAATGTGAATAGGCACAGCATGTCTAGGTCCTGGTCCTTTTTAGATATTTGCTATTTATTCTTTCTGTTTACAGAGATTCTGAAGGAAGGATTCTGATCTGCTACAGTAAATAGAGCATGAAAATCAGGTCTGGCTTGAATTTTTTCCTAGACATTAACCCTACCTCAGATTTAAAGGCTTAGTTTCACTAGCTAAGGTGTGGCTAATAATTGACCCTTTTCACCTTCTCACAGCACCTTAACCTTAAAGAGAAGATAGATGCATATTATGTGACTATCCAAGACTAAATGAGGTTATCCACATAGCGTTTGCTGAATACATTTCTTTCTGAGTTGCCTTGGCAGGGGCTGTATATAAATTAAGCATGGTGGAGCAGAGTGGTTAAGAGCCAGCACTTGGACTTTGCCTACCGGGATTTGAGTAAAGACTTCTACCTCTAGTTTGTAATATTAACTAATGACCTCACCTGAGCCTCAATTTCATCATCTATAAAATGGGGATAATAACAGCAACTACCTCATAGGGTTGCTGTGAAGGATAAATAAGATTTTACGGATAAATCTCTTATCTCAGTCCCTGAAACTTATTGGGAGATTGGCAAATTTAGTGACTATTATAACTGTAAGTCTGGCTTGTACCTTGGAAATTTGGAATTTCATAGCCTATATTATATATAAGGAGGATGTCAAGAGACTCCTTTTTAAAAGGCATGGAATGACTCATAGTTTCCCCTTAAAAAGAGAGAAATGCACTACTAGGTACCTACCCAAAGGAAACAAAGTCATCATATAAAAAAGACACATGCACACATGTTTGTAGCAGTACAATTAGCAATTACAAAGATATGGAACCAACCTAAGTGCCCATCGACCAACAAGTGGATAAAGGAAATGTGGTATATGTATACCATGGAATAGTACTCAGCCATAAAAAGGAACAAAATAATGTTTTTTGCAGCTACTTGGATGGAGCTGGAAGCCATTATTCTAAGTGAAGTAACTCAGGAATGTAAAACCACTTATAAGTGGGAGCTAAGCTATGAGAATGGAAAGGCATAAATGATATAATCGACTCTGGGGACTGGTGGGAGGAGGTTGGGAGGGGAATGAGGGCTAAAAGACTACATATTGGATACAATGTATGCTGCTCAGGTGATGGGTGCACCAAAATCTCAGAATTCACCACTAAAGAACTCATCTGTACACCAAAAACCACCTGTACCCCAAAAACCATTGAAATAAAAGTTTAAAAAGGGGGAAATATTCAACTACTGCTTAGTGACTGCCCCTTATTCCCCAATTAAATTCTTAAGTCTTCCATCTCAGGAAATTACTTCCATAATGATAAATAAGTAATGTTACTGCTTCTTCTCACAGGGCTAGCACCATTGCTGGGCCTTCCAACTTCTAGGCCCCAGGTCAAAAGCAGTCAGCATCCTTCTAAGAAAAGGCCATTTTTTTAAATTTTAGCAGCACTCGAAGGAGAGAAGCTGCCAAAAAAGCACATGGTTCACCAGAAGCTAAGCCATTCAGTGAAACAAATGCCACATGTCAGGAACAAAAGAAGAAAAAGTTCAACCCTTTTGCACAGATTTTTCTTATCAAAGCCAAGCTCACTTAAAATATAAACTGGCTGATTTACTGGAGCATTTACAGCAGTTTCCCTTATTTTAACAAGATCAGTGAACCCCGCTGTTGTTCTTTTTAATCCTGATTTGTTTTGTCCTTACTTGAGAAGCTATATTTCTACCATTAAAAACAAACCTGTGATCAAGATGAAAAGGCAGAAATCAAAGAGTTATAACTCAGAGCTGGTCTAATACAGTGGAAAAAAGCACAGGAGATATGAGGTACTTCATCTGCAGGAGGATATATGGGATTTAGAAAGATGTTAAATAGAGTTACTTCATAAAGTTCTCAAGGGCTGTCTCAAGTGAGTATTTCAGATTCTGACTTTTTTTTTTTTTTTTTTTTTTTTTTTGAGACAGAGTCTTGTTCTGTTGTCCAGGCTGGAGTGCAATGGCGTGATCTTGGCTCACTGCAACCTCCCCGTCCCAGGTTCAAATGATTCTCGTGCCTCAGCCTCCCAGGTAGCTGGGATTACAGGTATGCACCACCAGGCCCGGTGAATTTTTGTATTTTTAGTAGAGACAGCGTTTTTGCCATGTTGGCCAGGCTGGTCTCGAGCTCTTGACCTCAAGTGATCCGCCTTCCTTGGCCTCCCAAAGTGCTGGGATTACTGGCGTGAGCCACACCGTGCCCTGCCCCAGATTCTGAGTATATTAAAAGAACTAAAATGTGATAATGCAGAATTATTTTCTCCATCTTCAGCACCTCCAAAATTATCTAATGTTTTTAGGATGGCTTGTAGGAAATACTATTGAATTGATAGGGCACCTGGAATCTAGGCCCAACTGTGCTGTGAAGTGTAGAGTCCTTGAGCTAGCTACCTCTCAGAGCTCATGTCCCTAGTCTGTAAAACGGGAATGGGCTCAGTTATCTTTAACATCCTATAATTGCTGTCATCACCCAGAATGAGGATGTGTTAGTAACTGAAGAAATATTTTAATTTGATATAGTCATTTGATTAAACTAGAAAAAAACAAAGATGCGGAAGAGTTTTCCAAAGAATGCTTTTTGTTTGAATACTTCCATGTTTTAAAAAATCGTATTAAAAATGTTTTAAACTGTGATTCTTATAAAAGAATTGTTCAAAACTAAAAATTTTGATATGCTACCCTCTAGTGGTGACTAGAACTTACTTTACTAATTTCATCTGAAAGTGCATTCAGATCTTTTGTTCACAGGACAGAAGTAAGGAGAGTTCTGTTTAAATTTTAATCATCTCAAAATGTGGTTCAAAGACTTTGGGCCTTGGAACTAAGTGGTTAAACACACAGCCTCCCAGAGTCCCCTCAAGACCAAATCAACCATGCTATTTGAGAGTGGAGCCCAAATATCTGTATGGTTAACAGACAGCCCAGCAGATTCTTAAGCCGAATGGAATTTGAAACCACTGTTCTAGCTCCCTGGAAGATATAGTACAGATAGGGGCATTATTATAAATCTAGTAAATTCAAATTCTCTTTTCTTCACCTCAAGGTTTAAAACAGGTGGACAGTAAATTTTCTAATTGTTTCTTGTCAACTTCAAGATAAGGATCATGTTCCTTAGCATGGCACACAAGGCCCTCCATGGCCCAGACCCTACATCTCCAGCCAACAGGCCTTGATACTCCCATTACTCTGACTTTACCACATATGGATACCACTGCCATTACTAAATTCCATGTGGAACTCTAGAATTCCTAAAAGATTCTATGCAATTGATTCTGCATTTTTGAAGAGGCTCTTTTACTCTGCATGGAATATGTCTGCACTCAACCTAAGTTTGATTAGAAACATCACATTATTTTTAGTAATTATCAGTAAAACTGAAAAGAATAATACTACGTAAACTTGAGATAAATGACAGAGCTAAGAGTTGTCTCCCAGGCTGTGTTTAGCCTATTCCATCTCTATAAGCCACTTTCCTCAAGTCATCCTGTATAGATATGCAATCCAAATAAAACAGTATGTATGTTATGAGATAGCCTTAGGAAATGTTGCCATTGGCCTTTTCCCCTTCCAATTATATGCCTGACCCAAAGTCCCTTCCTTCTTTACCTAAGTTTAGAAATGACTGAGGAGACAGACACAGGAGAAAGATAAACAAAGATTAAAATGTCAACTTTATTTCTGACAAGAGCCTGTTCTGGAGCACATACATTAGGTGTGTGGTGAAATGGGTGTATTAGTCCGTTTTCACACTGCTGATAAAGGCATACCTGAGACTGGGAAATTTACAAAAGAAAGAGGTTTAATGGACTTCCATTTCCACATGGCTGGGGAGGCCTCATAATCATGGTGGAAGGCAAGGAGGAGCAAGTCACGTCTTACATGGATGGCAGCAGACAAAGAGAGAGAGCTTGTGAATGGGAACTCCTCCTTATAAAAACATCAAATCTCATGAGACTTATTCTATCACAAAAACAGCACGGGAAAGACTTGCTCACATGATTCAATTACCTCCCACCAGGTCTCTCCCACCACACGTGGGAATTCAAGATGAGATTTGGGTGGGGACACAGCCAAATCATATCAATGGGATTGCATTCTTCCACAACCACTGGATCTTTGGGTTCCCACTGGAGGAAAGGTTTATAACTACATAGCAGGCACACCAACCCAGAAATGCTGCCTTCATTGTTTTGGGGTCAAGATGGAAGAAAATGAATCATATTCTAATGCTGTATACCCTTTCAGTAGGTTAATTCTCCCCAGTTTAGAAAATGAACAAGAATTGTCCGTAGCAAATCTCAGCTATACAGAAATTCTGGTGTGCTGCCCCTGTGTGGAAATGAAAAATGAAAGAAGTAGACTTTCTAAGCTCCAAAATGTATTTTTCAATATCTATTGAAATGAAGGCTTGCCTGTAGTCAGAGTTTTTGTTACTAGAAAGTAGCATGTTCTGCTCGGGGCCAGTGGGCCTGTGCCAATCTGCTGTTTCTCATAAAAGATGCTGTTTTGTATTTGTTAACAGGATATGACATAGTTTAACGCAGTGGGGAAAATGTATTAAGGAAATAATGAGAGGCTCTATCATATTTTAAATGACATTTTTATTGGGATAAGTATAGATTCATGTGCAACTGTCACCAACAATACAAAAAATCCTTTTACAATTTGTCTACAATCTCCCCCCAATGGAGGACGTTTGCAAACTATAGCATAACATCACATTCAGGACACTGATATTGATACCATCTACTTATCAAGATTTTCCCTGTTTTTATTTGTACTCATCTGTGTGTGTATGTGTGTGTACTAAGTTTTTTACAATGTTACCACCTGGGTAGATCAAAGCAAAACAACATTTAGCATCACCACAGTTGAGATACTGAATAGCACCAACACAGTGAGGATCTTTCATATTTCCTGTTTATAATATAACAGGAAACAGGCCTGTTGGCTGGAGATGTAGGGTCTGGGCCATGGAGGGCCTTGTGTGCTATGCTAAGGAACATAATCCTTATCCTGAAGTTCATACGGAACAATTAGAGAATTTACTGTCCACCTATTTTAAACCTTGAGCTGAAGAAAAGAGAACTTGAATTTACTAGATTTATGATAATGCCCACATCCATACTATATCTTCTAGGGAGCTAGAACAGTGGTTTCAAATTCCACTGGGCTTACGAATCTGCTGGATTGTCTGTTAACCATACAGATTTTTGGGCCCCACTCTTGAATAGCATGGTTGATTTGGTCTTGAGGGGACTCCAGGAAGCTGTGTGTTTAACCACTTAGTTGCAAGGCCCTAAGTCTTTGAACCACGCATTGAGATGATTTAAACAAAATTTTAATAACTCCTACCTCTCTCCTTCCCCCATGGACTCCCTTCTGTACCTAACCTTTAGCGACCACTTATTTGGTCTCATTTCTAAAATTTTATTTTGAGAGGTCTTTATATTTTAAATATTAGCCCTTTGTTGGATATGAGGTTTGCAAATATTTTCTCACAGTCTAGTAAACTTTCTTTTCATTCTCATCACATGGGCTTGTCTTTTAACAGATCAAAAGTTTTTCATTTTGATGAAGTCCAATCTATCAATTTTTCTTTTATTAATCATGCTTTTTGTTTTAAGTCTAGGAACATTTTACCTAGCCCTGGATACTGAAGATTTTCTTATATTTTTTTCCAAAAAGTTTTATAGTTTGTGTTTTACATGTAACTCCATGATCCATTTTCAGTTAATTTTTGTACAAGCCATATTAAGCTGAGGTTTCTTTTTTTTTTTTCTTTATGGATGCCCAATTAGTTTGGCACCATTTGTTCCATTTGTTGAAAAGTCTGTTCTTCCTTCAATGCATTGCTTTTTTGCCTCTGTCAAAAATTTGTTGGGTCTTTTGTACGGGTATAGATCTGGGTTCTCTATTCTTTTCCATAGATCTATACATCAGTCTCTCTACCAATATCACACTGTTCAGATTACTGTGGCTATCTAGTAATCTTTAATATTGGGAAGAGTAATTCCTCCCACTATATTTTTTTTGATCAAGATACTTTCAACCATTTTAGGGCCTATGTTTTCCTACATATATATTAGCATAAGTTTGTCTGTATCTACAAAAACCTTGCTGGGATTGTGACAGAGACTGTGTTAAGCCTATAGTTCAATTTGGGGAGAATTGATGTATTTATTATGTTCAATCTTTTATTACACAAATATGGTATGCCTCTCCATTTAATTAGGTCTTCTTTGATTTCCTAGGTTAACATGTTGTAATATTCAGTATACACATCCTGTACATATTAAGTATACACCTAAGTATTTCATTGTATTTGATTTTAGAGGTATTGTTTTAAATTCTGATTTTCCTGTGTTCATTGTGAGTATATAAAAATGTCTGTGATTTTTGTGTGTTAATCTTATATCCTGCAAGCTTGTTATACTCACTTTCCAGTTCTAGGAGTATTTTTGTAGGTTATTTGGGAGTTTTATGTAGATAATTCTGTCATCCACTAATATGAACAGTTTTAATTCTTCCTTTCCAATCTGTATGCCTTTCATTTCTTTTTCTTGCCTCATTTCAGAGGCTAGAATTTCCAATACTATGTTGAAGAAGAGTGGTGAGAGTGGACATTCTTACTTTACTTCTGATGTTAGGAGGAACACATTCAGTGCTTCACCATAAGTATGATGTTAGCTGTAGATTTTTCACAGATGCTCTTTATCAAGGCAATTCCCCTTTACTCCCAACTTGGTAACAGTGTTTATTATAAATGGGTTAGGTTTTTGGGGTTTATTATACATTTATTATAAATGGGTCAGATGCTTGTCAAATGCTTTTTCTATGTCAATTCATACGATCATGATTTGACTTGTTGATATGGCAATGTTGTATATACAGGGTATTTTGTTCTTGTCTTACAGGTCCCTGATATTCTGTTCATATTTTTTCAGCCTATTTTCTCTCTCATTCAAATTGAGTGAAATTCTATTTCTGTGTCCTCAAGTTTACTGATTCTATCCTCTGTCATCTCCACTCTACCACCGAGGCCAACCAGTGAGTGTTGTTCGTGTGTTTGTATTTTTGAGTTCTGTGATTTCCATTTTGTTCTTTTTAATTGACAATTTTATTTCTTTGCTGAAATTTTCATGTGCGTCAAGAGAATGTATAATTTGTTGTTACAGCGTTCTTATGATGACTGCTTTAAAATCCTTGTCATTTAATTCTAACACCTGATTTATCGCGGTGGGCGTTGGCATCGGCTGGTTGTCTTCTCTCCTTCAAGTTGCGATGTTCTTGGTTCTTAGTATGACGGATGACTTTCAATCCTACTGTGAACATTTTGTCTATTATGTTAGGGGACTCAAGGTCCTAGTTA
This sequence comes from Homo sapiens, assembly GCF_000001405.40. Classification (NCBI taxonomy): domain Eukaryota; kingdom Metazoa; phylum Chordata; class Mammalia; order Primates; family Hominidae; genus Homo; species Homo sapiens. The sequence continues at coordinate 63,237,670 of NC_000003.12, forward strand.
AATCTTCATTTTATCACATTTAAGTTTAATACAGAGATCTTGGCCTCGTTTTGTCGGCTGTGATGTCAATGACAGCTTAATTTTCAGAGCTTTTGAGGTGATGTTTTGGTCTGCTTGGTTTAAATGGTGCCTGAGAAGCTCCCACTGGTTCTGGTTGGTGTTTCCTGAGGACCTGGTAGGGATTTCTCCAGGCCTGGCCTCAGGTGTCTCTGGGAGGGTTGGAGCATCTAAGGCTTGGCAGAGAAGGAGAGTGCTGCTCCCAGATGCTAATATTTGGTAGAATTCTCAATTGCTCCTCCCCACCTATGCCACTGGACTTGCTTGATGTTGTTGGTGGGACTCCTTCTTGGTCTAGGGGAAAAATCAGCCAACCTGAGATGCTTTATCTTGTTAGGTCAGGGGTTGGGATATGATGTGTGGGTCAGCTTCTTAAGTTGAGTGAGGGGCATGACACCCTGGTACTATGTAGTTCCTTAAGTCCTGAGGTCTGAAGCTGTCTTGCCTCCTGCTTACTATCTCTCAGCATTCACCTTTGGTTGTCCCTTGTGCCATTTCCAGGGTTTATAGTTGTGCACAGTTGGAGAGGAGCAGGGAGAAACTCTTTGTCATTTTATCCTGACAGAAATGAACCTATTTCATTTTAATGAAAGAAAGAAACTCAGTTTGAACAAATCATTCAATTTTTTTTTTCTGTGATTCAGTTTCTACCTGCCAGAGAGAAGAGGGTCTGATTGGTTCGGGCTTTCTTTTCTCCTCAGCATTTCCTTTATTTTCCCCTCCACCCTCTACTCTCCGCGTCCCCCTTCCCTCTCCCATCTGCTGAGATATAATTTTGGAATGACTTTTAGACATGAAAAACTAGTGGTAGGGAATGCAGAAACACAGAACAGGAGAACCTTCTTGTTAGGTTAAACACAAATGGAGCTGTAAATAGGAAGCAAATTTTCACGGTTTTCTTAGTGCTACTAAATTAATTCTGTGATATAAAATAAGAAGAGATCTGACATTCATTCACTTAATTTTAATGACTAATGGAGCTTATATGTTTTGACATTCTTGTGGTTATTTGTATTTAATACAGATCAAAGTGAAACAAAATAGAGCCCTGAAGGCATAATTTCAGAGAGCTAGTAAGTGAGGATGTTATTTCATAACAGTGATTTTGATGTGTGGTAGTAGGGTAATTCGGTATAACTGTATCTTGGAGGAGGCTGTGTTATCTTTAAAGAATGGATTCTAAAATTGTCATTGCTGTATTACACTTTAAGTCATAATATTGTATTGTTTAATTTAAAAAATAAAGGAATTAGTAAGATTTTTTGGTTTAAACACAACCAAGATTGAGCAATATTATTTTGGATAATGAAATGACGCAAACTTCATCTTCCTATGGAGCTGACCATTAATTAGGTTGTATGTGCACAGGCTCCTCTCAACTGAGACTGAGCTGTGATATCTGTTTTAGCACTCTCATTATAGATGTGGATTCAACATATGTCTTTGCTGACATTTTCATCTAACACTCTGGCACAGTTTCTTCAAAATTTACATTTCTTGACCCTTGACTAGTAAAGTGTGACATGTGTCACACACACATCCTACCATTGTCAAGTGTGTCATGCACCCATACTACCATTGTCACCCATCCTACCATTGTCAGGTGTGTCATGCACCCATCCTACCATTGTCACCCATCCTATCATTGTCAAGTGTGTTATGCACCCACCCTACCATTGTCACCAATCCTACCATTGCCCAGTGTGTCATGTACACACACCTTACCATGAGTGCATGGTAGAATGGGCACATGACACACCTGACAATGGTAGAATGGGTAACAATGGTAGGATATCAGGTGTGTCAGGCACCCATCCTACCATTGTCACCAATCCTACCGTTGTCAGGTGTGTCATGTGCCCATTCTACCATTGTCACCCATACTATCATTGTCAAGTGTATCACACACCCATCCTACCATTGTCATGTGTAACACACCCACCTTACCATTGTCATCTATCTCACCATTGTGAAATGTGTTATGCCCCCAACCTACCATTGTCACCCCTCTTTTTATTGTCAAGTGTATCATACCCTCATCCTACCATTGTCAAGTATGTCACACACCCATCCTAACATTGTCAAATGTGTCACACACCCACCTTACCATTGTCATCTATCCCACCATTGTCAAGTGTGTCATGCACCCATCCTACCATTGTCACCCATCATACCATTGTCAAGCAACTGTTTAACAATGAAAAGATTTATAAGATGGAAATAGATTATCAGATGGATTTAAGGCCTTGATAATCTTACTTATCTCTTCTTATCTCTATAAGGCTAAGTAATTCAGCTTAATTAGCCTGGGATTATATGTGAGACAGGGGAGGTTATTTGATCTACTGCATCCCTTTCTTCCCTTTGTATCTTATCTCCTTACTCCTCATGAGTTTTGTTAGTTTTTGAAAATATAAAACACATTAGAGACTTAACATGCAAAGCAGTACAAACTGATGAGACAGAAACAGAGAGTTCAAACTGACAATAAATTGGTTTATTTAACAGGATAAAAACATTCAATCTGCTTTAACTTGTAAAGTTAATTATATTATTATATGTTTTACTTTTTTCCTGCATCAGAAGCACCCATCCCATTTTAACAGGGCACTTGCCTTCATAGACGGCATTCTAGGAAAAAAAGCAAATGTTTTCTCTCACCATCTGGAAAATGTTACAGCATTCCCTACACTCATGAGAAGGGAGAGGCTTTTTCCTGTGGCTAATGATCTGTGCTCTTGCTATGGGGGCCTCCGAAGTCTAGAAGGAAATGAAAGAGGAGACCGGTCTTTTGTGTGGAGCAATGAATAAGGTGTGGCAATATGTCTGGAGGTGGGGGAGTAAGCGAGAGGATTGATAAATGACAATTACTTCACCCAAGGGGACTTATCCAAGAAGCTATTGTCCTGTAACTCATAACATGCACTGTGAATGAAGGGAGATATCCATCATTGCGAAGGACATTATTGCAAGGGCCATGACCTGCACTGTGCTGGAGTCATTGCCAGTTACACGCATACTCTTTGTGTGAGTGAGAATATCCCATTTTTCATAATACAAGTCATGCAGCCTGTCCTAGCTGGGACTCCAGTCTATACAAGGAGGAAACTCTGCTCCATTCATGCCAGCACATCACCAGCTAATTGCCCTGTGGTAGAATCCCACTGTGCCATGAGACTTTGTATTCTCCCCATTGACCACACCCATGCATGCATCTTTTGACAGCGCCATGGAACATCAGAAAGACCAAGTTCTAAAGCAGGATAGTAAAATGACCCTTATTTATCTTATAGGTAATTCAGTCTGAAGACATTAAAAAAAAAATCCATGCTTTGCACAGGCTGTAAGAAGGTACCCACTATCAGGATCCACCTTCACCGTTACAGGACAGAGACAGAAACAATTGCAGTCTCCCACCTTGCTCAAGAGCATTAGCAGGAGCTTGCGTTGGAAAGGTCAAAGGAGGAAAGAGGGATGGCAAATGGAGAGGTCAAGGAGACCAGAGAATGGACCTCCGTATTCTCCCCTAACACTGACTCTGAGTAAGGTGAAAGGTGAAAATGGCAAATATTATTGGCTCTTTACCCAACAGCTATTTCCTCTTTACCAAGGTAACAGGTTCCTGATATTGTTCAGTTGTTGGGCAGCCTTGTGCTTCAGGGAAGCCTGGACTTCTTACCAACCCCAGAATGAGACTAATTTGATCTTTGCCATTTATGGTAATTCTATTTCTCTTGCCATTAATTGGTTTGAGAATGGGTATATGATGCACTTTTAATCAATGAGATTTGGGGGTAAGACCACCAGGAATTCTGGAAATTCTTCCTTTCACTTAAAAAAAGAGACCTAAAGAATAAATAAACTATTTTCCTTCCTTTCCTATATCTTGATATACATTAAAGTTGTTACGCCTGGAACTGCTACAATCATCTCATAAGTGTAAGAGGAAAGCTAAGAGATTTATGAAGAATTTAAACTCAGGCAATAACGAGCCACTCAGTTAACCAATCCTGAAATGATCCTATTTTTAGCTTTTCGTTAGATAAGAAAATTTATCTTTTTTATTTTTAAGCCAATTTTAGTTGGGTTTTTTGTTATATCCAGCCAAAAGCATACCAAGAGAATCAATAATCTGATGGAAAATTTAAAAAGTTTTTGGATCATGTCACAGACTCCTTGTGGATTCATAATCAGCTAAAAGTTATATTATTTTCTTCCTGGTAATGGACTATAGCTACACCCCCTTTCACATGTTTCAGAAATTACAGAAACTATACATTGTGGAAGAATCTTTCTGTAATTATAAGCATACTTTTTCTTTCAACATGATTAATATGAGGAATAAAAGCGAGGAAAGAACCCCTTCTAATTAGAATCTGAATGCATAAAATAGATAAGAAAATAAAAGATAATGTGAATTCAAATTCAAAACCAAAAGACAGAAATACCCATTTCCAGAAATGGAAAGCAAACTCAAAAATCAAAGACATGAGCAGAGCTTTGCTTAAAAATATCAGAGTGCTATGAGAAGCAGGTACAGGCCCTAATGGCTGGATATGGGAGTTGGCATGCCTGTACCGAGAGGGTACCCCAGGACACAGGTCCTATTTATACAGGGAACTAGAGCTGAGATACTTGCAACAAACCAGGACTCCTAGGGACTGGGAAAACTCTGCCCCGACCAGCTAGGGGAAGCAGCAAGAAAACTTGCTATATATCCAGGGTTGAGGCTAGAAAAAATTAACCTTGGAAATGTGAACCCATCACTATGTGAATGAACAGGTGTGAATTAACACCACTAGTATGGAACAGAAACTCCTGGTGGAAAAATCAACTGACTTCAAATGAGTGAAACTCACAGACCCTCAGAAGAGACAAAGTCACCCAGTAGAGATACTTCATATCTCCAAAACCCAGACTACACACAGAAATCAGTCTCAGCTAAAGATGAGCCCCTGGTTGGAGATTCAAAACATGAAAGGAAGTGAATTGCTGGATGAGGAGTGAAATGCTGCAACCAAAAGGAAGAATTTGCACACTAATAAGAACAAATAGAATTATCTGAAAAAGACTTTATTTTTAAGATGTTTAAATAGGTAAAAAAGGAAATAGAAAAGATAAAACAAGCACAAAACAGTATGAATAGTACAGGTTTGAAAAATGGGAAAGAATGAAATGGAAATCTGAAAATAAAAATTATAACTCACTGAAAGAAAAGATCAGCTAACTGGTTGAACAATAGCGCATATACCCATGAGGAAAAATGTACATATTAGAATATAGATCCAAGGTAATGACCTAGAATATGGAAGAGAAGAAAAAGCAAGGGAAGTTAAGGCAGAAAATAGGAAGACAGCATCTAATATATGTCTAATGGAAATTCTAGGGAGAGAGAGTAAAGTGAATATATGATATCTAATGTTAGAAGAGAAAATAATCAAGAATTGTCCAGAATTGACAAAAGTAATCAATTCTAAGATTCAAGGAGCACCCTAAACTCTAAATAGCACAAAGAAAAACAAGCTTACATATAGAAGAATCATCATAGTTAAACTGCAGAATATCAGAAACAGGTAAAAAATTTTAAGGCTACCAAAATTAAAAGACATATTTCTACAAAAGAATGATTGTTAAACTGACAAAAGACAGAGTCAACAATAATAACTAATATTTGTTGAGTAATTGCTGTGGACAAGACATTATTGTAAGCATGTCTTATTTAGTGTTCTCAACAATCTAATGAGGGAGATACTTCTGCTATTCCTATTTCAGATAGATATAGAACAATGGGAAAAAGACAATGGAATAGTGTATTGAAAGTGGTGAGTCATAAATGATTCTTCCAATAATGCTAACTCCTGCCAAACTTTTATCAAGCATGTAGCTTGGAGGTTGGTTGTTTCTTTCCTGACTGATACATTTGATAGTCCATTTAAAGAGTTTTAAATAATAATGCAAAATATGCATTCAGTGTAACCATGTAAGGAGTATTATATTGTCATAACTTCCTCAGAATTACGTATATGGTCATTTTGTGTGTGCAATGAAAAGGATAGAAAGTGCTGGAAAAGCTATGTTTTTAACCAATTTTTCTTTTGTTTTTTACTGCCCACCCAGATTGAGTTAAAGGAGCTGTGGAATAAAAAAAACAAAAACAAAAACAAAACAAAAAAACAGGCTAAGCTAGGAAGGTGAGTCCTTTCAAAATATTCTTATAACACAAACTATAGATTCTTATATCAGGGAAAAGAGCCCTTTAAGTATTTCAAACCAAAGGAATCTAATACAAGGACTTGCTTACAAAGGTAATAGAATAGCTAAGGAACCATGTAGCATTATGAGGCAACCCTGAATTTAGTGAAAGCAAAGAAGCCACCACCAACCTAGGAATGGAGTGAGAAAAGCATCAGAGCTCAGGGGGCAAGGTCACCTGATGGGCTTGCATGGTGGGAACTGAGGCCATGGAGGTAGAGACCAACCTGAAGGAACTGGAGCCACACAGATAATGTATCTAATATGGATTGAGGTGGGGTAGATATGCTGGATCTTATCCTTCCCCTGCTCTCCCCACTTCCATTAGAGTCTTCCCTTAGCTAAACCCATCTGGAATCAGAAGGCAACAGAGGCTGGAAAATGTAGTTTCCTGCAATACACAACCAGTTAGAGAAGGACAGAGAATGGATCTGAGAACAGTCGAGTGATGACAACTCACTGCAATCTGTGAATTGAGTAGAGATGCTGTAATGGCTTTTAGTCTAAGGACAGACTTGTTTGGTGTCACAGGCCTGTTCAATCCCTGCTCTATTCTTTAACTCATCCAACTGCCTGTGTTTCTCCACTTGAGCTTGGTAGTCAGTGTTGGCTTGAAAATGGCGCATGCATTTTGTGTGTGAATGACTAAGCTGACTCTTTTCATGCAAAGGCACTGCTTCTTTCCAATGATAGCCCTGTTCCACAAGCTCTGCAAGATGGCAACTTCATTTAGGACTATCAATCTATTGAGCTTTTTGGAATACAGATGTCCTCTTAAATCTGCTATGCCTAGAAGCTAATAGTGGAATGTAAAAATAGCTTTCGCTGTCTGCACGGCTTTTCTTATTTGTATTCTAAGTAAAATCACTTAGGCAGACATAGAAAGCTCTTCTTATTTGCATTCATTTTGCCTACAGAAAATGTACAGTTCACATGACTGGTCTGCTTCAAAGAAATAATCAAAATACAAATTGCTTGAACTATAAAAACAGGAGCTCGGAAAAACTAGGATAAGGAAAAGACATTAGGATACATTTTAAACATAAAAGAAAGACGTTTTCTGCCATGGCTATCTTCAACTTACATCTCCAAAGCATAAGGAAAGGGATTTTGAGAATTACTTGGTTTGCAGAAGCTTTATTCTTTCCAAAATTTTATTTTTGACCGTGTGAACTAGAAAAGATGCCAGTGTCAAATCTCTGTTTTCATTTGGAGTACATAACCAGAATCTAGAATATGATTTTTCCTGAATCACAATAAAGCAATATTTGGTAATCAACTTTATTTACCCTCAAAAGAAACACCTTTGAATAAAGAATATGCAATTAATCAAATGAAAGAAATGTTATTTTTATTTAAAATCTGTCATTGACTATAATAATAAATGTTAGCCAAAATGTTTATATTTGGTTCATCTTCTCTTAGCTTTGATAAAGGTTTGTATTTTAATGAAATATTACAACATTAACTCTGGTGGGCATTTTTGGTGATAGAAAATATATTATTTTCAGTGGTGATACAGTTAACTAACCTGTCCAGAATTGGGGTAAATTTTATAAACTGCCCTAATTTTTAAGAACTTTAGTGCTATCAGTGGGCAATGATTTTGACTTTCTGAATTGCTTGTGTTTATATTTTCTACTTAATGCTCAGTACATAGTTAGTGCCAATTGATCAGTTACCTAAGAAAGCTTTGTCAAGTGAGAGAGAGAGAGAGAGAGAGAGAGAGAGAGTGTGTGTGTGTGTGTGTGTGTGTGTGTGTATGTGTGTGTGTGTGTGTGTGTGTGTGGTATATTTTATAAAGAACATTAGCACCCTCTTCTGGGTGACTTTTGATTCTGTAATGGGAATATTCTGACAATCTTTTCCCATTTTCTAACAATGAACAGTCTGAATATTCATTAAATTTGCTCCTGATTAAAGCACGACCTCTGAGTAATTTAATTATCCTGTATATTTCAGAAACACTGATAAGTGCTGGAGTCAAAAACATTTCATTGCTAAATGTTACCCACTGGGAATAAGTGTTTGGCTTATGAAAAGGAAAAAAGTGCTTTTTCTACATTTCTTAGGATAAGTGCCTCCAATGACTTTTAAATATACAGAGCTATGCAAGAAAGAAGGAACACAAGGGCAGACAAGGAGAACAGACTGGTACATTCTTCTCCCAGCTGTCTAGGCTCAAAGAAAAAATGTATCCCCTTGCATGCTTTAATAGCAGGCACTGACATAATTAAATATTCTTTTGTTAAATTAGATTTCTTTACAAAATCAAATACCTTTTAAATCAAACTCCCTGGAGTCCCCCAGATACTCCTTTTATTGACATCTTATAGAGCTGATGTTGGAGGTGTGATTGTACTTGTTTGATCCATTTATTTACTCATTCATCCCTACATTCATTCTAGAAATATTTAGTGAGCACCTACTGTGTAGCAGGCACTCTTCTGGCACTGGAGGTGCAGTGAACAGATTCAGGTTCCTGACCTCATGGAGATTTTATTTCTAGTGATATGATCATAAATTCTATATAGAAATATGAGACAGAGTGAAGGAGATAAGAATCTCCTAATCTAGATGCAGGGGGTAGGTATTTTATACCAAGTGGTCAGAAAAGTTCTCATTGATAAAGTGACATTTGAGCACAGACCTGAAGTGAGAGTTTAAACCTTGTAGGTATTTGGAGGAAGAGCATTCCAGGTGGAAGGAATAGCATATGCAAACCCTCTGAAGCAGGGCCCTTTATTTGCTGTAAATACTTGAAATGCTGTACGGGGCCTCAGGATGTCACAGTAGTTGAGAACTTGCTTGAGCTTTGGAATTCAAAACTTGGATAAGATTTTATATATTACCAATTTACAAATGATTTGTAATCTCTGAGCCTTTATTTTATCACCTACACAATATTGATTTATACAATTTTCTTCTTCCCAGCATTATCGTAAACATTAAATGACATAGTATAGGCAAAAAGTTTAGCATATGGGCTTCATACTTGGGTGATGGGATGATCTGTGCAGCAAATCACCATGGCACATGTTTACCTATGTAGCAAAACTACACATCCTGCACATGTACCCCTGAACTTAGAAGTTGGAAAAAAAAAAGTTTAGCATAATACCTGACATTGTGCTGAGTTCAATAAATGTTAGCTATTTTTAGGGGAAAAATGCCTCTCTAAGAAACAAATTTTCTGCAACATTTAGACATAAAATAGATCATTAATGTTAAAATGGATCCAAATTCAGTCTTCTAAATACTATTTGACTATTATTACATAAGAAATGTTTTTTTTTTCCTGTCTGGTCCTGCACAACTTGCTTTTCCTCTATGAACCTTAGGTTTTGCAAATTAGGAAATTAAATAAAATCAGGGATGTTCAATCTAAAGCCTCCAAGTAGGATGACAGCTACTCCCCATGTTTTAAAATCCCTGGGTGAAATTTTAGACTTACTTCTGGTAAGGATAAGGAAGAACTCAACTATCAGGCTTGCTTAGAGCTGAATTATGAAGCATAAAGTTCAGTGGTTAGGGCGTCTCTGCCTATGGAGTGTGCTGAGCTGGGCAAGGCACTATCCCAAAAGGTCGCCCAGTGTATGTATACCTGAGAGTGTTGCTTTCCCCAAATTGTTGGCTTGAGATATTTTCAAAGGGCTCCGTCATCCAGCTCTAACACTTGGATGACCACTGGTCTGTTTCCACTGGATTAATTCTCCTTCCAATCCTTCTTTCCCAAACCTCATTTCTTCCCTTTCTGCCTCTTAAGGGAAAGGCATTTTACCCGCTCTCTCAGCGAGTCAGCCTAAATACCGTGAGGTGAAGGGTCAGAACACTGGGAAGTGCAGTTTCTGACGAAGAAGGAGCAGCTGCAGAGAAAGGAGTCCATCTAGGGCCATTTCCATCATGAAGAGAATGTGGCCAAAACATGGGGCAGAGAATCAGGAACCCAGGTGATGCCTCATATGGTGTCTTCCTTGGTGTTTGAATTATTTAACACAAGCTGCCTCACCCACCTTACAATGTAAGTAGGATTAAACAGAGCTGGCCAGAGCACTGAAGGGATACCTAACTGCCCAGGGGAAAGGTGATGCACAGAGGGGCCTTGGGATTGAGAGCTATTAAGTAGCAGTTCCAGAAAGGTCTGTTCCAAGAAATGCCACAGCTTGTATTAAAAACTCCCTCCTTGTTCCCTGCAGAATTCATCAGACCCCCAAAACCTGTTAATGCTGATTCTGCAACTTACCAAATGCTGACTTTGGGCAAGTTTTTTTAACCTCTCTGAACATGAGGCTCCATTTATAAAATAGGACTTGCAATAAATACCTCGCAGTATTGCCTGGCACTTGGTATGGCTTCAGGACATGGTAGCAATTGTGATGAAGATACGGGTGAAGTGTGGTGGTTGCAGGGAACCTAAGTGTTTCTCAGATTTTAAGGTGCCTTCTAGCTGGAAGACAGTATGCTAATTTGGGTAAGAGATGCATAAGTATGAATTACAAAATATAATAAATGGACACAGAGAAGGTTGAAAGAGTGAGAAATCAGATATTTTAGATGCTACAGAATCGAGGTGTTGAGAAAAAATTAATCATGCAGTTGGTAATCAGTACTCATTTGTTCATTCTGAAGTTTATATGTGTGTTCTTTTAGCTTCTCTTTGTGGAGTTCTATCGATTGTTGTGGAAACTGTTTGAGACAGTGACAACATAAGATATGTGAAATAGATGCTCTGCAACATTTGAATTGAAACCAAAATCCATTGTGCTAATTAGTTATTGGAATCTTGGCATAATTACACATGCTCAAGGGACATTCACTGATTACGTTAGCTGTCTCTCATGGCTGCTATCATGTGAGTATTAGAACAAATCCCATTTTGATGAGAATTAGCTCTGCATTTGCAGTGTGAAGATATGATAACATTGTCAACGCATAATTGTTAGCTCTGTGTTAGTGACTCAGTTTTTCATCCTCAGTTTTGTTTTTTTTACCTATCCCTATATAATATTCAGTTGCTGTCAAATGAAGGAGAAACTGGGAAGTAGTTGCCTTAAATTCTGTGTAATTTGCCTTCCCAAACAAAAGTAAATAAATATATGATTTTTAAAATTCTATTTAATGCACTTTAAGATTATGTAACAAAACATTTTGCACATCAGTAAGGAGTTCAGGGAATGTAAGACGCAAAAGGCCAGAATATCTGTGAGAATATGTTCAATCACTCGTATAACTAAAGACATGGAAAATCAGAAAACCAAGAGATCATATTTTCAGCTATCAGAGTGAAAGAAGTTTAAATATGTGATAAACCCTAGAAAATGAAGCTATGGAGAGACAGGCACTTCTATACAAGATTGCGATAGTGTAGTCTTTTTGAAGGGGAGATGTGGTGATATTCATCAATATTTTAAAAACACTTACCCTTTGTCCCAGGAATTCCAATGCTAGGATTTTTATTGTCTATATTCTTACATAAATTCTTAAGCTATGTGGGCAAGGATGTTAATTGGAGCTAAGCTATGAGGATGCAAAGGTATAAGAATAATACAATGGACTTTGGGGAATTAGAAGAAAGAGTGGGAGGGGGCGAGGGATAAAAGACTACAGATATGTGCAGTGTACACTGCTCGGGTGATGGGCACAACAAAATCTCACAGATCACCTCTGAAGAACTTACTCATGTAACCAAATACCACCTGTACCCCAATAACTTATGGAAAAATAATTACAACAAAAATGGAAACAACATAAGTGACTTCCTGTAGGGAATCATAAATAGGACATATATACGTGTAATAAGGTAACATTCTGTAATGTCAGCTTTTTTATTTTTTGCTTGAATTTTTTTCAGCTGGTATATTGATTGCATGCCTTGCTTTGGGGGATGAATGACACAGCAGAATGCAAATAACACATAAATAGAGAATGTCTGGCTTTTGAGTTCCAAAAGCCTAGACTCTGACATCAAGAAAATATTTGGAAGCTTGAACAGTGAATAAGAGAAACTTACCTACCTGCAACCATGGATTAAAAATTCCCTGGCCCAGAAGGGTAAGGAAGAGGGGAGAATAGGGAGAAGTTAGTTAACAGATACAAAATTACATATAGCTGGGAGGAATAGGTTCTAGGGTTCTATAGCATTGTAGGATAAATATGGCTAACCATAAATCATTGTATATTTTCAAAAAAGCTGGAAGAAAGAATTATGAATGTTCAGACCACAAAGGAATTGTAAATGTTTGAGGTAATGGATATGCTAATTGCTCTGGTTTGATATACATGTATCAAAATACCAGTCAGTATCTCATGCATATGTACAATTATTACATGTCAACTAAAAATACAAGGAAAATAAATAAAATAAAATAAAATAAAAATAAAATTATCCAAGATCTCCACGCCTGGGGCAATTATTCATTCCTAACAGGACTGAAAAATAGAAACTAGCCTTTCTGAAGTGCCTGCTATATACCAGGCACTTTTACATATCCATATTTCATTAAGGGAATCCTCACACAACTTTTTGGGAGAGAGCTCTTACGAGTCCCAGTTTTAATGATGTCTGAGAACAAGTCTAAGGTGACATGGTCAACATGTGGTTAGTAGGTGCCATAAGTGGAATCCAAATTTTGGTGTATTTTACACAAAACATTTTCTTTAATTGAGGAAAACTCTATAAGCTAGGTATGATTTTAGCTTAAATTTAAAGATGAGGAAAATGAGTCTCACAGAGACCAAGACTGCACAGTCAGAAAGTGACAGAGCCAGAATTACAACTCAGACTGCCTGTAGAGTTCACGTTAACCATGATGTCAACCTGCCTACTCAGACTTTTGGTTCAAGATGATGTGCTGAGCATGTGTTTAAGCTTCTGATCCATCCTATGGACCCATTAAATTAATGTTACTCATTATAAGTATTTTTTTGGCTGTTTTCTTTTTTTTAGCTATGGAAACTAGTATTTTGATAAAGACTTAAAAGTAAATAGAAGCATAACACTTAAAATTACAATAGAAACCACCAAAAGAACAAAAATAAGAAACTGTTAAAAGTTGTGGTCTCTGGGGAGTGGGACAGAAAGGAAAAATTTACTTTTTATTTCACATATTTTGAACTTTGTACTACTGGGTACATTTTCTGCATCTATATTGTTTCGTTCAGAGAAAAAAATTAAAGAAAGCAAAAATAAAACAAGGAAATTGAAGGACGAAAGAAGAAATAAATATGCATGAAATTCCACACAATAGAATATTAAGCAGCTGCCCAAAAGATGGGGACAGATTTATTGTCCTGCCACGAAAAAGTCTCTAAGACATATTGCTAAATAAAAAAATAATCCTGGTATCAAAAAAAAAATCCCTGGGTTGGGAGAAGAGGAGTTAGAAGGAAAGCATATATGTGCCCCAGAAAGGAGCCTTCAATTTAAGACTGAATTCAGGGGTTCAAGAGTGGGAGGTAATGAAGTCTGAGAGAAAAGAAAACTTGCTTCTTGTTTTTGCCTGGAAAATGACAAGATCCACAATTTTGGCAGTGTCCTGACATAATGCTGAAAGAATAGAGTAGGAAGAGCTGTGTGGTGTAACTAAAATCTGACAGAGCTTGCAAGATTTCCCCCAAATCCAGCATGGCAGAGTAATTCCCTGTGTCTGAGAGCAACGTAGACATATCAAAGAGATCTGCAGGTTCTGACAGGACTGAAATGCGATCCCGGGATGATCAGCAAAGATCTACGTAATCAGTGACCGAGGACCAGATAGGACAATACACACCTCTGCATCCGTCTGCTTGGAAAGACAACAACCAAGGAGAAGATGCCATACTCATGCCCTATACCCTCTGTTCTATATAAACCTCAGGTAACTCAGACAAATGCCATGAAGGAAAACCCTGAACTCACACAGATCACGTTTTGACTACTCAGGAGAATAGAATCCTAAGATAAAATCAGGTTGAGTAAAAGAAAAATAAAGGCAATTAAATGTCTTCCATACTTGAGTTAGTGAAATGAGATAGTCTCTATCAATTTAATAGATACATAATACTCCATGGTATGGGGGTACCATGGAGTATTATGTATCTATTAAAAATAAAGAGGCAAGTAAATATACTCTGATATAAAAGATCTGCAAGATAAATTTTAAATTAAAAAAGACAAGGTGAAGAACAATTTGAATAATGTGTATTCTATTTGCAGAAAAATGCTATGTGTTCTAAATGTTTCAAGGATATGAATGACACAGTCAACTGTGAATTTCTCTAGAGACTGAGATGTTTCATTTCATATTATTTTATAAAGGTTTCTTATAAACTAAAATCACGTATTCCTTTTATAATACATAATAAAATATCCTTCTTGTCTTTACATCATGTTTAGTGATCCATTACATTGAATTTGAATTCCATTTATGAAGCATTTATTTCTATAATTTCAGAATAAAGGATGAAAACATTGTGTCTTAAATATTTTTTGGCTGTAGCATAAATCTGCCAGAGAGAATTAATTTCGTTTTCTTTTTTCAGTTACAAAGAGTGTTACACTGCGCCTTTAAGGAAAACTTTCCTTCATCATTCCTGTAAGCGTGGACATGCAACTTCTCTCACCACAAAGGTACAGAAAACATTTCTAAAAATGTGCTGATAACAGAACAAGGAGGCATGATTTGAAAAGCTGCACAAAATCCTGCGTTTTCATACCCCCTAGCATATGGTCATGCATGCAGTTAATGGACACTGAGCAAATCACCAGAATTTATATATGCAGATAAGAATGGTTCCATTCAGGCTGGGCACAGGGGCTCATGCCTGTAATCTTAGCACGTTGGGTGGCTGAGGAGGGCAGATCACCTGAGGTCAGGAGTTCAAGACCAGCCTGGCCAACATGGTGAAACTGTCTCTACTAAAAATACAAAAATTATCCAGGCATGGTAGCGCTCGCCTGTAGTCCCAGCTACTTGGGAGGCTGAGGTGGGAGGATTGCTTGAAATGGGGAGGTGGAGGTTGCAGTGAGCTGAGATTATGTGACTGCACTCCAGCCTGGGTGACAGAGTGAGACTCTGTCTCAGAAAAAAAAAAAAAAAAAGAATAGTTCCATTTTTCTTTTTCAGTTATTCTAAACCACTGAAAATATTTGGCAAGTCCATTTATAGAACTGTTTTTAGAGTTTATGGCACATTCTTTTGAATGTTCAGATGCCAAATAATCACCATTTGAGGGTGGATTTAAATTTTAATAGCAGCTAAAGGCCATTTAGAGTCAAGTATGGTAAATAAGAAAGTCACTCAATTTGGATAATAAATTCACAGTAAAAAAAAATACATATATAGTAACTACAAAACATGATTGTTCTCCAAGCTCTGAAGGAAACAATGTCATATCCTCCAAAACAAACTCTTGAATGTTTTAAACAACTGTAGCATCATTTGGACAACTGCATTGCCTTCCTAAAGACTACCTTGAAATAATAATTTTGATGAATAAATCCTAGTCTGTTAAAAATAAGCCTAACTGATTTATAGCAGCATTCTATATATTGTATTTGTTTAAAAATATTGATGTATAAGATTTTTAAATAAAAGATACATGAAAAAATGCTTATCATCACTGGCCATCAGAGAAATGCAAATCAAAATCACAATGAGATACCATCTCACACCAGTTAGAATGGCGATCATTAAAAAGTCAGGAAACTACAGGTGCTGGAGAGGATGTGGAGAAATAAGAACACTTTTACACTGTTGGTGGGACTGTAAACTAGTTCAATCATTGTGGAAGTCAGTGTGGCGATTCCTCAGGGATCTAGAACTAGAAATACCATTTGACCCAGCCATCTCATTACTGAGTATATACCCAAAGGATTATAAAACATGCTACTGTAAAGACACATGCATATGTATGTTTATTGCGGCACTATTCACAATAGCAAAGACTTGGAACCAACCCAAATGTCCAACAATGATAGACTGGATTAAGAAAATGTGGCACATATACACCATGGAATACTATGAAGCCATAAAAAATGATGAGTTCCTGTCCTTTGTAGGGACATGGATGAAGCTGGAAACCATCATTCTCAGCAAACTATCGCAAGGACAAAAAAACCAAACACCGCATGTTCTCACTCATAGGTGGGAATTGAACAATGAGAACACATGGACACAGGAAGGGGAACATCACACACCGGGGCGTGTTGTGGGGTGGGGGGAGAGGGAAGGGATAGCATTAGGAGATATACCTAATGTTAAATGACGAGATAATGGGTGCAGCACAACAACATGGCACATGTATACATATGTAACAAACCTGTACGTTGTGCACATGTACCCTAAAACTTAAAGTATAATAATTAAAAAAACATTTTAAAGCTGGTTAATACTTTAAATCAGCACTTTTAAAACTGTAGGTCAAGATCTACTAGTACGTCGTGAGATCAATTTAGTAGTTGCAACCAACATTAAAAAATTAGAAGAGAAAATAACAGACTACATCATAAGCTGCTGCACTATTATTTTATCAAAATTGTTTCAGTTAAACAATTTTATGATATATTATGTATTTAGTGAAAATTTATTGAGCACTGAGTACGTGTTAGACCAAGGTTTTAGACAAGGGTCTTGCAATTGTGGGAATTTCAAGCCAGATAATTTTTTATTGTGTATATGATTGGTGGGGAAGGGGGTCTGTCATATGCATTATAGGACGTTTAGCAGCATCCTTGGTACTATGGGCCGAATTGTGTTCCTCCAAAATTTGTACGTTGGAGTCCTAATCCCTAGTACCTTGGAATGTATTTGGACACAGAGTCTTTAAAGAGGTAATTAAGTTATGTATAATTTACATATAATTAAGTTATAATGAAAGCATTAGGGTGGGCCCTAATCCAATATAAATGGTCTTCTTATAAGAATGGCCCAGACAGGAACAGAGGGAAGATCATGTGAAGACACAGGGAGAAGATGGCCATCCATGGAAGAGGCCAAGGAGAGAGGCCTCAAAAGAAACCTGCCTTTAGACACCTTGATCTTGGACTTGCAGCCTTCACAACAGCGAGAAAATACATTTCTGTTCAAGATCACCAGTCCATGGTACTTTGTTATGGCAGCCCTTGTTGGTTTTTACCCACTGGGTGATAGTAGCACACCTTCCCCTGTCGTGACAAACAAACATCTCTCCAGACATTACCAAAAATTCTCCTGGGGAGGCGGTCAAATAACCTCCAGCTTGAGAACCATCACCTAGACATATCTGATTGTACTGCTAATAATATTTAAGTGAGTTTCTCATTGTGTGTTGCTGTCAAAAAACTTGAAAATTTCCAGCTTTCAACCCTGCCACAACACTCTGGGACATAATGATTGGGTGGCAGATGTACTAAGATATTGATGATCCTTTAGCCTGAATAGCCTAGAAAGACGGTATCCCTGGGCCTGCCATGTCAGGCCTTGAACCAGTTATGCCAAGGTACTACACAAATACAAATTTTATGTATGCTGTGAAGGAAAAAAGGCTGAGTAATACTGATTTATGATACTCCCTTTCACTTTTTAGATGGGCAAAATGTGAAGTAACTTAGTTAAATAATCATTTGCTATCATTCATTCCATCAGTGGCAGAGGTGAGATTAATAACTCATGACTTGAGGAGGAGCCAAGATGGCCAAATAGGAACAGCTCCAGTCTACAGCTCCCAGTGTGAGCGACGCAGAAGATGGGTGATTTCTGCATTCCCAACTGAGGTACCAGGTTCATCTCAATGGGAAGTGTCAGACAGTGGGTGAAGGACAGTGGGTGCAGTGCACCGAGTGTGAGCAGGAAGTGCAAGGGGTCAGGGAATTCCCTTTCCTAGTCAAAAAAAGGGGTGACAGATGGCACCTGGAAAACCGGGTCACTCCCACCCTAATACTGCACTTTTCCAATGGTGTTAGCAAACGGCACACCAGGAGACTATATGCCGCGCCTAGCTCAGAGGGTCCTACGCCCATTGAGCCTCACTCATTGCTAGCACAGCAGTCTGAGATCAAACTGCAAGGCAGCAGCAAGGCTGGGGGAGGGGCGCCCGCCATTGCCAAGGCTTGAGTAGGTAAACAAAGCAGCCAGGAAGCTCCAACTGGGTGGAGCCCACCGCAGCTCAAGGAAGCCTGCCTGCCTCTGTAGGCTCCACCTCTGGGGGCAGGGCATAGCGAAACAAAAGGCAGCAGAAACCTCTGTAGACTTAAATGTCCCTGTCTGACAGCTTTGAAGAGAGCAGTGGTTCTCCCAGCACGCAGCTGGAGATATCAGAACGGACAGACTGCCTCCTCAAGTGTGTCCATGACCCCCGAGTAGCCTAACTGGGAGGCACCCCCCAGTAGGGGCAGACTGACACCTCACATGGCCGGGTACTCCTCTGAGACAAAACTTCCAGAGGAAGGATCAGGCAGCAACATTTGCTGTTCACCAATATCCGCTGTTCTGCAGCCTCTGCTGCTGATACCCAGGCAAACAGGGTCTGGAGTGGATCTCCAGCAAACTCCAACAGACCCGCAGCTGAGGGTCCTGACTGTTAGAAGGAAAACTAACAAACAGAAAGGACATCCACACCAAAACCCCATCTGTATGTCACCATCATCAAAGACCAAATGTAGATAAAACCACAAAGATGGAGAAAAAACAGAGCAGAAAAATTGGAAACTCTAAAAATCAGAGCACCTCTCCTTCTCCAAAGGAACGCAGCTCCTCACCAGCAACAGAACAAAGCTGGACAGAGAATGACTTTGACGAGTTGAGAGAAGAAGGCTTCAGATGATCAAACTACTCTGAGCTAAAGGAAGAAGTTCGAACCCATGGCAAAGAAGTTAAAAACATTGAAAAAAAATTAGACGAATGGCTAACTAGAATAACCAATGCAGAGAAGTCCTTAAAGGACCTGATGGAGCTGAAAACCACGGCACGAGAACTACGTGACGAATGCACAAGCCTCAGCAGCCAATTCGATCAACTGGAAGAAAGGGTATCAGTGATGGAAGATCAAATGAATGAAATGAAGTGAGAAGAAAACTTTAGAGAAAAAAGAATAAAAAGAAATGAACAAAGGCCTCCAAGAAATATGGGACTATGTGAAAAGACCAAATCTATATCTGATTGGTGTACCTGAAAGTGATGAGGAGAATGGAACCAAGTTAAAACACTCTGCAGGATATTATCCAGGAGAACTTCCCCAGTCTAGCAAGGCAGGCCAAAATTCAAATTGAGGAAATATAGAGAATGCCACAAAGATACTCCTCGAGAAGAGTAACTCCAAGACACATAATTGTCAGATTCACCAAAGTTGAAATGAAGGAAAAAATGTTAAGGGCAGCCAGAGAGAAAGGTCGGGTTACCCACAAAGGGAAGCCTACCAGACTAACAGCAGATATCTCAGCAGAAACTCTACAAGCCAGACGAAAGAGGAGGCCAATATTCAACATTCTTAAAGAAAAGAATTTTCAACCCAGAATTTCATATCCAGCCAAACTAAACTTCATAAGTGAAGGAGAAATAAAATCCTTTACAGACAAGCAAATGCTGAGAGATTTTGTCACCACCAGGCCTGCCCTAAAAGAGCTCCTGAAGGAAGCACTAAACATGGAAAGGAACAACCAGTAACAGCCACTGCAAAAACATGCCAAATTGTAAAGACCATTGAGGCTAGGAAGAAACTGCATCAACTAATGAGCAAAATAACCAGCTAACATCATAATGACAGGATCAAATTCACACATAACAATATTAACCTTAAATGTAAATGGGCTAAATGCTCCAATTAAAAGACACAGACTGGTAAATTGGATAAAGAGTCAAGACCCATCAGTGTGCTGTATTCAGAAAACCCATCTCACGTGCAGAGACACACATAGGCTTAAAATAAAGGGATGGAGGAAGATCTACCAAGCAAATGGAAAACAAAAAAAGGCAGGGGTTGCAATCCTAATCTCTGATAAAAAACATACTTTAAACCAACAAAGATCAAAAGAGACGAAGAAGGCCATTACATAATGGTAAAGGGATCAATTCAACAAGAAGAGCTAACTATCCTAAATATATATGCACCCAATACAGGAGCACCCAGATCCATAAAGCAAGTCCTTAGAGACCTAGAAAGAGACTTAGACTCCCACACAATAATAATGGGAGACTTTAACACCCCACTGTCAACATTAGACAGATCAACAAGACAGAAAGTTAACAAGGATATCCAGGAATTGAACTCAGCTCTGCACCAAGCGGACCTAATAGACATCTACAGAACTCTCCACCCCAATTCAACAGAATATACATTCTTTTAAGCACCACACCACACCTATTCCAAAACTGACCACATAGTTGGAAGTAAAGCACTCCTCAGCAAATGTAAAAGAACAGAAATTATGACAAACTGTCTCTCAGACCACAGTGCGATCAAACTAGAACTCAGGATTAAGAAACTCACTCAAAACCACTCAACTACATGGAAACTGAACAACCTACTCCTGAATGACTACTGGGTACATACCGAAATGAAGGCAGAAATAAAGATGTTCTTTGAAACGAATGAGAACAAAGACACAACATACCAGAATCTCTGGGGCATATTCAAAGCAGTGCGTAGAGGGAAATTTATAGCAGTAAATGCCCACAAGAGAAAGCAGGAAAGATCTAAAATTGACACCCTAACATCACAATTAAAAGAACTAGAAAAGCAAGAGCAAACACATTCAAAAGCTAGCAGAAGGCAAGAAATAACTAAGATCAGAGCAGAACTGAAGGAAATAGAGACACAAAACATCCTTCAAAAAAATCAATGAATCCAGGAGCTGGTTTTTTGAAAAGATCATCAAAATTGATAGACCGCTAGCAAGACTAATAAAGAAGAAAAGAGAGAAGAATCAAATAGATGCAATAAAAAATGATAAAGGGGATATCACCACTGATCTCACAGAAATACAAACTACCATCAGAGAATACTATAAACACCTCTATGCAAATAAACTAGAAAATCTAGAAGAAATGGATAAATTCCTGGACACATACACCCTCCCAAGACTAAACCAGGAAGAAGCTGAATCTCTGAATACACCAATAACAGGCTCTGACATTGAGGCAATAATTAATATCTTACCAACAAAAAAAATCCAGGACCAGATGGATTCACAGCTGAATTCTACCAGAGGTACAAGGAAGAGCTGATACCATTCCTTCTGAAACTATTCCAACCAACAGAAAAAGACGGAATCCTCCCTAACTCATTTTATGAGGCCAGCATCATCCTGATACCAAAGCATGGCAGAGACTCAACAAAAAAAAGAGAATTTTAGACCAATATCCCTGATGAACATCGATGCAAAAATCCTCAATAAAATACTGACACACCGAATCCAGCAGCACATCAAAAAGCTTATCCACCATGATCAAGTGGGCTTCATCCCTGGGATGCAAGGCTGGCTCAACATACACGAATCAATAACAGTAATCCAGCATATAAACAGAACCAAAGACAAAAACCACATGATTATCTCAATAGATGCAGAAAAGGCCTTTGACAAAATTCAACAGCCCTTCATGCTAAAAACTCTCAATAAATTAGGTATTGATGGGACGTATCTCAAAATAATAAGAGCTATCTATGACAAACCCACAGCCAATGTCATACTGAATGGGCAAAAACTGGAAGAATTCCCTTTGAAAACTGGTACAAGACAGGGATGCCCTCTCTCACCACTCCTATTCAACATAGTGTTGGAAGTTCTGGCCAGGGCAATCAGGCAAGAGAAGGAAATAAAGGATATTCAATTAGGAAAAGAGGAAGTCAAATTGTCCCTGTTTGCCGATGACATGATTGTATATCTAGAAAACCCCATCGTCTCAGCCCAGAATCTCCTTAAGGTGATAGACAACTTCAGCAAAGTCTCAGGATACAAAATCAATGTGTGAAAATCACAAGCATTCTTATACACCAATAACAGACAGAGAGCCAAATCATGAGTGAACTCTCATTCACAATTTCTTCAAAGAGAATAAAATACCTAGGAATCCAACTTACAAGGGACGCGAAGGACCTCTTCAAGGAGAACCACAAACCACTGCTCAATGAAATAAAAGAGGATACAAACAAATGGAAGAACATTCCATGCTCATGGGTAGGAAGAATCAACATTGTGAAAATGGCCATACTGCCCAAGGTAATTTATAGATTCAATGCAATCTCCATCAAGCTACCAATGACTTTCTTCACAGAATTGGAAAAAACTACTTTGAAGTTCATATGGAACCAAAAACGAGCCCGCATCGCCAAGTCAATCCTAAGCCAAAAGAACAAAGCTGGAGGCATCACGCTACCTGACATCAAACTATACTACAAGGCCACAGTAACCAAAACAGCATGGTACTGGTACCAAAACAGAGATATAGACCAATGGAACAGAACAGAGCCCCCAGAAATAACGCCACATATCTACAACCATCTGATCTTTGACAAACCTGACAAAACAAGAAATGGGGAAAAGATTCTTTATTTAATAAATGGTGCTGGGAAAACTGGCTAGCCATTATGTAGAAAGCTGAAACTGGATCCCTTCCTTACACCTTATACAAAAAGTAATTCAAGATGGATTAAAGACTTAAATGTTAGATCTAAAACCATAAAAACCCTAGAAGAAAACCTAGGCAATACCATTCAGGACATAGGCATGGGCAAAGACTTCATGTCTAAAACACCAAAAGCAATGGCAACAAAAGCCAAAATTGACAAATGGGATCTAATTAAACTAAAGAGCTTCTGCACAGCAAAAGAAACTACCATCAGAGTGAACAGGCAACCTACAGAATGGGAGAAAATTTTTGCAATCTACTCATCTGACAAAGGGCTAATATCCAGAATCTACAATGAACTCAAACAAATTTACAAGAAAAAAAAAAACCATCAAAAGTAGGTGAAAGATATGAACAGACACTTCTCAAAAGAAGACATTTATGCAGCCAAAAGACATATGAAAAAATGCTCATCATCACTGGCCATCTGAGAAATGCAAATCAAAACCACAATGAGATACCATCTCACACCACTTAGAATGGTGATCATTAAAAAGCCAGGAAACAACAGGTGCTGGAGAGGATGTGGAGAAATAGGAACACTTTTACACTGTTGGTGGGACTGCAAACTCGTTCAACCATTGTGGAAGTCAGTGTGGTGATTCCTCAGGGCTTTAGAACTAGAAATACCATTTGACCCAGCCATCCCATTACTGGGTATATACCCAAAGGACTATAAACCATGCTGCTGTAAAGACACATGCACATGTATGTTTATTGCGGCACTATTCACAATAACAAAGAGTTGGAACCAAGCCAAATGTCCAACAATGATAGACAGGATTAAGAAAATGTGGCACATATACACCATGGGATACTATGCAGCCATAAAAAATGATGAGTTCATGTCCTTTGTAGGGACATGGATGAAATTGGAAATCATCATTCTCAGTAAACTATTGCAAGAACAAAAAACCAAACACCGCATATTCTCACTCATAGCTGGGAATTGAACAATGAGAACACATGGACACAGGAAGGGGAACATCACACTCTGGGGACTGTCATGGGGTGGGGGGAGGGGGGAGGGATAGCATTAGGAGATATACCTAATGTTAAATGACGAGTTAATGGGTGCAGCACACCAGCATGGCACATGTATACATATGTAACTAACCTGCACATCGTGCATATGTACCCTAAAACTTAAAGTATAATAATAATAATAATAATAATAATAGTAAAACAAACCATCATTCTGAGCAAACTATCGCAAGGACAAAAAACCAAACACCACATGTTCTCACTCATAGGTGGGAATTGAACAATGAGAACACAAGGACATAGGAAGGGGAACATCACACACCGGGGACTGTCGTGGGGTGGGGGGAGAGTGGAGGGATAGCATTAGGAGATATACCTAATGTTAAATGATGAGTTAATGGGTGCAGCATACCAACATGGCACATGTATACATATGTAACAAACTTGCACGTTGTGCACATGTACCCTAAAACTTTAAGTATAATAAAAAAAAAAACAAACTCATGACTTCTATTAGGGATTTACCATTACAGTTTTCATTTTTAGAGAGTTGTTTCTTAAGGACAAAAAAAAAACCATTTTACAAGGATGGTTACTCAACCTAAGTTTTCTAGAATGCAAAGCCTGAGGCAAAATTTACATGCCACCGCTGAATTGGGGTATGCAATTTTAGGACTGGAACAGTGGGGAAAGGGAAGTGAGGAAGAAATAGGTGGAAAAGCAAATACAAAGTGATACATGACCATGCTGGCCACAGCTTGCCAGAAAGCACAGCTGGTTGGTTGGTCATGCAAGGCTTTTCTTGAGAGACAAAAAGAATCATTGCTCTGAGGCCCAATGTGCTTGGGAGTGGTAGGGAGAGAAACCATGAGGAAGTTATCTAGTGGCTTCTTCCTTTGTCTTTTTTCCTGGTCAAATTTTGCTCCATAAGGCATTAACTCCCCTGCACTTCTAGACTGTGATACTGTATCCTTCCAGGACACTGATGGTGAGAATAGATCCTACTTTCCACAGGGCAGGGTGTTACCTGGGCCCAACAGTGGTGGAAATGTGAGTCCACTTAGGTGGACTGAGTGCTGTGGTCCTCCCTGTGGCAAGAGTGATGGGGACCGTGCCAAAGCCCAGCCCTAGTCCCACAGAAGACAGAGGCAGCCACCAATGTATGGAGACAGTGGCCAAGCAGCCAAAGTCCAGAGCCAAGTAGGTCCAAGTATATCCAAGGAAGCACAGACACAAGGTTCACTACAAATGATATGGATTGCCTAGCTGAGTTAGAGACCACCGTAACTCCAATGGTAACACTTATGTTGGGCTCACAGTCAGAAGATCTGACCCAAGGCAGGTTTGACTGCAATACACCTTCTCTTTTCTCTGGGTCTCCATTTGTTTATTTGCATACTAATAAAATTGGATAAGAGAAGAGACTGAAAAGTCAAATGCTTACAGTGGCCAGACAATAAATACAAATTGAAGGATTGGCTACCTCTGAATGTGTTAGGCTGGAGATGGAGTAAACTTGAGTGAATGTTTACATGAAGAGGGCAGCCTTACATAGCTGCAGCTCCTGATGGGAACACGGACTTAGTTTTGCCAAATATGCAGTCCTTTTTAAGGGGAGAAGCTGGAAGTCTGCATTTTCATGAGATGTATCCATATTTATAAATGTTTGTTCAATTTTTTGGAAAACACTGTATGAGCCAAGCAAAATACATCTGTCAGCCACTTGGACCACCAGTTGGTCATCTCTCACCTAGATGATCTCAAAGATTCTTTAGCCTTCACATTCCCCAAAGTGTAATATCCTTTTCATGGTTTTCCCTGCCAGATGATACTTTTTTAAGTGCTTACTGTGTACTGGAATTGTGTGAGCACTTTACATAGGTTATCTCATTTAATCTTTATGCCAATTAAAATTGCTGCATAATGAACCGTTCTAAAACTTAGTGACTGAACACAACAACAGTCATTTATTTAGCTCATGAATTTTGGGCAGCAATCAACAGAGGAGGCTCACGTCTGTTCCACATGGTGTCAGTTGGGGCAGCTTTACCAAGGATAGAGGATCCATTTCCAAGAAGTCACACTTCCAAAGTTGGTGAGTTGGTGCTGGCTGCCAGCCAGTAGCTTGGCCACAGCTGAGGGCAAGGGCACCAGATACTTTTCCTGGTTTCACCATGAGCATCTAGGACTTCTTCTTACCCTGGCTGTGCAGTGGGTTTCCTAGAAAAAGCATCTTAAGATATAGCAAGTGGGAGCTGCCATTTCTTAAGAGCCTAGAAACTGCCCAAGATATGCCATTGGTGAAGTAGTCACAGAGCCCAGATTAAATAGGAAAAGAAATCAGCTGCACTTCCTGATGGGAAGTGTCATACAATTTTGGGGCCGTGTTTCAAAACTGCCACATCTTTGAACAATCACAATACTGGCTATTAATACATCCCAATATTACAAACAAGGCAACTGACACAGAGAGGGACTAAGTAATTTACCCAAAGTCACACAGCCCTTACATGTCATCTAAGGCCTAAGTCTGGGTCTTTCTGTCTCCACAAAGCCCAGGCTCCGGTGATTCTGCTGTTCTATGTCTTCTTGTGATTAGTGTATATAAAACTCCACATAGTTCAGAATGTATAGCATGGATTTGCTGCCTGAGGGTAAAGAACCCAGGGGTTCCATACATTGAGAAAAATATAGGTAAAGATTCTATCTGATATTGGGTAGATTAAAAAAAGTGAAGAAGCTCAGTAATCTGCCAAAGAAACAGTGAAAAGATTAGCAGATCGGTGATGAATATGATGCCTGAATTTAAGCGAAACAATAATATACCTGAAAGGCACTCTTACAAGCCTGTTTGAAAAAAATCATTTCAAATAGAGATGCACATATCTATTAAGCATGCAGAGAAACTCCTCGAGCTTTTAAGAGAGAAAGTGCTCTATATGAAGGGCAATTTTATTATAAACGGAAACAACTCCTATCAGCACATAGCAGGCATATGTGTGTATTTTTAAAATTGTGTCTCCAGAACTAAATGTTCAATAGGGCCTAATATTTTTGTTTTCCGTGAAGTAAGTGGTAGCCTGACATTCAACAGAAATTCGGTATATTAGTTAGTTCTCACACTGCTATGAGGAAATACCCCAGACTGGGTAATTTATAAAGGAAAGAGGTTCAATTGACTCACAGTTCTGCATGGCTGTGGAGGCCTCAGGAAACTTACAATCGTAGCGGAAGGCAAAGGAGAGGCAGGCACTTTCCTCACAGGGTGGAAGGACGGAGTGAGGGCAAGCCGGGGAAATTCCAGACGCTTATAAAACCGTCAGATCTCCCGAGACTCACTATCACGATAACAGCATGGGGGAAACAGCTGATTCTCAGAATCATGGGGGAGCCATGATTCAATTGCTTCCACCTGGTCCCGCCCTTGACACGTGGGGATTATGGGGATTAAAATGAGATTTAGGTGGGGACACAGCCGAACCATATCACTCAGTTCTACCCTATGAGAATAGCCCTTGCTCTCTAAAAGAAAATAAAAAACAGTTTAAAATTCTGTAGCGTGCAGGCACATTACTGGCTTTTGATTGAACACATTTCTTCCAAGAAAGAAGATATATGAGTCTTTCAAAACTATAGAAATAATTTAAATGTGTTTTTAAGTATACAGTATTAGTGGCAATTTGGTTTCTAATGACATTCTTTTTTTTTTTTTTTTTTTTTTTTTTCTGAGATGGAGTCTCAATCTGTGGCCCAGGATGGAGTGCAGTGGCACAATCTTGGCTCAATGCAAACTCCGCCTCCCAGGCTCAAGTGATTCTTCTGCCTCAGCCTCCCGAGTGGCTGACATTACAGGCAACTGCCACCATGCCTAGCTAATTTTTGTATTTTTAGTAGAGACGGGATTTCACCATGTTGGCCAGGCTGGTCTCGAATTCCTGACCTCAAGTGATCCACCTGCCTCAACTTCCCAAAATGTTGGGATTACAGGCGTGAGCCACTGCGCCCAGTCAATGGCATTCTTTAAGTTTGAAATGTATACCTTTTAACAAAAGATATACATTAACAAAAACAAACAAAACCTTTCCTCCTTCTTTAGCTTTAAGAAACAATATAAGGACAAGTTTTATTTTCTAGTAATAAAAATATATGCTTTCATAATGTTCCATACACTAGAATGTAGGAAGCAGGAAAATTTATTCATCACTAGACTTTCACATTCCATGTGGGCTGTGAATATCACCACTGTTGTCCTAATACCTAGTGAAGTGTTTATGTTGAGTAGACATTCAATAAACCATTATTGAATGAATGAGATTTTTCATTTGTTTTAAGAAATGATATTTAGACATATAGTCCATGTCCACTTAATGGATTTAAAGTGGATGCATCAATATTTAATATTGCGTTTTACCTCACTTCCCTTATTTGCTATAGAGCAGGAAGAGTATTAAACATCATCTCTCCTAAATTTTTTCTACAAGTGAAAAAATTGATTCTAGAAACACAGACTCTAGCAAACCTGGCCAAAGTTCACAGATGCTGCAAAGATCCAAACCAGGTAACTCCCAATCCAAGTGAACAAAATAATACTCATTGCTGATGTGAAAGGGAAACAAACCAAAGTGTGCACATGTTCCCTAACTAGAAGTTGGCACAGGAAAGAGAAGAAGTTATAAACTAGTTTAATTATTTCTGATTTCTTTTTCTATTTTTTTTTTAGCACCATTGCCCTGTTACTATTTTCACTATTGTTACATTGCCTATTTGACTTAGAACATTCAAATGTTGAAAACTCAGGTGTTTGTTGTATTTAATATTATGGTGCCTAGTATCTTGTAGGTGCTCAATAAATTATTAATGGAATAAAACAAAAATAAAGGCCGGGAGCGGTGGCTCATGCCTGTAATCCCAGCAATTTGGGAGGCCAAGGTGGGCAAATCACCTGAGGTCAGGAGTTCGAGACCAGCCTGACCAACATGGTGAAACCGCATCTCTACTAAAAATACAAAAAAAAATTAGCCGGGCTTTGTGGTGCGTGCCTGTAATCCCAGCTACTCGGGAAGCTGAGGCAAGAGAATCACTTGAACCTGGGAGGTGGAGGTTGCAGTGAGCTGAGATCACGCCACTGCACTCCAGCCTGGGCGACAAGAGCAAAACTCCGTCTCAAAAAAAAAAACACAAAAAACCACAAAAATAAAGTCGTGTTGTTGTAGCATCCGCATGTGTCTCACTTGTCAACATGCTGGTTATATTTATGGAGGCTCACTCAGGGCTGGCTTCTCCACGAGACCCAGTAGCCATGGTGCCGGGAGTCCATGGTACTCTTAGGGAATTATTAAGATATTTTCATTTTGTAAGTCCAAAGGAAAAAAAATGAATGTAATCAGCTTGGGTTATATTCATCTTTATTACCAATACAGTCAAAAAATGCAACTGTTAATATAATTTTGTGGAGATAGGCCTTATGAAAGTCATAATGTGGCCCTGGGATTTTCTTGGGTGCTTTAAGAACTGATGTGCAAAGTTATAGAAGTGCACTGAGCTCGTTGAGAACCTATAGGCATAAAAATGGAGCTCAATGTGTGTCCCCAGAAGTTGGAAAAAGTGAGCTGATGTTTGAAAATGTATCAGGTTAACTAATGGTGGACTAATCAAAGGAGAGTTGGAAAGTCTGAGTGACTTGCTCTCTCAGTTTGTTGGGGAAAAGGATACATGAGTTTTTCCCACCAACCACCATGGGCCACATGTCAAGGAACCATCTTGGGTCCTCTTAGGTTCTGCCTTAAAGGGCTTTCCTGGAGTGTCAATAGGACCTCAAAAGAAGAGAACCTGAGGGGACTTCCAGCTGCAGAAGGAGTAAGTGAACCGTGAAGCAGAATAACCTTTGCTGAAGTCAAAGAGGGGCAGGTAAGTGGTCCCCAATAGTGGAAGTTGAGAGCATCTTTCTGAATAAGAGAAAATCTTTTAGGATGGGAAAGGATGGAGCCAATTTATGACAGTGTCAATCAACTAAGGGCCCTCCTGCTCCACCACCCCTTCTTTATTCCTATCAGAAGCTGTTAGTTAAGAGGGACAGGAAGAGACACCAGGAGAGAAAGAAGCAAATCCCAGCATCTTCTACTATGTGCAGGCTTCTTGCCTCCATTAGGCCCTGGCTGCAGAATAGGGGAAGATTTAACTTTCAATCAGTTTTGCAATGTTGATTATTATATAGGACTGAGAATTACACATTTTAGATTCATGATCATTTTAAATGACCGTACACCTTTTTATTAAGGCAGTAATCAAGAGTCATGCCTGAGGTTTTTTTCAGGAGCCTGAGGAAACTTCCCTCCCTGAGTCCCCTGCTAAATAAATTTTGAAAGAATTATGGAAGTCTGAAAAAAAGCAACTTGTTCAGTATCACTAATTTCAGCAAAAATAGAAATATTTTAAAACAGTTCATAACTTCAGACATGGTTTCACAAATTCAGATTTCCAGTCACTTGAATATTCATTGTTTCACACTGTGGAATAATTGCTCTTAATGGAAAAAAGCAAGCAAAATGAGCACAGAATTTAACTTATGATTCTGTGTGCCAAGGTGTAAGTGAGAGGGGAAGTCCCCAAAGACAGCCTTTATTAAAGATTCATTGATTACATGCCATCCAGACAATAAAAGGAAAGTCATAGATGACATGAGGAAATCATTAGGTTATGTTGTGGATAGCTGATCAAATCAATTGATCCACTGTTGATACATACAGCATATGTGTTTAATTGTGATAACTTCTGTTTCTATTTAAATATTTATAGAAAATATGGAAAACAGTTGACCCTTGAATAACATGTGGGTTAGGAGTATTGACCCCCCACCAAAACTCATGTATGACTTTTGACTCCCTGAAACATAACTACTAATAGCCTGCTGTTGACCGGAAGCCTTACCGGCAGCATAAACAATCTATTAACACAAATTTGTATGTTAAATATATAATATACTCTATTCTTACAATGAAGTAAGCTAGAGAAAGGAAAATATTATTAAGAAAATCACAAAGAAGGGAAATACATTTACTATAAGTAGACGTGGATCATCATAAAGGTTTTCATCCTTGTCTTCTTCATGTTGAGTAAGCTGAAGGAGGAGGAGGAAGAGGAGGGGTTGATCTTGCTGTCTCAGGGGTGGTGGAGGTGGAAGAAAATCCACATGTACAATAACTCACACAGTTCAAACCCATGTTACTCAAGGATCAACTGTATTTTGAAAATTTAGAAAACTTAATATCAAACTTATTTTATTACAAGGAAGTTTATGGAATTATTTGGCACTGAAAGTGAATTTTCCAATTGTACTATCTTTTGACATTTTTGCACTGTGCGAATGCTAGAAATTTATTTCAATTTCTAGGTAATTTTACTCACAGGAAATATTTGTGAAGAGACTTTTGTTATAATTTCAATAGTAAGAAATCACTGAGAAACCATTATATATTTAAGTATCCCTCATATTTATTTCCTCAATTATGATATAGGCATAAATTCTATTTTCCTAATAACATAAGTATATAATTTGCTTATGAATAAAAAAATTATTCTCACAAATGCTTGACCATGGAAAGGTGGGTGTGGGAGTTCAAGTTGAAACAAATATGTGTACAACTGCTTCTAAGAAATGAAGACCAGGCCAAGTGCAGTGGCTCACGCCTGTAATTTCAGCACTTTGGGAGGCCAAGGTGGATGGATCACTAGAGGCCAGGAGTTCAAGACCAACCTGGCCAACAGGGTGAAACCCCATCTCTACTAAAAATACAAAAATTAGCTTGGCGTGGTGGTAGGCACCTATAATCCCAGCTACTTGGGAGGCTGAGGCAGGAGAATCACTTGAACCCAGGAGGCAGAGGTTTCAGTGAGCCACTGCACTCTACCCTGGGCAACAGAGTGAGACTCCATCTCAAAAAAGGAGAAAAAAAAAAGGAAAAGAAATGAAGACCAATCCTAGAATTTATGTAACAGCCACTCCTCTTTGGCTCTTTTAATGTGATTATTGTTATTAGCACCAATTGTGTCTCAGATGAAAAGGAATTTAAAAATATTTGCTCATAGAAACACTGCTAGGTAAGCCTTTTGTAAGGACATTCTGTACCACAAATATCTACCTACTGCTCTACACAGAACCGATATTCTAAGCACTCCATATTGTATTTCATCCTATTTCATCTTATTCAAACTGAGTTTGTTGCATTCTACATTTATTGGCCACCTAATATGTGCCAGACACTGAGCTTAGCAACTAATGGGCTGCAAATATAAGTAGTCCATATTTTCTACCTTCAAGGAGATCATTTATTCATTCAACAAACATTTTCTCTGTGCCTATTATGTGCCAGATTTCTTATGGGAGTTGGAGGTACCTAATTTAATCTAGAGCATTAGGTAAGGCTTCTAAGATTAGAAACAGACACTAAATTAAGATAACTGTAGTAAAACCAGAGGATTATAAATGCTTAAATAATATTTTCAGATACAAAGAGCATAGGATAAAAATGACTAAAGAAGGTAGAAATCTGGACAAAGCAGATGCCATTTGAACTGAGCATTGAGGGGCTTTGTATTAGGGGATAGTCTAAAGTACTCTCGGAACCAAAAAACCAATTCCAAAACATAATAGCATGAACAAAGTACTGCCTTATTACAAATACAGTGTCAGATAAACCTATGGACCACCAGACATGACTTTCATCTTTGGCTCCAAGGTGGCTGCTCTTGCTCCCCAGCTATCAGGGAGTGAGAATAGCTCTAAGATAAAACAAGCACTCCTTAAGATATTTTGAAAACAAAATGAAAACAATGCATTTCTTAAGATCAAATGATTTTGCAAAAATCATCCGTAGTAAGATTAAAATAAATCAAACCAAGGGACATACACCGATTGAGAATGTGGGTGAACCAGTTCCCTAATATTTAATTAGGCAGTTGGGACTGACTGGTAGCTAAATAAAAGCCTCATCAATATCTTCAGATTCCAGTTGTGATCTGAGAGATGTATATTTTATACTTTGTACAGTTAGAAGGTATAAAATTTGTTCAAATTCTTGAGAAATATTGACTTCATACTTGGCTTGGTTTTTAGTTGTATGAATGTGGGCTGGTAATTTAACTTATCTATGCTTCAGTTCCATTATTTATAAGATGTGGATAATAATAACTACTTCATAGTGTTATAAGGAGCTTATCACAGTGCCTGGCATGTAGTAAATTCTGAATAAAAGTGAGTTACAATGAGACTGTTGATAATATCTTTTGATCATGGTTTAGAGAAAAAATTCTCTCCCTTCTTTCCTTCCTTCCTTCCTTCCTTCCTTCCTTCCTTCCTTTTCTTTCCTTCCTTCCTTCCTTCCTTCTTTCTTTCCTTCCTTCCTTCTTTTCTTCCTTCCTTCCTTCCTTCTTTTCTTCCTTCCTTCCTTCCTTCCTTTTCTTTCCTTCCTTCCTTCCTTCCTTCTTTCCTTCCTTCCTTCTTTTCTTCCTTCCTTTCTACCTTCTCTCTTTTAAGTGTTTATCATTTTAATCTGTTTTCTATTTCTGGCGAAGAACCTATGTAATTGTACCTTTCTTCTGAGTACTATTTGCCAAGCAGGTGTAAAACTGCAGTGCAATATAATTTAGTAAAAACCTAATTTTAGGTATTGGATTCATGCGTCTTCTCTGTGTGTGGGTGGATTAGGCAGTATCCTCACGTTAGCCCAGCTATGTGAAAGAACTTAGGCAGGCAGAGATTATAACCATGAGTGCCAAAGGAGTCCATTTTCTAATATCTTCATATTTAAATTAAGGTGAATTTTACTTTTCTTAAAGGTTTAGGTTAGGAAGGAATAAGGAAATGATCCTTTTAATTGCTGAGCAGGGTAAGGTTTTCTTTTACCTCATTCAGAGCAGATGCAAAAACTATTTTGTCATATTAAAGTGCAAGGTCTAAAGACTGGAGAATATAATAAAGTGAATGCATGCAGTATACTTTGGATTACATACTTTTGTTAAGTATATGGTAGAATCCATTGATCTTTCCTATCTTCATCATCTATATGTTTTACATATATAAATATATCTTCCCTAAAACAGAAGTAAAATTATTAGAGATTGTACATATTGCAAAGCAAAACTCATTTTAAGAAAAGCATAAAAAACTCTGCCAAAGCTCAACTTATAATCATCAGGGAAATAAAAAAATATGCTGTATTATATAATCCTAGGATTATATGTATTTCATTTATATAGCATCTATATATATCTATATATTTAATCTATAGTTTTAGGATTATCCAATAATGTATGTGTATGTGTATCCGTACATCCCCCAAAAGAATGTTTTGAATGACCAAATATTCTTGCTAACCTCCAAGGAAAATTCCCAGATCAACTGATGGCCTAGGGGTTCAAAGAGAAAGGAAGAAAAGAGAATTGGGGGAACAAGTAAGAAATGAGAATTTTGAAAGAAGGAAAGAAAAGACAATAAATGACTTCTTAAAAGTATATGTTGTCAGTAGTGATGTTTGATAACCACACAGGGTGTTAATATCATAGACCATCTCCTTTCCATTGCTGTCGGTCATATTTCTTAGACTTTTAGTAGATGTCTACATTAACTCATCTGCTGCCAGATATTTTTCTGGGTACCTTACTTGCATTAACTCATTAATTCCTTTTTGCTAAGTGATGGAGTTGGTAAAAATTATTACCTCCGTTTTACAGATAAGGAAACTGAACGACAAGAGGGTGGTGACTTCCCAAGGTCATACAACTAGGAAATGATAGAGCCAGGATATGATGAACTCAGCTGAACTGACTCTAGGACTTGTGTCAACACCTTTATGCTAGACTGTTTCCTTGGGATGAAGACTAGGCAAGATGCCTCCATTCTTTGGGCTTTGTTTACATCACTCAAAAATTGCAGTGTCTGGTGTTAAAACTGACCCAATCGTTCCATGGGCATTTTTTTTTTTTTTTTTGGATAAACATAGAAATTGTCCCTTGTGGTCTTAAAGCTTGAAAGTAACACTTGTTTTATCTAGGTTTCTTCCTCAGGAAATGATCCACAGGCCTCTCAATAAAAGTATCAAATAATTGAAACTCACCAGATCACTGCATCCAGACAATGAAATGCCATACCTTCATTCCTCTGTCCTTATCCCTCCCTGGTTTCTGTTTTCCCACACATAGCTTTGTTTCTTCCCTGCTATATAAATGGTCAGGGGTATGGATTTGAGACTAATCTCACATCTCTTTGGCTGCAGCACCAGATTAAAGCCTTCTTCCTTGGCATACTCATTGTCTCAGTGATTGGCTTTTTGTGTGGCAAGCAGCAGGACCTGGACCAAACCTCTGGTGTTTTGGTAACAATGTGAGACTAACTCAAAGATGTTGTGCTTCATGAATCTGCAAAAACATGGGAGTGATCTCAGGAGAATGTTAAAAATGATGAGCATTTTGGAAATACACAGCTAATGATGAAAGATAAAAATTACAATGATTGAGCATTTGAGAAGGGGGAAGAGATTTTTTTCTAATTGTGTTCTAGTACGTTCCTGGAATACTAGCAGTAGTTGTAGAAAATGGTGCCCATCTTTACTTCAGTTCTACAGAGAAATTTTGTTTATGTTTCGGCAAGAAAAATATTTTTGCCTAAAGCTTGTGACATTTTCAAAATTGCAATGAAAACTGCAAATCATCTTTTTCTTGGAAAGTTACGG
Organism: Homo sapiens; assembly: GCF_000001405.40. NCBI lineage: Eukaryota > Metazoa > Chordata > Mammalia > Primates > Hominidae > Homo > Homo sapiens. Next base: position 63,273,269 of record NC_000003.12, read on the forward strand.
GAGTAGGAGGAAAATCCTGACTCTGCTGTTTACTCTCTATAAGACCTTAGTTGAGATTTTTAGTCTCTTTGAACTGTGTTTTCTCATCTGCATAATGGAAGTAACAGTAGTATATACTTACAAGGCTGATGAGGAAATTAAAGAATTTATGCCTATAGAGGCACTTAGCATTCTGTCCAGCATCTACTTAATATTAATACTTAATGTATTATTAGAGCCCTTATTATAATTACTGTTGCTATTATTATTCTCTGGGGTCAATGGATCCAATCCTTTGGTGTTAGTTTTGGTCCTCTGATTTGCATGTATTCAAGCCTAACATAACTTACAAAAATCTATTTCATTTGAAACAAATATGGAAACAGAAATAGTAAAAGCATTTTATAATTTAAGTTCACATTGGCCATCCATATATGAATTTTTATATCAGTTGTATTTGTTAATTAAGAATGATCCTATTTGAATGCTAAGATTTTCATAAGAAGCCTATGAAATCTTATGATGTGATGAACTTTTAAACTAAACAAACATGTATACATATTCTTGCATGTTTTTTTGCATCCAATTAAGACACAGGAACATAAGAAAGTAAAAATGCTTTATTTCATCTTTGGATTGAGAGATAATGCTATACTTATTCTAACATTAGAGTTTTTGAAAATATTTCCACACAATCTCCTGTCCTGTGTACCAGTGGCCCTATGCAAGATCAAACACACAAACAAATAAACGCACAGGCATGCTATTGGCCTTTGCTTTCATATTCACTTACCTAAGGAAAGATTTGGAAATTTCAGGTTAGCAGCATGAGCAGAGAGTTAAATATACAACATTTTGACAGACTTCCACTCATTTCCATTATTTTAGATTTCATAACATACGGGTAGTGTTTCCTCCTGTATTAAGTTGCTGCAGATAAAGTTTTAAATTAGTTTTTTGTCTTTGTCACAAAAGACATGGGAATATGAAACCCAGGTATATTTTCCTATGAGAACAAGATTTAATTAGCCTGAATAATGCAAGTTCTTCTATTGCAGCTTGGTAGTTTGGTTTGTATAGTTTGACTCAAGATTAACCCTCTTTGAGATTCAAAATGCTTGGTTTTGTTACTTGATTTTCATTTGCGAACAAGGTATATTTTCCTATGAGAACAAGATTTAATTTGCCTGAATAATGCAAGTTCTTCTATTGCAGATTGGTACTTTGGTTTGTATAGTTTGACTCAAGATTAACCCTCTTTGAGATTCAAAATGGTTGGTTTGTAACTTGATTCTCATTTGCTGATTTAGCAAATGTTGAGCTTTACTAAATTGGGCTGAATGTATTTCTTACTACAGTGTAAGCTTTGGGAAGACAGGAAACTTGGCAAGCTGTTTACAGTATCTAGAACAGTACCAGGGCACAATAGGCACTCAGCCCTTACTTGCTGAAGTTTCTCTACCTTGGCACCATTGACATTTTCCAGATAATTCTTTGTTTTGAGTAACTGTCCTCTGAATTGTAGGATATTGAGCAGCATCTCTTGCTTCTGCCCTCTGGAAGCCAGTAGTGTCATCTCCATCCCCTGCCCCCACCTCGTTGTGACAATCAAAATGTCTCCAAACATTGTTACATGTTTTCCAGTGGCGGGAAGGGCCCAAATCACCCTCTATTGAGAACCAGAGGACTGCAGTAAATAAATGGATTGCCTTGGCATATCAAAGGAAGTATTCATAGCTATGGGTCCCTGGCTCAAAACAAAAGAGAATTTGGAAATTATTTGATTTACATAATCAACACTGGCCACTAAAATGGATCATTTATGCCCCACCAAAGTTAACTTTATCCTTCATCTATCATGATAGATTCATCATAGTAAGAGGGAAATTATCTTTCATCATCTTGGGGCAAAAGATAATGGGTCACCCTTAACCACTGATAGTAATATTGTGGCAGTGTTTATATCATCTGTCCTATCTCCCCTAATCTAGTTCTTTAGGGAACCCAATGTTATTTCCAGGTCTGAATACAGAGGTTCTAACCCAAAGTCTACAAAATATTTAACATTGCAAATGTGATATGAAACTCTGGGTTATTTTGGTGATGCAGCTGTTGGAAGCTCATACATTTCTGGAATAGGAAAAGCATCCTCTGACAATGTGCAATTGTTGTCTAAGCTATTACACTGCCATTTGCCACAATTCTGACTTCCTTCACATGGTGTTTGGAGAACTGGAAAAAAATATGCCACCATATTAGTCAGAAGGAACACTGGGTGTGAAGAGAGCCCTGAGGGAATAGGCTCAGTAATCACACTTCCTCTGTGCCAAGTTTTCAATTCAAATAATCTGCAAGTAGGCAATATTTTAAATAAGTCTCTTTCCCTGTATAAAGAGATATAAATATGTAGATGACCTTAGGCATGTTACATAGCCATTCTAAGGCTGGATATACTATCTAGAAAAGGGGAAATTATTATGATACTTAAATGATGTATATAAAGCACTTAGCACAATGCCTGGCAGGTAGCAGGAACTAAACTGGTAATAGGTATTACAATAATAATTATCGTTATTAAGCATATGGAGGAGATGTCATACCCTGTAAGCTGGTTGACTACCATGCAAAGAGGATGAACACAAGGACCATGAGATCATACGAACCTAGGGTGAAATTTTGGTTCGGCTACTTTACTAGCTGTGTTATCAGTCGGCTTAGGTTATGTTGTGCTGCAGTAACAAAAGACCTAAATTTTTCAGTTGCTTACACCCCAAAATGCATTTTTTGTTTGCTCAGCTTCATGTCCATCAAGGTCTGGTTGCAGATCTGCCTATGTCATCCTTACACTGGGACCCAAGCTGTCAGAGTAACCTCTATATAGAAATTATATTCATCGTGGTAGAAGGAAATAAGTTGGCAAATCACTTGGTGGTTCTTAAAACTTCTGCCCAGAAATGCACACATTACCAATAAAATGCCCACATTTTACTGGTCAAAACAAGACACATGGCTACTGCTGGGTCCAAAAGGGCAAGGATATATAGATGTTGAGGTGCACTGTTGAGGGCAGCAGGACATTGCTACAATCTACCCTGCCTCTGATATGGACCTCTGAGTCTTCCCCTTTGCTTCTATAGAAGTGATATGTAACTAATACATGCTGAGGGCTTATGAAATGCAGACTGCCCTAGATGGGCTATCTGCAAAATCTCATTGGGTTCTCACAAAAAACAGTTAAGATAGGTATTTTGGCTCCATTTTACAGATTAAAACAAAGAAACAAACTGAGGTCTTGAAGAGGTTAAGTAACTTCCCCCATAAGATCATATACATACATGGTAGGGTACACACTAAGTAATTGATAGTGTTAGTTCCCCCCACCCCTCCCCCATAGTTGCATAATGGCTTATTTTTGAAACAACTGTTTCTAATTGTTTTAGGCTCTATCTGCATGTAGGAAGAGCAGTAGGAACAAAACTGGCTGACTGCAGATGGTGCAACCAGTCCACTGGAGTTCCTACTCTCTAAATTTCTAGTTTTTCTGCAGCAAAATTCATGAGCAGGGGGCATTTACACTAGAAGCTGCCTCCCCCTCCCAGACAGCAAATTACTGATTTCCGTATTTCTCATCTACTTCTACATATCAAATACCCACCCCCCCCACCAACACACACATACACACCCATGAACTCCAAACCTTTTTGGCAAATCTTTATAGTAAACAGATGGACTATCTGTGTTGCTGGGAGACCACTCATAAATGGAATCCAGTCCAAAGGGAGTGAGAAGGAAGAGGACATATCACTACTTGATGTAGTAGCTAAGAGCTCTCCTCTCCTTCTTCTTCTTCCTCCTCTTCCTTTTTTCCCCTTCTTCTTCTTTTGTTTTTCTGATTTTAAAAAAATCAATTCTGACTTCACTACCTGCTAGCTGGGCAACCTTGGGCAGGCCACTATCCTTCCATGGGCCTCAATTTCCTCATCTCTAAAATGGGAATAATATTATTATTAACTTATGGGGGTTTGTGAATATTGAATGAAGTAATGTTTGTAAAGCCCTTAGCACAGTTTTCAGCTCATAGAAAGAACTCACTTGTTTGGTTGTTGTTGTTTTTATTATATTCAGCAAGATTAGCCCACTAAGAGTAAACAACGTGAACCACCTTTCACTAAGTTTCAAGAAAACAGTCTAACTTTGGAGGAGGGACCCAGTGTTATATTTATGAGTTTGACAAGGGAGTTCATTTGGGGGTCAGATATCAGGCAAAAGATCTCAGTAGAAATAAAATGAGTTTGAAAGGTACCTAAATTTCATTCCCTGTTTAGCCTTTCATGAGATGTTTTACCTTGGCCATTTCATCCTTGCTAAATCTGTTTTCCACTGGCGCATGGTCCCACATTCAAGATTAATTTGTTTCCACCTCTTCTCTCCAGGCAGTTTCCTCTGTCCTGGTCCTCTCTCTGGCATCCACAGGCCAAGATGGATCCCCTGCCCTGTGCCCATGGCCCCTGTGCTCTGCTCTGCGCCACTGTCCAGACCACATTGCAAGTTATTTTTCCCCTTTTGCTTCCCCTGGGGGAAGTGACAATGCTTATCCTGTTTTTTTGATGTACCCCAGCACCTAAGCACTGCCTGCCCACAGGAAGGATGCTCCATAAAGGCTTGAAGGAATGAATGAAAGAGCCAACAAATAGTTATTTTTTTATTTTTATGTATTTATCATTATTATTATTTTGCTGTTTGGAAGTCATCAGAACTCACACAGATGTCTCAGGTAAAGTGTGGGTGTCTTCCTCCTACCTGGAAACCCCTTCTTCAGGTGGACAGCCGTCTTGCTGATGGTGCCAAGCCCGCTTTCCCAAACCAACAGACCCAAAGTTTCCCCGGAGCCAGAGGGCACCGGGCGCACGGCTGAGCCTGCACCAATGTCTGTGGGCCCTGCCTCGCCCACCTCCTCGCCCTCCCCTCTGGAGCGCGGCTGGCCAATGACAGCCTTCCCCTGGCTCCATGGGTTTCCCCCTCCCCTGTTGTATCTACCCTGCCCCAGCTCTTCCCTGCCCACCCCTCGCTGACTCGCTTCGCTTCCCCGACGCGCTGGGTTCCCGGAGCGCAGAGCCCAGCGTTAGCGGGTGGGCTCCCCGAGGCCCCCTGCCCTCGCCGGGCTGCTCCAGGGTGTCGCTCCTCTGGCTGCTCCCGAAGGGGCTTCTGGCCCTGAGGACGGTGGTGCCAAGCGAACTTCATTTTTAAAAAGAACTGGTGGATGAGAAGAGCGAGCGAGGGCGAGCTATGGACCCTGTGAGTCAGGTGAGACAGAACTGGGCAGGGCGGCTGGCTGGGAGCAGGGGGCGGGGGATGCCGCGGCTTGGGAGAGGCGCCCCCAGCCCCTTCCTCACGCTTTGCTTTCTCTCTCTCGCCTCATTCCCCCAAAGCTGGCCTCTGCGGGCACCTTCCGGGTGCTGAAGGAGCCCCTTGCCTTCCTGCGAGCCCTGGAATTGGTGAGTAGCAGTGTGTGTGCAGGGAGGGGCGCCAGGCAGCCAGCTATCAGGTGAGGAGAGGTCGGATGGGGTGCTCCCTGCTCAGTTCTGCTCCAAGCCGGAGATTCAACCCTCAAGCCGGGGATTTCAATCCTGCCCCCTCCTAAGATGCCGTTCCAAGGTGGTGAGGACAAAATCGAGGCACCCTGCTTGGAGGCGGGAGTGTGGACGCATTTTTGCAGGGGCTTAGACAAGTGTCGTCTCACCTCACCGCTTGCAGACGCGCAGGGGCTGTGGAAAGAAACCTCCCCCTTGGGAGATAGGGGAGGGGGGCGCATGGAAGGGCTGCCGCTGGGTTCTGGCCCCTCACCTGGACCTTCGTGGGGATGAGGGGATGGGTGGAGGGACCCATAGTTGAGCGGAGGAGCCGGGAAGACTTGGCCAAGCTCAGAAAGTTGGTCAGAACTGAGACAGCTCCTCTGCGGGACTGGGATGCTGGAAGCGCGTGTTCAACTGCTCCGCGGGAGCTTCAGGGAGGGAAAGATGCTGCGAAGCTATTACAGACTGTTATAAACGGCGGCGGGTAGAGAGCAGAACTCCTTCCTTCCCTACTATAGTTTCTTTTCTCTGGCCACTCCTCTAGGGCTTTTCTGATTATACCCAGAAGAGCCCACCAGCCTGTTTGCCATGGCTTTCTTCAGCGACTGGGCTTTAGGAAGTTGTATTCCACTTCCGTGAAACCACCCTGACGCTCTTATTGCAATTTGTCTATGGGCAGAGGAGTGAGGCACAGAAACGGTTACCCACAGGGCCACAGAGCCATGTCAGTGTTGTTGGCTGGATGATGGTTATTCAGAATGAAATCTGCAGGTCACACGTTTCGTCTTGCTAGGAACTCCAAAAGGCAAGCAAACCTATCTGAATAGAAAGTTCAAAGCCTGTCATGTAGCATTAATCAGAGTCCCTAACACTGACTAGCTGGGAAATTATGTAAGAGCCTGTTCTCTGTTCCCAGATCTTAGCTCCAAGGGCTTATATCTGGCAGTGGCTACATAACTGTGATGATTGTTTACACGGATGATCTACAAGATAATTACATTTACCTTGTTTGTAGACTTGAATGAAAATGTATGCGTATATCAATATTGCATACACCAGGACAGCTTTTGGAAGGCTTGAATTAGTGGTTCAGAGCTGGCTATTCTGAAACTGTTTCCCTTACAGTCAAGTTAAACAAGCAAGCAATCCTCACAGTTCTGGAAACTTTCAGTTTGCTTTCTCAGAATTCTGCCCGCATTCATTCATTCAGCCATTCAATAAATATTTCCTGTGAAGTAGTGGCCTTTAGGGAAGAAAATAATAGCTCCATTGTCAAGCTATTATCTCTCAAAACCAAGTTCAAAGAGCTGACATCATTTTCTGACATAATCTCTTATTGTCTCACACGCTCACCTATCTGAAATATTAGTTCGTGTACACACCAATACTGTGGCAACATGATTTTGTGCCATTGTTCCTCACACAGCCTCTACTGCTATATAAAAAGGTGTTTGTTATCTGGATGAACTTGTTCAAATTACAGGTTTCAGGCTACCAAATCAAAATATTGATAAGATGGGTGCCCATGAATCTGCATTTTAAATGAGCTCCCTGCGTAACTCTTATCCATGTTATAATTGGAGAACCACCACTCTAAGCTATACCAGATCCCTCCAAAACTCAAAAGCCCCTTTTACCTCAGTGCCCTTGCTATTTCTATTCACACTGTATGGAATGTCCTCACCTTCCAAGCCTAAAAAAAAAAAAAATGTTTGTTTTTTACCTCAACTAAATGTTACCTCCTCAATGAAGACTTTTCTCGTATTTATTCCTTCCTCTTTCCTCTATCCCAAGCTGAATGATTCACCTCGTTCTTTGAACTTCCACTAGATTTTTATTCATTCACTCATAAGAATTTATCACACTGCAAAATACCGTTTTATAGCTCCCCCCCTTGGGGGAGGGGTGTGTGTGTGTGTGTGTGTGCACAGGTGATGTGTGTGTGTGAGAGAAAGAGTGAAATAGAATAAAGGTTACTAAGTTACTACATTTAAATTATTTGCAGTCCTTCCCCTCTCTCTTCCAGGATTCTAAGGCTCGAAGGAGGAAGGGCTTTTTGCTTGTACCTCAGTAATTAGACTCTCATTTGTGGAAAAGAACATGAATAATGGACAAAGCAAATTTTAAAAGTTAGATAAGTTAGTTGGTTGACCTACATTTTAAAAGAGCTGAGCTAGAGACATGAGGAGAGAGTACTAGTTGCTGAAAAAGCTAGTAGTGAACAGAGGGAAAGAACATACATTTTGTGTGCACACAATGGCTTGAGGAGGCACTCTGAGGTATCTTTTTCTGTAGGAGATATTGACAATGACAGGAAATGTGATTTCTTATAGATGGTAGAACATTTCTTCTGTTTGTCTCTGTTTCCCTCACTGGTTCCTTTCATAGCGCTTGGTTAAACAGCAAGTAATCAGCAAAAATTGTAAACCGGTAATGACAGAGCACTTAAAATATCCCAGTTTATCCTGTTTCTGTGAAAGTTTTACAAAGCAATGGAGAGCAGCTTTAAACTTGACAGTGTCTTTAAGCTGCAATTTCCCCATGCTGTAGAAATAAACATGCATGTAAAGATATATGTATCTTAGTTTTGGGGGTTGCTATAACAAAACACCATAAACTGGATAGCTTATACACAACAGAAATTTATTTCTCATAGTTCTGAATACTGGAAAGTCTAAGATCAAGGTGCCATCAGATTCGTTGTTTAGTGAGGGCCTACTTTCTGGTTCACAGATGGAGCCTTCTTGCTGTGTCTTCTCATAGCAGAAGGGAAGAACTCTGATCTCGTCTGTCCCTTATAAGAACACTAATCCCATTCACAAGGGCTCCACATTTATGAGCTAATCACCTCCCAAAGGCCCCACCCCCTAAGACCATCACTTTGGGAACTATATTTCAACATGTGAACTTGGGGGGAGGCATAAACATTCAGATAATAGCAATATTCTCAAGAATATTTATTGCAACATCATCTGTAGTGAAAAGAACTGGAAATAACTAGTAAGTCCATTATAAGAAAATAATTAAAGTATGATTCATCATGTTATGAAATATTATATTGCCATCAAAAAGAATGAATTAGCCAGGGATGGTGGCTCATGCCTATAATCTCAGCACTTTGGGAGGCTGAGATGGGAGGATTGCTTGAGCCCAGGAGTTCAAGACCAGCCTAGCCAACATAGGGAAGCTGTGCAATTCTGGAACATATTAATTAAAATATGGCTTAACATATAGTGAATTTCTAATTCTAATATTCAGTGCAGCAGAAGACATGTCTTTTGACAGGAATACCAGCTAAGTCAGTAGATATTTGATTCTTCAGTGTTTGATTTTTTTCATTAGTTGAAGTGAGTTTTAGTTTTGTTAAAATTATAACCAAACTATTTTCACATCATCTTGTAAGTTAAGTGATATCAAACATAAAAGACATGTTCTCATGTTTCTTTTTCTGACTAAATGTCGATGCATATCATTTTTCTATAAGCAATCAGTTGCTTTTAAAATCAGAAGGCTATATTATTCTAATGAACATACTGGATCTAAATGAATATGAAGTTCCATATCAACAAGATATGCTATGTGTTATTTGAGAGAAACTGAAAACAAATTTAGTAAAACTGTTAGTATCAAAAAGAATAGGAATACATTTTTATTGTCCGTACTATGATCAAATAAAAATAATGTGAGATTGTAAAAAAGGAAAAGAAATTTAAAAAATTAGGCATTGTGGTGCATGCCTATAGCCCCAGCTACTTCTGAAACTGAGGTGGGAGGATCGCTTGAGCCCACGAGGTCAAGGCTACAGTGAGCTGTGGTCACTTCACTGCACTTCATCCTGGACGACAAAGTGAGACACTGTCTCAGAAAAAAAAAAAAAAAAAAGAATGAATTCAATTAATATGCATTGACCTGCAGGTAAATATATCATTGTATTTGATAAAATTGTTAAGTGAGAAAACATAAGTTTCATTCTTTGTATTTGATAAAATTGCTAAATGGAAAAACCAGTATTTATCCTTTGAATAAACATGTAGATAATTTATTGAATCATATTTCAAAATAATATACAGAGTCCTGTATTTGCACAAATAAAAAATATAGTTTTGTATGTGAGTGAGTGTGCGTGTGTGCAATTTGTATGAACACAGAGGGAAGTGTAGATATAAAGCACTGAACTGTTAAAATTGATTTTTTCAGAAGGGTGTAATTTGAGATGCAGTAGGTAGAGAACGGGAGAGGTTGATGGTAAACTGTGGTATGCAGGAAGAGTTGTGGGCCTATCACCTGTCTACAGTTGTGCACACACACAAGAAATTCTTTAAAATAGCTCATATTTTACATTATTTTCTATGGATTACCCACATGAACTGGTATTACCTTTAATGTCATCTTCTACTTTTGGATTTTATAGCCTGGGGAAAAAATCCACTTTATTTACGTGTTCTTTCCTTAGGAAGGGTTCACGGATACAGTAGATTTAAAGTCTTAATAACATATAAAAGTCCAGCCTTGAGGGGAAAGCTTTAGCCAATTTCAAGACTTGCAGGCAAAACTCCCACATCCTTAATCTCTACTTAAATGAGGTCAGGGTACTTTTCACTATCTTTTAGGTCAAAACGGAAAAGTCGGGACATAGCACTGACTCTGGTGGTCTTTTACATTTATTCCCTGATGATAAAATAGGTCCAGCAAATCTTTTAAACCATCATTTGGAAATGGCAAAATGTATATATTAAACTTACCCTATTTTCAGACCACTCTGGAAAACTAAGTTGGCATAGTCCTGTCTTCCACAGATAATTCTTTTTTTTTTTTTTTTTTTGAGACGGAGTCTCACTCTGTCACCCACGATGGAGGGCAGTGATAAAATAGGTCCAGCAAATCTCTTAAACTATCATTTGGAAATGGCAAAATGTACATATTAAACTTACCCCATTTTCAGACTACTCTGGAAAACTAAGTTGGTATAGTCCTTCCACAGATAATTACCTTTTTTTTTTTTTTTTTTTTTTTTTGAGACGGAGTCTCGCTAGGCTGCCCAGGCTGGAGCGCAATGGCGCCAACTCAGCTCACTGCAAGCTCTGCCTTCCGGGTTCTCCTGCCTCAGCCTCCCGAGTAGCTGGGACTACAGGCGCCTGCCACCACGCCTGGCTAATTTTTTGTATTTTTAGTAGAGACAGGGTTTCACCGTGTTAGCCAGGATGGTCTCGATCTCCTGACCTCGTGATCTGCCGGCCTCGGCCTCCCAAAGTGCTGGGATTACAGGCGTGAGCTACCATGCCCGACCCACAGGTAATTCTTATTTTGCTACTTTAGTATTTTGCCAGTTGACCTTTGGTCTCTTTTTTTCCCTTTTCTTCTAAAAAATGATGTTAGTAATTCTTTCTTTACTATATGCAATGCACTGAATTTGTACCTGTAGATTTATGTGAAATGAAAAGTGGAGGACTCCACACATCCATGTTGTTCAGAACTACACTGGTGCAGACTTAAGGTCATCAAAAGAACTTAAACTCTCCAAAACAATATTTGTGTGGCTTGCATAGTTCTCCAACACAATGCTGCAGCCCTAGATTCTGTGCCTATGGAATAAACTGCTGACTCAATTTGCCTAATTCTTCTAATCCTTATTTTTGACATTCATCCCTAATTTTGCAATACCTTCTGCTATAACCCTGGGTTTCACATCACCATTTTCCCTTTCCAGCCTACCTCCCTGCCTAACCAAGGCGGCCAGTGAATCCAAAGATGCAGCATGTCGATATGTGAGGTATAGGTCTACTTGATTTAAATGGAGACACTAGCATTTATATAATCTTCATTCCTGAATTTAAATTCTAAGCCACGTTTTTCAAGCAAATATCATACTGCTTTCTTAATATTAATAACATTTATAATTTATGCTATTGATAACAACAAAGTGAAATGTGTCGTCATAACATACAATAAATACAATTTTATAGTAGCCATCATTTTAAACTCCTAATGAGAGAAGTAATAACAGCTACCTTTGTCATGCAGGCATCATATGGGGGACTATATTACTGTGTTTTTCTTACATCATTGTGTTGAATCTGTGTAACTTTAACATTCCCGTTTCTCCAGGAGGCTCAAAGATGTTAACCAACTCATCAGGGACAAAATTGAGGGAAATGCCAAAGCCAAGATTTGAGCAGCCTCACTCCCAACTTCATTCTCTTAAATGCTACACTCCTGCTTTTTCCAATGTGGCAAGCACTTGCCATATCTTATCCCTGATCCTCAAAGAAGCTTTAAAAAGCAGATGTTATCCTATTTTACAGTGTTTATCTCAGTCATCAACTTACATATTTGAGGTCTTTTCTGAAAATGCCAAGGAACATTTGTATTTAGAGATGAATTCAACAGACATCAACTGTCTTTTATATTTGGCTTCTATTTTCTGTTAGTTATTAATTAATCAAGGTAGAGTTGATTCCAATTAAAAACCAGTACTTTTCATTTTAAATATGTAGAAAAAGACTTCGATTACAAAGGCAATAATTTAATCTCATTTTTTATCTTTTCCTCTTTTGTTAAAAAAAGTGTGCATAAGTCAGAGAACTCATTTTCTTCCTGTGTATAAACAAGACGGGGAATTCTTACAGAAAATTTATTTAAATCGTGAGCAGCAATCTACGATTGACAGTTTGATGTAATTTAAAGCTATATTAATGTGGGTTTAATTACAACCTTCTAGCCTCTCAATTGGTGACAACAATCATGTGCAATTGGAGTATGAATCAATAAGTGCACAACAAACAAGCAGCTCCTCAGTGTCCAGATGGATTCATCACTTAATGCTTTCCTGAGTGTATTAAGACAACTGGTATTTGGCCTCACAAGTACAGAAAAAAAGAGAAAAGGGTCAGGAATGCTTCTTATGGATTTGAATTCAGATTTTATTTTTTACTAGCTTTGTTACCTTGGGCAAGTTAAATTCACTAGGCTTCATTTTTCTCATCTATAAGATAGGGCTAATAATAGTTCCTACTTCAAAGTGATGCTATCATGATTTAATGATTTATCCAAGTAAGGTACCTTGCTTAGTACCTACACTGTGATAAGTGCTCAATAAAAGATTATGAAGGTGATGATGATAACGATGCCAGCGGTTATGACGGTGATGAAAAGGGAGAAAGTAGAAATTCATCAAAGGATAATTTAGGAAATTACAGATAACTTTTTGCAAGTTAAAGTCTTGGCAAAACTCTGAGGTAGAAATTTGTATCCAGACTTGCTCATACCTCTTTTTAGCCCCTCTATCTCTATATTCCACTGTGGAGGGCCCTCAAACTGGCAAGTCTATTTTTACCATAGTATGAGTGACTCTTCAGGCGCTTGCTCCTTGGAATATTCACATTTCAAAGAAAATTCCAGCAAGGCCAGTATTGAACCTAAACGAGAACGTCTAATGGAAGAATTGCAAGCACTTGGCCTTCAGGGGTTTGTCGTAGAGGTGTGAAGAGATACTTTTCCTGGTCTTTCTCAAATAACAATCCATAGACAATTTCGTACACTTGAAAGAGACACAGTGGCCCCAACTGAATTCTCCAGGATGTGCTGAGGGTCCTTATAGGGTCAGATACAGGCACTTACTAACCACATTGTAATGCCCAGGTGCTCCAGGCCCTTGGGTGTTCCCCCATAGAAACTGGGGAAAACCCTGGAGTTATGCTGAAGTAGAAACACCATCCTTAGTTCTTTGTTCTGCAGACGACCCACATCTCTCACTGACTGAGGTATGGGGACAGAAGAAAAACAGTCATGTGCTAGTAGAAGAAAAGTAGAAAATCTCTAAGGAGTATGTGCACAGAACCACGGTCTTCCTTTGAGTCTTCATCTTCTGTGGGGATGTATTTGACTTTTGTTGTATTTGTTATTATTCCTGTTCAATGTACTAGCTTAGGCTCCTTTAAAGACCTCAGTTTCCTAACCTGAAAACTGGGGGCAATATCTCCTGCCTATAGTGTTGAAAATTTTAAGTGAGATCAAGCATGAAAAAGTGTTTAGCAAACTGTTAACTATCCTTCTAAAGTAAATGATAATTGTGACCATGATGATGGTGATGATAAAGAAATACCTTTTTCCAACCTAAATGACTCTGGGCAGCGTAATATAGTTACTGGACAGAGCACAGGGTGAGGTGTGAAGTGTAAGAACTTGATCTCTGTTCCCTAAGGAACTAAGTCCTTCCAACCACTTATCACCCTCTGCCTTCCATGCCAGTCTCTTTGGTCTCTTTGAAGCCTACAAGAAAGGATGATGCTGCCAGTCGAATGTAATGAATTATCCAAACTTTACTGGGGAATGTTCCTTAGGAGAGGGGAATGTGGTCCATCCTCACCCTTTTAACTCTCATACCAAGAGACAATTTCTTGCTCTGTACACGTTTCACATTTCTTGATGTTTTAGGGGCCTGGTGACGGTTTCTTGCTGTTCTCATGAACTTTTGTACATGCCACTTCCACTGCCCAGAATGCTCCCTCTCCCTTTTGCTCACCTTTTTTTAGTTGATGAATTCTTCTTCTCCCTTCAGTGTCAATGTAGATACCACTGTCTAGGGAGGTCTTACTAGATAAGGTCAGCCTTCTGACGGCTCCCAGACCACACTTTTTAATGACTTTTCATTCTAGCTACTCAATCAGAGTAAATGCAGTGTGAGAGCAGGGATCTTGTTGGTCCTGCTCATCAGCGCATTTTATGTTTCTAACACAGTGCTTAACACACAGTAAGGCCAACATCAGGGACATCGGCAATCTCCACCAAAACACCCAGGCAGTAGGTGCTTAGAAAGTATTGGTTAAGAAAATGAGAGAAGAAGGAGGGAAGAAAGGGAATAAAGAATATGTAAATGAATTATTGGTAACACATTGGATGAGATGTAAATTCCCCTTAATGGTCTTCATTGTGAAGTGGAATTGTGAAGCTTTCCCTGGAAACAATTGTTTAGCTTGGTTATGGAGGAGAGTAAGTCACATAGGCACCGCTGTCAAGGAAACAGGGCTATTATAGGGATACCCACTGCATGATAATGGTGGAGAACTTTTACAGAAATAAAAGTTCAAGGACTGAAACAGGCTCAGGTCTCATATCTTGGGTTCACGTCAATGAGCAGCAAGAATGCCTTAGCAAGAGTGCCACTATTATTATGTCTTTGTCACTGTCCTGCCTGCCCTCTCTCTGTGTTCCCTTTCTGTTTCCCATTTATTCTTGTCATTATTCTTATCTAATGTCCTAACAGAAAGAATATGATTGGTTCAACTAACAAAAAAATTATTTTAGTTTGGACACAACTATCAACCCCAGGCAATATCATAAGTCAATAGCCAGTCTACAAATTGGTTGCCATAGATCAAATGCCCACTGCTATCCTGTCACTTGTGGCCTGAATAAAAAGGGTCATGATATTCGAAACATTCCCCTTTTGTCTCTTCTTTCAGCTGGAGCAGCGATCATGACGATCCTTTAAGTCATTAAGAGGACAGACCCAGTGAGAAGTGTACATGTCTGGTTTAAAAGTAAATGATTTTTAAACCAGTACTTCTTTTATTGAAGTAGCACTGGTAATTTTCTCAAGATGTTACACCTTTGAGATTTTGGCATCAGTATTCTTGGAATGCTCTCTGATTAGGGGATAGCTGAGTGGATTCACACTGATAATATTATCCAAAGAGGTACACCTTTGGCTCTTCAGCACATGGGCCTCCACTAGCTTGTGTGATCTTGTCCATTTGTTGAAAACCTCTTTTTAAGAGAAATGATTAGGTTTTGCCTAATGATAAGATGATTTGTGAATAAAAATGTATTCCCTCAAACCCACATGTACTTCATTTTTATTCACATATTTGTTGGTAAATTCAGCTCTGGCCCTTTATGTTAGAAGACTACATTAATTATTATATTCATTTCTTGTGTGTAAGTGTTTACTAATGTAGTAGGAAACTAATTACTCATGGAAGAGTCATTGGATTGCCTTGTGTGATAGGTGCTGTTTCTTTGAGGAGGGGAAAAAGAGGAATTTGTTGATGAGCAAATACCTCTGGAAAAATGTAGAAGGCAGTCTGGAACTTAAAGAAGCATCAGTTTTGGGGTCCATTTTATACCAAAAATTTTGCTCTTCTTTTCAGCCATGGAACACAGAGCAGATTGCATAAATCAGGGTCCATAACTATCAAATGAGGACCATAAGAGTCATGTCTTTTGGTGTTGTGATGGTTAAGTAAGATAATATTAGTAAAACCTCCAGCAGTGTCTGGTCTATACCAAGATTCTCTAACTGTAACTGAGGAAGAGGTTGTTGAAGTTGATGATGTATCTACAAACACAATCAAGCATTCCTAAACTTTCTAGCACTGGAATAAACATAAAGGGTTTCAATATAGCATTGTTACATTGTTTTTTGTTCCCATTATTTCTCCATTGGAAGAATGTTGATTGTGAGATGTCTTAGTCTGCTTTGTGTTGCTGTAGAGGAATACATGAGGCTGAGTAATTTACAAAGAAAATGGGTTTATTTGGTTCATGGCTCTGCAGGCTGTAGAAGAAACCTGGTGTCACTATCCACTTCTGGTGAAGGCCTCAGGCTGCTTCCACTCATGGCAGAAGGCAGAGAGGAGCTGGTGTGTGCAGAGATCACATGGTGAGAAAGGAAGCAAAAGGTGAGGAGAAGGTGCCAGTTTCTTTTTAATAGCCAGCTCTCACAGGAACTAACAGAGAGAGAATTCATTCACACACCCCTCCCCTAGGGAGGGCACTAATCTATTCTAGAGGGATCTGCCCCCATGACTCAAACACCTCCTATTGGGCCCCACCTCCTAAATTACGGATCGAATTTCAACTTGAGATTTGGAGGAGACAAACATCCAAACTATAGCATAAGACGATCATAAAGTAAACACAATAATGTTTAAAATAGTATGTAGAGACAAGTGCTTTATTAAGTGCTATGCACATGTTTTTCATATAATTTCATGTTACTTTCAAAAGACTAATAAAAAACTCCTTTTCAGCCGGGCGCGGTGTCTCACGCCTGTAATCCCAGCACTTTGGGAGGCTGAGGCAGGCGGATCACAAGGTCAAGAGATCGAGACCATCCTGGCTAACATGGTGAAACCCCCTCTCTACTAAAAATACAAAAAATTAGCCGGGCGTGGTGGCGGGTGTCTGTAGTCCCAGCTACTCGGGAGGCTGAGGCAGGAGAATGGTGTGAACCCAGGAGGCAGAGCTTGCAGTGAGCAGAGATCACGCCATGGCACTCCAGCCTGGGTGACACAGCAAGACTCCGTCTCAAAAAACAAAAAAACTCCTTTTCACATATGAAAAAATTAAGGCCTCAAGAGATCCCACTACTTGCCTAAAGTCATACAGCTATAGCTAGTATGTTAAGAGAGCCAGGATTTGAACCCAGGCAACTGGATGCCAGATTCCATGCTCTTAACCATTTTTCTGCATTGTCTTCCATTAATAGTAATCACTCATTACTCCTAGGTCTTGGAGCTAAATGATTTCCCACTGAAAACAGCAGGGACAATATACATAATTTCTTATTAAAGTCATGTCTTCTAACTCCTAATTCAGTTCCCTTTATGCTACCTCATGCTACTAATAGACAAAGCAAAGCTTAAATGCCCTCATGACTAAGGATGTTCATACCTTCTCAGTGACCTTTTTATTTCTCGAAAACACTCCCACTCCTTGAGAAAATTTTACTGAACTTGTGTATCTTTTTTTTTTAACAAAATCTTTATTCACTGATCCGTTGTATAAAAAATTCAAATTCAGAAATACGTTGTTGAAACATGCAGATACAAACAAAAATATCTGTAGAATTCAGGAAGGATATGGATATTTAGTAAGATTATGAACATCCAAATTCCTAAGTCAGGCAGCTTCCATCATGGATGATGGAGAAGTAAATAAACTTTGTCCATTGTGTGTGTGTGAGTCGTCATTCTTTGGATCTGTTATTTGGAAGCATTTGTGTGCTTTAACAGGAAGTTCTCACTCATCCATCTGGTCTACTCTGAGATTTTCTGGCTGGCCTTTTATGCACTGGCTTCACCTTACACCTGATGGACAGTTGGCACACTTTTCAGGATCTTTCCGGTTGAGACTTGAGAAGATAGAAGAGTTAGATTGGCATGGAGATATTAGAAAATTACTGAGCACAAACCCATGATCTGAGTGAAGCATGGAGATCCTGAGAGGTATTTCAGTGGGAAAAGGGGGTAGCTGGATGAATAGAGATTATTATTGTGATTTAGAATGTACTGGATTTGAAGCCATGCAAGCTAAGTCTCAACCACAGACTTTGGGTATATTCATGGGCAGATCAACATCATTGAACCTCAAGTTTCTCAGGGATTTTACCTACATCAAAGGTGTTTTTTTAATGATAAAAATGGATTAATGGCTGAGAAACCTTGGGTAAATGTCTTTATCTTTCTGCCTCTCAATTTCTTGAACTATAAAATGGGAATAAACAACTGTAACACAGAGTTGTGAAATAAAATGAGTTTATGTGTATGAAAGTTCCCCTCCACTTTATCAGAGAGGGCTCGGTAAAGGTTGACTGTCCTCAAACCCAGAAAATTAAAGCTCAGATATCTGGGAAATCTTTCCCATATGAGAAATATCTGATGGGCTACCTTTAATGTCCATCTACAGCTGGAGGTTTGTGAGGATAGGAGAGAGGTATGTTTTCTGTGTCATAATCATCAACTAGAGTTTAGGTAAGAACTTTTGTTGTCAGATTCATGGATTCTATTTTGAAGCAGTTGAAAGCAAAGCATGATTATTATGTGACCACCATTCACCCAGGAGATGAATTTGAAATTTATTTTTAAAGACAAGTGCTTCATTGGTGAAAAAAAAAGAATGTTTGTGAAATTGATAGTGGCATTAAACTCCAGCTATTCTGGGGGAAAAGGCTGTGTTTACCAGCAACAGTACGTAAATTTGAAGTATAAATATTGTAGTTTCTTTCTTTCTCTCTCTCTCTCTCTCTCTCATGTGCATATATAAATACATGTTGCTTAATTACAGGAATAGGTTTGGAGAAAAATGTATCATTAGGTGATTTCATCATCGTGCATACACCATAGAGTGTACTTACACAAACCTAAATGGGATAGCCTACTACACACCTAGGCTACATGTACAGCCTATTGCTCCTAGGCTAAAAACCTGTACAGCATGTGACTGTACTGAATACTGTAAGCAGCTGTAACACAATGGTATTTGTGTATCTAAACAGAGGAAGGATATGGTAAAAATTTAGTATTATAATCTTATGGGACCATCATCATATATGTGGTTGGTCATTGACCAAAACATCATTATGCAGTGCATGATTTTAACTTGCTAGTGCTTTAAAAAAATTTTTAATTGACATGTAATAATTGTGCATATTTTGGGGATATAATGTGATATTTCAATACATGTATATAGCATGTAATGCTCAGATCATGGTAATTAGCATATCCATCACCTCAAACATTTGTCACTTGTTTGTGTTGGGAACATTCAAAATCTGTTCTAGCTATTTGAAAATACACAATAAATTGTCATTTATTATAGTCATCCTGTAGTGCTACCTTTAAAAAATGCCTGATTTTATTCACTATATTCTCATTTAGTAATAGAAAAAATACTTGGATTTGACTGTCAGCTCCATTAGTTACAAGCTATGTGACCTTGGACACATTACTTAACCTCTTTGGGCCTTTCATATTTATAAGAGTAGAAATAATGATAACTAGCAGGCATAATTATTGTGTTCATTAAATAACATTCGCAAAGATTAGTGGCACATAGGAAACATTTAAAACAAGGTATTTTCCTTCTTTTCCTCCAAATATTCTTTTACTGCAAAACTTTGCAAAGAAAGCATTGGAAAATTCACGAGAGTCTTCTGCTTCTCCAGTTATCTCTTAAATGTGCGCATGCACACACACATGCACATGCACACATATGTTCTTTGTACTAAAGGTCATAAAGAGCAGTTCTACGTAACTGGAATGAATTTGAGTGGGACAGTAAAATTAGGCAGGTGTGGTTGGCAAGGAAAGAATGATTAGACCAGAGTGTCAAGTTCTAGATCAGCATCCCAGACACACCATAGCCTCAGGCCGTCTGTAGGCTTTGGCAAGGGGATCATGAATTTATGAAGCTGTTTTCTGAAGGGGATAACATAATTGTCTGTTTCAGAGAAAAAAAAAGCCCCACAATAGTAGAAATTCACTACAATGGCTATACATTAATGAGTTCTTGCTACATGCCAGGCTGTACCATGTTTGTGCTACCTACATTACATACTTTCATTCAGATCTTGTAATGACCTTATAAGGTCACTTGCCTCAAGTCACATAGGTGGTAAGTGACCAAGGCAGGGTTTCAAATCATATCTATCTGACTTCTTGCCTTTCCCATGTCTGCTTTGCTGCCAAATATAATAAGAATATTTGTCTTTGGGGTGGAGGGTTTTTTTGGACATGCTATGTAGAGCCGTTTTATGCATAAGTGAAATGTTTATTAACAATCACAAAATAAGCAAAAATTAGTAAATTAAAATTACCCAGTGTTCTTCCACTGAGAGATAACCTTAATACTTTGAAATATACTTTTAGATATCTTTTACGTTCATGAATGTTTTGTCTACAAAAATGATGTATTAGTTTGCTAGGGCAAACCACATAATGTATTAATTTGCTAGAGACTTACAAACTAAGTAGCTTAAACAACAGAAATGTATTTTCTCACAGTTCTGGAGACTAGAAGTCTGAGATTAAAGTGCCAGCAAGGTTGGTTCCTTTTGAGGGTCCTGAGGGAGAATTTGTTTCATGCCTCTCTGTAACTTCTGGAAGTTTGCTGGCAATATTTGGTGTTCCTTGGCTTACAGAAGTATTGTCCTGATGTCTGCTTTCCTCTTCACATGGTTATACTGTGTGTGTGTGTGTGTGTGCCTAAAATTTCCCTTTTTCTATGACGCCAGTCATATTGAATTAGGGGCCCACTCCACTCTAATATGACCTCATCTTAACTAATCATATCTGCAGTGTCCCTCTTTCACAGTAAGGCCACAAGTGAGGACTTCAACATATGAATCTTCGGAGTACCCAATTTAGCCCCTAACAAATGGGTTCCTAGAAGAGGCACTGTTTTGTCACCTGCTTTATTCTCCTTAATATATTGTGAATTGTTTTTCTATGCCATTAGATAAAATATTTTTTTCCCATAATTTTAATGTCTATATGTGATTATGCTGTATGCCTCTCTTGGAGATTATTTAACTAATTCCTAACTTAGGTAGTTTTCAAATGTATATTATTTTCAAAACCTGCAAGGAATTCCTCTTTAAAGATAAATAATTACTATGCCTCTATTGTTATTAACTTAGATGTAGAATTGCTGGCTCAGAAGATTATACATTTTTAAGGTATTTAGAAGAATTACCAAATTACCCTCCAATGAGGTGTTATCAGTTGGGTATTACCAGTTAAATGTTTTTACAGTTTGATAGTGGAAATGAAATCTTGATTGACTTTGTACTCTAATTTTGCAATGAGATTGTACATTTTTGGGTAAAATTATTTATATTCTTATTTTCGTTTGGAAATATTTTAATGAACAGAACGGATTCATAAAGCAATAGCCAAGGCTGCCAAACTCATGATGCTGTTCACGTGGACTTTTACATAAGCTGTTACCTTAATCTCTTTCTAGGTCATCGTACTACTCCACCACTTGGAAATTATTTAGATTGTTGTTCTTTGACTTGGGCAGAGAGGCAAGTACTGAGGCTTTCTTTCTCTGAATTCATTATATAAAAATAGATGTAATTTTTAGAATGTCAAAGGTAATTACTGTTGTTATAAATCTTTCATAAGCTAAACAATGCTATAACATAAGTTTGCCATTTGCGTGTCTTATTTATATTATTTATTAATGTATCCTAAGAAACATTATTATTTTACTTTAAATAATACTCGTAAATGTTAGTGCATATTCAGTACTTTTCTGAAATTGCACTTCATGTATATATGTGGCTGAGACACATATATGCAAATTTATACCATGCCTACTTTGGAAATGGATTTGAGGCACTTGAAATTTTAATAATTCTTTTGATAGAAAGGCAGAATAGATAGAGTGTTATTGCACCATCTGCGGAATCTGAGGCATATCTGACTTTTAGACTATTAATAAAATAAAATAAATCCAGAAGCTGCCTGATGTCAAGGGTATTTCCTCTCTTTCTCAGATCATATTCCTGACCACACTTGCAATTAACTGAGATAGCATTATGGATTCGCTTAGCCTCTGCCTCACATATTGCTATTTTGGGCTATGTCGGCCTCCCTGTGAATGATAAAGCAGTTGTTAACATTCATTGTATATTTAATGAGCTCCAGGCCCTGTGCTAAGTATTTTCTACATGTTATGCCATTTAGTTCTAACAACTCTATTAAAGTGTATGCATCATTATTTTCCCTCTTTTCAGGCAAGAAATCTGAGGCTTAGAAAAACAAGTAATGGTTAGGTGTGTATGGTTTATAATAGCAGAGCTGAGATTTAATCCTGGGTCTGCTGAGCTTCAAAAAAAGACCCTCCGTGGTTAACCTAGCAGTTTAACACAGGAAGAAAAATTCCGAACCGCTCCCAGAGATTCAATTCCTTTGTCAAGAGCCAGTACTTGGCAGGGCAAAATCAACCAAGGTGGTGGTTTCACAGAAACTGCTTATCACCTGTCTCAATCAGGTGGTGAATTCTGTCATGAGCAGGCAGAGAGAATTTCTCTGAAGTTCAAAGCAAGTACTTTTAAAACTTCTTTTCTTATAAATATACTTGATAAAACAACAAATGAAAGGATGATCTTGATTTGATCTGAATTGATCTTATTTGTATAAATCGAAACCACAGTTGCCTAGGCAAATGATGGGAAATACTTAGAGCCATGAGATTAGATGTTTCCCACAGTTTTTCTCCATCAGTAATTTCCCTGCCTTCCTTAACCCTGCCCCCATCTACTTATGAAACTGCAAAGCACCTTGAGCTTGTATATCTTTTGCTTTTTTTATTTGTTTTGGGAGAGATTCAGTTTCCTCTCCCAGGTTGGTTAGCCTGCCTTTGAAGAACCTGGGTAGCATGCACAAGGCCATCTGGCCAGTAAATGTTGGGGCCAGAATGCAAACCAGGCCTGTTGGGAGCCAGGCAGGTAATGCAGGAGGAAACCTGCATGGGGCCATCATATGAGGCAACACAAGTGATAAGAGGTGTGGCATACAGCATAGGGGTTTTTGCCTATAGGAGTAGCTGCTTCCACCCTGGCCAGCTGTTGGTCAGTGGTAATACAAGCCCAGTGCTTCCAGATATTTCCACTTTTCTTAAGAAAAAAGAAACAAGGATTTTAGTGCTAATAGTATGAAGTTTTAATGTTAGAAATGCTATTTCTCAAACATTGTGAGGTCCATCCTTTCCAGAATAAACAAAATGTGGCTGAATTCTGGACGTGGCCCACAGTCTCCAGCTTGTTCCTTCCGCACCACAGCATCTTGCCTTCCCCAGGGACTGTGTTTGCATCTTCAAGGACCTGGCCCCGTTCTTACGCAAGAGGTTCTCAGGAGCCTAGTCTGGTGGATGAATGAGAAATTTGGTGTTTGGAAATTAACCTTAGCTTGGTTTTTGAGATGATGGAATTAGTGACTCCAAAGGTCTCCTTTGCCTGACTTCAGATAAACATCTAGGAAGCATAAAAACATTGGGAGTACATCTTGGGCCCAAACCTTAATGGAAATGGGGGCAGTGGCCCATATTAGCAATAAAAGTTGAGTTAGTAATACAGCTTCAGGTACCATGTAATGTACTGAGAAGAACTGAGTTTCTCAGTCAACCAGTGGAATCTCAAATAATTAATTCTACTCTTTAAAAGTACAGTTTAGTTGTTTATAATTTAAATAATCAATAAATAAATGAATCCTAGTGAGGTATGACTCTATTTATATATAAAGAGGGCTGTCTAATAGAACATTGTGCAATCATAGAAATATTCTATATCCTCACTGTTCAAAACCATAGCCACTCACTACATATGGCTATACTTTACTTAAAATAAGGCTAGTGTGACTAAGCAAGCTAGGGAACAAGCAAGCTAGGGAATGAGTTTTTAATTTAATTTATTTTTAATAATAAAATTAAATAGCTAGTGGTTACAATATTGGACAGCAAAAGTGTAGAGAATTGCCCCATGCATCTGGTTTTCAAGGGGAATGTGCTAAACTTAAGCAAATAATTTAGATTAGGGACTAGCTATTATGCGCTAGAAAATGTTCACTGTGAAGTGGCTCTGTTATTTAAAACATTCATTTTTACATTTATTGTTCAACACATCACACAACATTGGTGGCAGTGAGTTTTTCAAGGCAACTTCTAGAAATTTATAAGACCCTGTATTTTCCAGACTTTGCCAGTTCTTTATGTTTTACATGCATTCTATGCATTTCCATATGTTTATGAATTTTATGCATTTATAGATCATTTTAAACATCAAAATAAAAATATAAAACGAATGACCTTTTTTATTTGTCTCTGATAGGAAGCAAAATGACATTTGTCAAAATTGGTGCTAATTTGTTAGCAGTATATCCCATAAAAATAGTTATGTTTTAATAATGGTATACTTTTATTTGGGAAGCAGACTAAAAGTCACAAAGATTGTGCAATGTTATGTGATACAAAGAAATAGTTTCATCAAGGTTTAGCTATCAGAAAAGCGCATTGAGACATTTATTTATTCTATAATTAGCAAGATAGTCTGGTAATACTTTAACGGTTATCTTTAAGTAGTACCTCCTCAAGCACTCAAAGGCTAGGGTTTTTATGAATAATTTGGTGGGCAGGGGGCTAGGGAATGGGTGCTGCTGATTGGCTGGAGATGCAATCATGGGGTGAATGGACCTCATGTGCTGAATCTGTGTCTGGCTGGGGGCCACAGGACTGGTTGAGTCATGAGTCATGGGTCCAGGTGGAGTCAGTTGGTTGCCAGAATGTGAAAGTCTGAAAAACATCTCAAAAGACCAATCTTAGGTTATGTTATCTATAGGAACAATTTGGTAATGGCAGGAAAGTTACAGACCTTGCGACCTCTGGCCGTATGACTCCCAAGCAGCAAGGAATTATAGGAAAGCGGGCTAGGGAACTATAGCTGGTTATCATTTAATGACACCTATATTTTAGCAGAATTCAGGCCCCTCCCATAATTCTAATCTTGTGGCCTATCATTAGTTTTAGGAAGGAGTTTGTTCTTTGTTTTAAAGTTAAACTATAAACTAAATTCCTCCAATTGTTGGTTTGGCCTACACTCAGGAATGAGCAAGGGCAACTTGGAGGTTAGAAGCAAGATGGGGTCAGTTAGGTTAGATTTATCTCACTGTTGTAATTCTTGCAAAGGTGGTTTCATCTTCATCTCTCCTTCAAATGAAATTTTCGAGATTGCCAAGTGATCTAGTTATATACATCACCTTACTTTGAATTTCCCTGAGAGCAAAACCTAAGTTAAAAGCACCGATGAGGGTAATTTGTTAGGAAATGATCCCAGGAAATAGGAATGAAGAACCAGCGTGATGTAATAGGGAATGAGACAAAACCAATACAAGAGCCTATGATGGAGTAGTTGTTCCCTGTGTGCTGAAACTCACAGGGCCTCCTGAGCAGCCTTGAGCAATGCATGTCAGAATTCTCTGCCTTAGGGACAAAAAGGTACACAGTAAGCTTTCCACTTCCATTCCTTATGGGTCAAGAGTGATCTGGTGGAAGTTAACTCCTGTTTTAGTTTGGATTCCCCAAAAACAGACTCTGAGGTAAGGATTCAAGTACCTTATTTGGGAGGTAGTCCCAGGAAACACTGGTAAGGGAGTAGAGACATGAGACAGGGAATGGAAGTAAAGCAATAGTGAGTACTTGATCTAAAATGTTGGCAACTGGCTCTTAATCCCATTGGGGACTCTGGGACCGGTGTAGAACATACCTTGGCTACAATTGTGTCACCTGGCTGCCCCTGTTTGCAAAAGAAGCAGGAAAATGTAATTTTCAGTTGGCATATTGAGACCTCCAACAAAACTTGTTAAGAAAGAGGTAGAGAATAAATCTTTGGGAAGGAACTCCCTCTCTGACACACATAGACAACAGATATTCCTCAAATAGTTGCTGCATTCTCCACCTTGCTTTGTCTGAGCTTATATTAAAAAAATAGAATAAATCTATTCTGACCCTTCAATATGTTGGGGATTGCAAGAAGCAATAATCAGCTCAAAATAGCTTAGGAAAAGAAAGGATATATTGGAAAGAATTGGAGTTATCAAAAGGCAAGGAGTTAAGTTAGGTTTCATGAGGGATAGGGAGAGGGAGAGAAGATCTGGAAGCTGGAAAACTAGAGAAGAGTTTTTTTTAGCATCATTATTCCAGCCCTTTTTATATCTGTTCTTTGCTACTCTTTTTGTCTCTGCCCAATCTCTCTGACTCTTACTGTGAAGGTCTTACACAATTTTTGTTTTTTTGTTTTGTTTCGTTTTTTGTTTTCTGTTTTTGTTTTGTTTTGTTTTTTGTATTCAAGGAAGACAGTATCTGTCTCAAACCTGATTCTAAGCTCACAGTTCGAGGGCCCAGTGCTGTTTCTCTTGACTCAGATTCTCAAGAGAGAGAAAATGGCTACCTCAGCCTCACCTATCACGTGGTTCAGCTAGGATCCTACAGCCAGATACAGGGAGACAGGCAGAAAAACATAGCTCACAGAGGTTAGCCAATGTTGTGGGGAAGGCAGATTCTTCAAGAAGGAACAATGGGTAGAAAGAAAATGGTAGCTGTCTCA
This sequence comes from Homo sapiens, assembly GCF_000001405.40. Classification (NCBI taxonomy): domain Eukaryota; kingdom Metazoa; phylum Chordata; class Mammalia; order Primates; family Hominidae; genus Homo; species Homo sapiens. The sequence goes on from NC_000003.12 coordinate 63,299,705, forward strand.
TTGATATTAACCAAATGACATTGATACTAACTTTTTCAAATGTGAGAAAATGCAAATTTTGTAAGGAAATGTGGTCCTAGGCAGTTTGTAATCAATGCTGACTCACAAACTCACAGAAGAGTGATGATAGTAGTTTCACAATAATTGAAAACCTAGCACAAATGGGGTATCTCTATAGGTGGTGACAGTCATTTGTATGTTGGGGATACTAATCTTTAGACTATCTCCTGTGCAGCAGGATGAAGCACTTCCATGTTTTTAACTTAGCATTGTTGAATTCATTAATCATTAGAGGTACTTAGTATTAAAATTAGCAGCAAATGATGAGTGTCCTTGATTACAGAACTGGGATGTGTTATTCACTATGGTACTCAAGAGTGATTTGGATATGTTTTTGATAATGGTTCCAAGCTTCCCTGTCAGTTTCAAAAGAGCTCTTCACGGAGAAGTTGGCGAGGGTGAAAAGATAGGGAAGGAGGGAAGGAAGGAGTATGACCTGCCTCCAGATCTACCTTGCAAATTATACTTTGGCAATTGGCTTTTTATAAAATTTATTACTCAGGGTCCCCTTTTCAAATACTGCTTATATTCTGAGTTCTGAGTGTGAATTCTAGAACATTCTTTGCTTCTATCTATCTATCTATCTATCTACCAATCATCTTCATCCTAGGGTAGTGCCACATACTTTGTTTAAAAGAATGTAGCATAGTGTTGATATTCACCAACCTGGTGCCAACATTCAGATATGCTTTAAGGATAAAATAATTGTGAGGGACTTTGTTGGTCCCCTGCTCAGATCCTTTTACTAGGTTACTGCATAGCCTTTTCTCCCTCCCACAGCTGTTGTGAATGTTGACTACCAAAAGGTAGTCCCTGCTCTAGAGAATTGCCTTTGGCTGAATGAAACCACCTCACCCCAAGCTTATATCCTGCCCCAGGGGTAGCCCATAGCCAGTAACAGTCTAATACTGGGATACAAAAGCCTAGCTTCCTTGCCTCAGGGTGGGACCAACTCTGGTATAATTTACAGTCTAGAATAACTGGTGAAATCAGGATGAAGCTAGCCTGTATCTGAAACCATATCCTCGCTTAGCTCCTTCCCCTGCTCTATCCTTCTTCCCTCTCTATTATTTCCTGGAAAGCACTCCCCCAATAAATTAAGAGCACTAGAATCTGTCTCAGGATTTGCTTCTAGACAATCTGATCAAAGATAGGATAAATGTTACCGTATTTTTAAAAAATTAACCCTATTTTCTAAAAAAAACCATATTGGCAAAGGAAGACGTAGAGTGTTGGAAATAGTTCTATTAAATGCAATGAAATATGATTTGGAAAAGAGAACTGGATTTGAAAATTCAGGCTTGAATCTTTCTTCCCCTACTTTTGAGTCATGTCATCTTACATCTCTTTCTGAGCTTCAGCTCCCTCATTGGAAAAATGAGAATACTAATCTTTCCTTCATCATCTGTTACTTATCTGATATTTTGTTTCAGTAGTATTACCGTTATAAGTTGGAAAAATGACTTTGGATATTTAGATAATATTTTGGGTGACTGTTAGGTATAAAATGCGTTCAGCGCAGTACCTAATATAGGGTGGGCCCTCAGTAAGTGTTGTGAATTTTGAGAAGCTATTTTTAAAATATTTATACCTAAAAAGACAGATGTTTATAACTATTGGCTAACTTAAAAGACAGTCCAAACTACAGAACAAAATTTATAAAAGACTCCATTATAAGGCTTTAGCTATTTTTGTAAGTTGGATTGGTATGGAAGAAATGGGTAGAAGGCATTATTTACAATCTCATATTGAGTTGATGTCTACATCAACATTCACTATTTTGAAAAATCTATTTTGGACTGAAATTTATGAACAATTAAAATTTCCTATACTATTCCTCCACAAAAGTAAAAGTATGAATCTTCTGAAAATGACATATTATAATTTGTACAGTTCTTCCAAATCTATGGCAGCAAGCTTGTGCTTAAATACATATGATTTAATGAGTAGAGTTGAACTGTTTTAGGGAATTTTCTGTAGAAGCTTAGCAGTAACTAGCAGCTGGATGCTTATGACACTAATTTGTGTCACTTCTTCATACTTCTGGGTTTTGTAAAGTTCTCATCTTGTCTTCTCCAGCCAAAAAGATTCAGGAGTTCACCTGTTGTATAAATGAATTAATTTCACTCTTACTATTGAATCTTACTACAAGCCTCACTGAATATATGACAATGAGGACTTTGTCTGTTAACTTCACCTCTGCAATTCCATTACCTAAAACTATGCCTACTTCATGGTAGGCACCCAAATATTTCCTAAATAAATGGACGTATGAATAAATGAATGAATTGTTTTCTCACTTTGAATACCATTCCTCATCAGCATCTCGTTTCATCATTTTCTACCCAGTTGAAATTTTACCCCATCTTTCAGGATTATTTCAAATTCTCCAGTTATTCCTCTGTTTATTTGAACTTTTAATTTAAAAAAATGTTTCCCCAGCTTTAGGAGAGTTGCAGTTGCCCTCCTTGTGTGAGTTGTGCCATTGTTTCCCGATATAAACTAGGCTTTACAGCAGGGATCCATTCCCATTATCCTTCAGACAGAGAAGTAGGAAGAAAACTAAACACTTTAGAGTTTTCCTTATGCCAGGTAATATGTGAAGGTCTCTATGTCTCCTACTCACCCTGGTGAGGTTGCTATTATTTTATAGCTTAGGAACCTGAGTTTGGAAATACCATTAAGTCTAAAGCCACATGGATTATAAGTTGCAGAAACAGGATTTAAATATTAGTAGGCCTGACTCCAAGTTCAGTATGCCTTCTTCTATCTCACTTTAATTCAATGGTCTTCAAATTATCCAGGCATATGATATATCACAGTCCTCTGTAAAACATACATTTTATTAAAATTTTTACATATTTATTTTCATTAATGAAATAAGGCACCAATAATATTTAATGGCCACATTTAATAAATAGCTGCAATTTAACATGTCTTTAAATGTTTGTTTCTCTAAAAATAATCTTTGTTTTCTTCTAAATACAAACCTAATGGATAATAATAAACTTAGAAAAATTGATTAATTATACAAATATATGGTTTGATAGAAGAAATAAGACCTAGTGTTCAATAAATCAGTAGGGTGACTATAGTTTACATTAATCTATTGTACATTTAAAAATAGCTAGAATAGAATAATTTGAATGTTTCTAGCATAAAGAAAAGACAAATATTTAAGGTGATGGATATCCCAAATATACTGATTCAATCTTTACAAATCATGCGAATGTATTAAATTATCAAGTGTACTCCAAAAAAATTAAATAAAAAAATTAACAGCAAGTACAGTGAAGAATTCATTTTCATAAACATATGTTTTAAGAGGTGAAGATTGTTGGTTACAAAAATTTGCAAAGCATTTGTATTGAAATACTGGCTTTGGAAATATTCTACCTGGTAATTCTGAACTCAGGGTAAAAAAAAAAAAATGAGAATAAAATGCTCTTATGTGACCTTATCACTTCTAAATATCACTGCTATTTTCATAGTGCCTCATTTGTTAATGTTTCTTTCAAGCAGGGTGGTGTAGAGGGAGGGAGCCTGAGTCTGTTTGTCAGAAGACCCTGATCTAGGTCCTGACTCTGCCATTTACTAGCTGTTGAGACACTGGGCAAACCACTACCATGTCTGAGCTTCAGGGTATTATCTCTAAAATGAACACGTCAGTACCTGCTCAGCCTGCTTCCCTGGTTTTGAAAATCAAATAGTATGTGAACCATGTGTATGAATATGTCTACAAAACAATAACTCATTATATGCACAAAGAGTACTTTATCCTATGGGGTCAGACAGACTCACATTCAAGTTTCAGCTTAACCTGTAATCAAGTTACTGAATCTGTAAATATTTATACCTAAAAGACAGATATTTGTAACTATTGTAATCTGTAAAGCTGTGATAGAAATGCTTATCTCATAGATTTATTCTGACTATGAAATTTAAACGTGTGTAAAATACTAGAAGAAGGCTGTTTCTTCTATTCCCCCTTTTTAAAAAAAATTTATTATCACTTCATAAACATGATCTTTTAGACTCTGCCAGCAATTTTTGGTGAGATTTTCTTAAAAGCTACATCATTGGTATTGCCAGTTCTTCTCCCATAGAGCGGAATGGTCCTTTTGAGTTCTACCAAGATAATGTAGTTAATGAAACCCTCCAAGTGGATAATTCTGGGCAGTTGAGGGCTAAAATCATACTGTTGCCAAGGGCTGTAGAACGGATCTGTTATAAAAACCTGCTCCAAATTTACCTTGAGACATCACATGAATTCTCCTATGAGTGCTTTTGGCTTGCCTTTGCTCCTTTTCTTATTCTAGGACTGTTTTAAAAAGCTGTTTATTCTGCAGCAGTGATACATTTAAATGGCAAAATTTTTTGAAAAAAGCAACAGCTGGGTTAATTTTATATTGCGTTGTAAATGACTGCTAGAAGATCCTTTTCTGCAAGTGGGTTCTCTTATAGGGAAAGCATTTGGAAACTAAGGGGAGAAAGAAAGACGTAACTGATTCTAGTCCAGCTCCCCAAACAGTAAGACCTTCAATCACCTTGAGAGCTAAGTAAGCAAGAAAAAGAAAGTGTGTGTGTGTTTGTGTGTGTGTGTGTGTGTGTGTGTGTGTAAGAAATTTTAAATCACCGGTCATTTTTATGTATTTTTCCTCTTTTAACAATGTCTGAATTGCTATGAGCAAAAGAGAGACCAGGCCAAAGAAATGGCATAACCTACAAAGGAATTTATTCTCTAAATTGCAGGGTATGCTACAACCTTTCATTTCTTGTGAAAAGATTTTTGTCTTTCTCCTGGAGCCTCCCAGTAAGAATTCTGTGATTTAAAAATATCACAAGTGAGAATCATATGAATGACTCATGCAGAATACTCAAATTTTCTTTCTCTTGGGACTATAAGTACCATAATATTTTTTTTAAGTAAAAACATCAGTCTCACTGGAAGAAAAGTAAAGAATTTGTCATGAACAGTTGGCCTTTTTAGAAGCTAAATTTCTGTTCTTTTATTTGATTAATTAATTTTATTTAATATTAATCTTAAACTTAATGTTAAATCTATAATTACATTACACGACAATGAGACAAACCAGTATCCCTGCAAACCTAAAAGATTTTCTACAAGTTGAGGTTCAAACAGATCTTGATTTCAGTCCTAGCTTGCCATATTACTTATAGAACAGTGGAGAAAGTTATATTCTGTCGGAGCCTCAGTTTCCAGAGCTATATAATGTGTGCAGTTTGAGAATGACATGTAGTAGCTACCCTCCAAGATGATCCCAGTGACCTTCTGGTATTCAAATCTTTATGCAGTCCCCTCCCACATTGCACTGATTTGGTGGTCTGCCTGATGGAGAGGCTCATGAGGCAAAAGACTAAAGCCTCCAGGCAATAGCCAGGGAGGGAATGAGCCTATGTACAATCTCATGAGTGACCTTGAAAGTATATTCTCCAGCTTCATCTGAGCCTGGGGGTGACTGTAGCCCAAGCTGACAGCTTGACTGCAATGTCATGAGATACGCTGAGCTAGAACCATCCAGCTAAACTAGTACTTAATCCCTGACCTTCAGAAATTATGTGAATAGTAATGTTTGCTGTTTTAAGCAGCTAATTTTTGGACAAATTCGTTACCCAGCAGTTGACAACCAATAAGCATTATGACAGGAAAAAGAGTTTATTCCTTGTACTCCAAACAATTGAAAGCTTGTTGAATATTTAAGCAGTGCATATAAGAGATTTTTGTTTTAGACTCTTTCCCTTACAAAAATTTTATGTTTTCTACCAGTTTTCAAACTACATTGTGATAAATAACAACCTGGAGAAATTGTTTAATACATATACACTTCGGTCTCACCGCCAGAAATTCTGATTTAGTACATTAGGGGTGGGGCCTAGGCATTTTTATTTGTAACAAGCATCCCAGGTATTTGAGATGCAGGTGTCCTACCGACATACTACCTCTCAGAAACTCCGCCCCTGTCAAATCGAGTTGTTAGATACTCTCAGAACCCCTTCCAGCCCTTCTTGCATATCCTAGGATGATAACTTATCCTGGATTGCCATGGACTTCCTTCGTTATAAAATGGAAAGTCCTGAGTCTCAAGAAATCCCTCAGTCCTGGAAAAATGGCTAAAGATGTTAAAACCATATTTGGTCATTCAGTGTCCTCCCATGCCAGTCTCTGCAACAGAAATGCCCCATCCACCACAATCTCTGCATTTTCACCGACCAGTGTCTAACCCATCCTTCAAGGCCCAGTTTAGATGCCACTTCTCCATCTCCAACAAATTTTCAGCTTCTCCTCCATTAACCCGAGAGCCTTTGGATTCTCAAAGCACCTTTTCTTTTACGGCATCTTATAAGAGTAACATTTGTACCTTCTTCATCTTTTGTAAGTCCCAGGAGGCAAGGACTGCTGTCTTATGCATCTCATCGATGTATGTCAGGCTCCTTGATTCGAGGTGTCACTTCAGGTTCAGGTACCAGCTGACTGCAGCCCACAGGAACAAAGCCTTTGGGGAAAGGAGGAAAGCATCACTCCTTGGAGAGGGTTCTCCATATGCTCCCTTTCAATATGTTTGAATTTAAAGCAATCCTGTGGTCCTCACTCTCGAAAGATTAAAGAGGCTGTCATTATAAATAGGATAGCTGTACTAAGGCAGGTGGCTTCTTTTCTGACAGCTCTTTCACCAGCAGAGCCTACTGACAGATCCCTAGGAATTTTCACTGATACATACCCTGCCTCTTTCTATCAGATTTACCAGTGATTAAAAAAAAAAACAATATAAAATTAGTTTGTAGATGGTCCATTAAAATTTACCAAGGAGTTCATTATAATGATAAAGATCAAAGTTAGCAGAGAACTCAATATGCTTAATTATGACTTCAAACTGCAAAGAAATCAATCAAAGCTCTCTCTCCCTTATCCTTGAAAAGGATTAAGTTTCTTTGCCCAATTTTAGATGGAGTTCATACAAATGAAAGGTTTTGCACTTGGGAGGCAGGTGAAGTTAATCATCAGTTTGACATCAACCTGGCTTAGACTTCAGGAAGGCACATCCATTGGTCTAGGGAAGGGATAGAGTTGTTTGGGCTTTGCCTTTTTTTTCAACTGTCATCTTTGTATTGTGCTTGTTTTCTTAAATTACAAAATTTACATTCTCCTTGGTAAAGAGAATAACTGGAAGAAGTTTCTGAGACAATAAGAATAATAATTGTCATATACTGAATACTTGGTCTGTGCTAGGCACTGTGCTGAGTGAAACATCTCTCGTTAGTGAGTTTTCTCAATATACTCATGTAACTGTGCTTGAAAGTAATCTGGCACTTTATTCAGTGTTGGATATTACAGTGTCCAAATTAGTTTTCACAATAATCCAGAAGAGGAGATAGAATTATTGTCTGCATTTTACAGATGAGGAAATAGAGACCCAGAGGGTAAGTTATTCACCTGGAGTCACACACAAGTTACAAGAATGAGCCAGGACTCAAACTCAGGCAGTCTGACTTCCCATCCCCAGTTCTTATATTATGGGGTTCCTATATTATGTTCCCCATCACCCTTATCACCTTCTTAAATGAGAAGTTTCTATTCAAACCAAGTGTCTTCCTGAAAAATCACTTTTAAAATGGTCACTACTATTATTAACAAAGTGCTGAGTTTACTTTAATTCCTTCATTCCTTAATGTTTCCCCAGAAGCTGTGTAATAATAATACGTTCATATTTTAGCATTGACTGACATTGTAATTTCAGCAATGTTTCCTTCTCCTCTTGGCTTGCTCTTTAATTAGCAGCTTTGTCAGCCTGTAGCAGGCAGTTTCACCACCCTTCCTTTCCCTGCCATCCCCTCACCTCAGCCTTTCTGTCAAATAATCTATTTTTTCATTAAAGTTGAAGGAAATTTTCATGAGTCTTTTCTAATTCAGATAATCATCCTTCAATTTACAAGTTCTGTAAATTTTGATTTTCATATATTAAGTTTTCGTAAAAGAGGTCACACATTGAGATGAAGTGAGAATTTCTGTGTTGAAAAGATTCCTAGGGGGAAGCCTATTTAGAAAGCTGCTTTAGAGAAAAAAACATGGACTCTCGTCTAATTGCATTTGGTACTGAGGGACTAATAGAGATCTGATATCAGACTTGAGAAGAACATAGTTCGTGGCTTTTAATCTTGCTCACATTAGAGGAAAATAATGAATAAGGACTTTTATCCAAGTAAAGGAATTTGAAGGACAAAGAGAAAAGGAAGATAATCTTCAGTAACATTAGAAAAAAAGGAATAGGAAGAAGAGGGTCTGGGTATGAATTAAATACAAGAAATACTTGAATAAATCCCTAATTTTGCTTTGGCATTTAAGTTGAGAGATGAAAAGAAACTTAACTATTTTTTGTTTGTTTGCTTTGTAATTGTTGGAACTTTTTATTGTGGGCTCATTTATTGTGGGTGGTCTATAAGATATTCTAGGACAAGAAATATATCTAATTAATGGTGACGTCATCAACACAAAATATCAAACATACAGCGGATATTCAATGGATGTTCTCTTAAGCAAATTTTATTGACTTAGACATATTTTATTTTTTAACAACTCGATTGAGATATAATTGACATAATAAATTACTTAATTATCATTTCCAATCTTCTTCATTTCTATGTACAGATCCACATTTCATCTGAAATAATTTGCCTTCTGTTTGAGACTTTCTATAACATCTTTTGTAGTGTATGTCTGTTGGTGGTATATGTTTTCAGCCTTATTATGTCTGAAAAAGTCTATGTCATCTTTGTTTTCTAAAGAAATTTTTGTTGGGTATCAAGTTCTAGATTGCAAGGGGTTTTGCTTTAAGTATTTTAAAGATGTTGCTCCACTGTCTTGTTACTTGCACTACTTCTAACAAGAAATTTTCTGTAATTCTTATCTTTGTTCCTCTGTACATAATGTGTCTTTTCTCCCTGGGTGCATTTAAGATTTTCTTCTTCATCATATGCTTTGAACAATTTAACTATGATGTACTTTGGTATGGTTTTCTTCATGTTTATTGTGCCTGGAAATTCATTAGACTTCCTTGATCCATAGAATTATAGTTTTATAATTTTCATTGAATTATAAATTTTCATTAAATTATAAATTTTATAGTTTTCATCAAGTTTTGATCATTATTTTCCGAATTTCCTTTTTGCCCTCCCCTTCTATAGACTTCAGTTTCTCATAATTAGGCTTCTTGAATTGGTCCCACAGATCACTGATGCGCTGTTCATTTTTTAAATTCTTTATTCTATCTGTGTTTCATTTTGGATAGTTTCCTTTGCTATGTTTTCAAACTCACCAATCTTTTCTTCTACACTTCTAATCTGTTATTAATTCTACCAAATCTATTTTCAACTTCAGAAATTACAGTTTTTACCCCTAGAAGTTCAATTTGGGTTTTTGGTTGGTTGGTTGTTTTTATCTTCAAATGTCTCTACTCACATTCTTGAACATCTGTAATACACTTACAGCTGTTTTCATGTCCTTGTCTGCTAATGTTAACATCTATTTTGCTTCTGGATCAATTTCAATTGATTCTTCTCCTCATTGTGGGTTGTATTTTCCTGTGTGTTTGCATGTTTGCTCATCCTTGATTGGATGCCAGATACTTTGATTTTTACCTTGCTTGATTCTGGATGTTAAAAAATTTCTATGAATATTATTAAGCTTTATTCTGAGAATTAGTTAAATTATTTGGAAATTGTTCCATTTGTTCAGGTCTTACTTTTAATATTTGTTAAGTAGGATCAGAGAGGTGTTTAGTCTAGTGCTAATTACTCCCTGCTTCTGAGGCAAGACCCTTCTGGGTCTTCTACAAAATGCCTGTGAGTGACAGGTTTTCCATTCTGGCTGGTGACCCCAGCCCTGTGTGAGCATCAGATATTCCCCCATCTAATCTGTTGGGTGGTCCTCTCCTAGACACGGGCAGCCTTCTCACATGCATGTGCTGACCACTCCTATGCTGAATACTCAAGAAGCACCCTCTACACTGCTTACTCCAGAGTTCTCTCTGTGCTACACACTTTATCCTCATTTTTGTTCTATCCTGCAAACTACAGGGGTTCTAGTTTCCCAGACATGCATATGCATTGTGTGTATAACACAAATAAGTAAAGTGGCCATCTTCTGCCTGCTTTGTGGGTGTCTGAGACGGTATTTGCATGACAACAGACTGTATTTAAAGCCCTCTTCTGTGTACCCACTCTTCAGCCCTCAGGCTGAGTAAATATTTTCTCAAGCAGATACCCCATACCCAGCTCAGTTTAGGGAAGAGCTACCCCCTACCAAGCCCTGCAAGCTTCCTGCCTCCAACTCCCCACCCCAGAATCCCTCCCAACTGCCTCGTATACTCTTCTTTTTTCCATTGGTATAGTTGAGACAAAGTCATTCTCATCTCTCTCACCTTTGGTCTCCTTATTTGTTTTGTTTTCTTCTCAGAAGACAGCTTTGAGGAGGAAAGTAGACTCTTATTGTTTTTATGCAATTAAAAAAGTGAAGGATGCAAACCTCCCTACATATGAGGGAATTTATTGGCTTACATGATTGAGAAGTCCAAGGATATAACCGCCTTTAGGTTGGAAGTTCAAATCATAGTCATTAAAATTGACTGAGTTGAACCATATGTATTTAAAATTATTTGGCAATTTTGATCTTTAAAAATTGGAAATCTCATACTTTTAACCTCATCATTTTTTTCTCAGTCTTTCAGGTCTGCTTTCACCTGTGTAGCTTCCTATTTCATATAGATTCTTGCTGATGTTGTCAAGATGACTAGGGCAGCCTCAGCCTATGTCCTCTCAGATCCAAGGCCAGTGGGAAGAATATCTTTCCTTGCTCCAAGGCCTCAGAAAAATATTCATGCTGTCCCAGTGGCTCTGATGGCCTCTCATGTCCAACACAGAGCCAATCCTGAGGTTACTGTGGGGGCACTAGCTGGCTGAGACCTGGATATGAATTCCAGCCCTAGAACAAGGTGTGGAGCCCTATATGAACCACATGGCTTGAAAGTCAGGAGGGCTGGCTTCCCAGAAAGAAATCAGAAAGGAGACTCCTGGTGCATGCTCAGACCCTAAGAGTATCTTGCTTTGGATGCTTGGCTTAAAAACACTTATCCCAATGTGGTAGAGGGGATATTAATGAGCTGTTCCCTGTACTCTCAGTGTGTCCTGTTAACTTAAAACCACTCAGAAAACACATAGATGTCATTTATGTGGTATCCTTCCCACATTTTTCAAAAAATCAGATATGTCAAGTTGAATGTGTACTAGTGAATGAACAGATGCCAGGAGAAAGTGGTGGCTTTTTTTTGTTGTTGTTGTTTTGGTTAATAATCTATTTGCTTTCTGGGTGTTTTTAATTAGCTATGATTTTCCCTTTAATATCTCAATATAAAAACAAATGAGATGTAATATATTTTGTGAATCTCAATTGTCAGTTTGGGAAATTTTATCTGTTCCCCTGACAACCACTGGCTGATAATGGGGGTAACGGTGGTAAGGGAATAACCAGATCAACTTCTCCATGGAAATTCTAGATGTGGAATTTAGATAAAGTTTTAGCCAGCTTTTATCTATAAAAGTAGATAATGTAGAGCAGGGGTCCCCAACCCCCGGGCCAAAGACCACTATGAGCATTACCACTTGAGCTCTGCCTCCCATCAGATCAGCAGCAGCATTCACCCTATTGTGAACTGTGCAAGTGAGGGATCTAGGTTGCATGCTTTTTATAAGACTCTAAGGCCTGATGATCTGAGGTGGAACAGTCTCATCTCAAAACCATCCATCTCCCTGCCAACACCCCGTCCATGGAAAAATCGTCTTCCATGAAACCAGTCCCTGGTGCCAAAACGGTTGGGGACCACTGCTGCAGAGAATGCAATCTGGATTTAAAGTTGTGTGTGTATGTATATTTCTGTACATATGTGTATATATAATAAGTACATATATGAATACTTAGAAGTATTGTCATCAAACAGGTTATGTCATTATGTAAAAAGTGCTTTCAATATCCATATTAAACATAGTCTTCTATGTATTATTTTAAATTTAATACCCTATTGAACTCAGCAAAACATAGAGGAGAGAACCTTGAGTAGGAATTAGGAGACCTAAGACATACCCATCCTTGTAGTTAATTCATCTAAAACTTTAAAAAAGGAAATTCTGCCTTCTGAGCCTCACTTTCTTCATCTTTAAAGGAGAGGGTAATACAGGATGGTCCCTTTTAGAACCTAGAAATCTGTGATGATCTAAATTCCCCTCCATTAGCAATATGACAAATTCTAATGTGCAAAAATGAAATAAATCCGGCAATGAAATGAGTCATAATAAATAATTCTAACAACAAAGAATAATGTATACATTTAAAAAACACTCAACCCTTAAGTAGCTACTGTTTGACATGTTGTTGAATTTTCTTCTAGACATCCCTTTTTGCCTATGTGCTCCAAGATATATGCATATGATTTTACATTAATAAGAGTGACCATACTTGCAGTTCTATAACCTGCTGGCCAAAGACTTAAATTTCTATTATTAAAACTATAAATTCACAGCCTCCTACCAGTTGGGACCTAGGTGCTGCTCAGCAATCTCTATTTCCTTAGTCAGCTCTCTCTCTTGCTCATGTTCCCTCTCTCTCTCTTTCCCTAGTTTTTCAGTGGGGCTATTTCAAACACTGCCACATCTCTTTAAACTTCAGCTACATCCATCTTCCCCTTCTGTCAGCAGATGCACTCATTTTCTACTTTCAGAAAAAAAAGAGAAAGTCATTTCTTTCAACTTCCTGCAGCCAGACCCACTTACATGACTTACCTGTGTCTACCCACATGCTTTCCTCTTTCCTTCCTGACGTAATGGAATAAGCTCCTTATCCTGCTTATGATGACCTGTCCATTGTGTTCTGGGATCCCTGCCTCTTCCATGGTGGCACAGCCCCACCCAACTCTTTTGCACTAAGCTCCCTAAAGCTTGCTCCATACCAGGGCCACTGGCCTCATCTCAGTTTTTTAAACAGCCCAACCTCTCTCCTGCCTTAGGACTCTTGCTCTTGTTCTGGAATATTCTTTCCTCCACTCTCCCCAGGGTGAGATGAGTCTCCTTTTCCAAATCTACATTTAGATGTCCTCCCTTTACAACTGCTTCTGTGACCATCTCAGTGGATATCTCTGCAACATGCTTGTAGCACTGACCACAACAGAAACTATTGGATTCTAGTTTGTTCCTTTGTTATTGCCTGGTTCCTTCACAAACAGCAACTTCATAAGGGCAGAAACTCTATTTCAATCACTCATCTAATAATACATTCAAGGTCTCACAGAGTCCCAGATACTGATACCATTTATTGAAAGAATGAATAAATGAATGAGTATCTTCCTAACTCAAGTGGCCACTTCAGTTGAAGAAAGGTTGATCTGATTTTTTTTATTATTGTATTATTTTTTACTGGGGTACGGGTGGTATCTGGTCACATGAGTAAGTTCTGTAGTGGTGATTTTTGAGATTTTGGTGCACCCTTCACTCGAGCAGTATACACTGCACTGTTGTAGTCTTTTATCCCTCACCCCGCTCCCACTCTTTCCTCCAGGTCCCCAAAATCCATTGTATTATTCTTACACCTTTGCATCCTCATAGCTTAGCTCCCTCATATAAGTGAGAACATTCAATGTGTGGTTTTCCATTCCTGAGTTACTTCACTTAGAATAAGTCTCCAATCTCATCCAGGTCACTGCAAATGCTGTTAATTCATTCCTTTTTATGGCTGCATAGTATTCCATTGTGTGTGTATGTGCGTACATATATGTGTGTGTGTGTATACACACACATATACACACACAATGAAATACTACGCAGCCATAAAAAGGAATTAACAGAAATTAATACACATATATATCCATATATATATATCCATATATATATATCCATATATATATATCCATATATATATATCCATATATATATCCATATATATATCCATATATATATATCCATATATATATATCCATATATATATCCATATATATATCCATATATATATCCATATATATATATCCATATATATATCCATATATATATATCCATATATATATCCATATATATATATCCATATATATATCCATATATATATATATCCATATATATATATATCCATATATATATATATCCATATATATATATCCATATATATATATATCCATATATATATATATCCATATATATATATCCATATATATATATATCCATATATATATATATCCATATATATATATATCCATATATATATATATCCATATATATATATATCACAGTTTCTTTATCCACTCATTGATTGATGGACATTTGGGTTGGTCCCACGATTTTGCTATTGTGAATTGTGCCACTATAAACATGCTTGTGCAAGTATCTTTTTCAAATAATGACTGATTTTCCTCCAGGTAGATACCCAGTAGTGGGACTGCTGGACCAAATGGTAGTTCAGTTCTTTAGGCAATCTCCACAGTGTTTTCTACAGTGGCTTTACTAGTTTACATTCCCAACAGCAGTGTAGAAGTGTTCCCTGTTCACTGCATCCATGCCAACATCTACTGTTTTTTGATTCTTTTGATTATGGCCATTCTTGCATGAGTAAGGTGGTATTACATTGTAGTTTTGATTTGCATTTCCCTGATCATTAGTGATATTTAGCATTTTTTCATATGTGTGTTGGTTTGTTGGCCATTTGTATATCTTCTACTGAGAATTGTCTATTCATGTCCTTTGCCCACTTTTTGATGGGATTGTATTTTTTCTTACTGATTTGTTTGAGTTCATTGTAGATTCTGGATATTAGCCTTTTGTCAGATGAATAGATTGTGAAGATTTTCTCCTACTCTGTGGGTTGTCTGTTTACTCTGCTGCCTGCTCCTTTTGCCGTGCAAAAGCTCTTTAGTTTAATTAGGTCCCAGCTATTTATCTTTGTTTTTATTGCATTTGTTTTTGGGTTCTTGGTCATGAAATCCTTGCCTAAGCCAATGTGTAGAAGGGTTTTTCCAATCTTATCCTCTAGAATTTCTATAGTTTCAGGTCTTAGGTTTGAGTCCTAAATCATCTAAATCCAGCTTGAGTTGATTTTTTTATACAGTGAGAGATGAATGTCCATTTTCATTCTCCTGCATGTGCCTAGCCAATTATCCCAGCACCATTTGTTGAAAAGGGTATCCTTTCCCCCACTTTTTGTTTTTGTTTGCTTTGTCAAAGTTCAGTTGGCTGTAAGTATTTGGGTTTATTTCCGGTTTCTCTATACTGTGTCATTGGTCTATGTGCCTATTTTTATCCCAGTACCATGCTGTTTTGGTGACTACGGCCTTATAGTATAGTTTGAAATCAGGTAGCGTGATGCTTCCAGATTTGTTCTTTTTGCTTAGTCTTGCTTTGGCTATGTGAGCTCTTTTTTGGTTCCATATGAATTTTAGAATTGTTTTTTCTAATTCTGTGAAGAATGATGGTGGTATTTTGATGAGGATTGCATTGAATTTGTAGATTGCTTTTGGCAGTATGGTAATTTTCACAATATTGATTCTACCCATCCATGAACATGGGATGTGTTTCCATTTGTTTGTGTCATCTATCATTTCTTTCAGCAGTGTTTTGTGGTTTTCCTTGTAGAGGACTTTCAATTCCTTGGTTATGTATATCCCTAAGTATTTTATTTTATTTTTTGCAGCTATTGTAAAAGGGGTTGAGTTCTTGATTTGATTTTCTGTTTGGTCGCTGTTGATGTATAAAAGAGCTACTGATTTGTGTACTTTAATCTTGTATCTGGAAACTTTGCTGAATTCTTTTATCAGTTTTAGGAGCTTTCTGGAGGAGTCCTTAGGGTTTTCAAGGTAAACAATCATATCATCAGCAAATAGTGACAGTATGACTTCCTCTTTACAGCTTTGAATGCCCTTTATTTCTTTCTCTTGTCTGATTGCTCTGGCTAGGACTTGCAGTACTATGTTGAAGAGGAGTGGTGAGAGTGGGCATCCTTGTCTTATTCCAGTTCTCAGAGGGAACGCTTTTAACTTTTCCAAATTCAGTATTATGTTTGCTGTGGGTTTGTCATCAATGGCTTTTATTACATTAAGATATGTCCTTTGTATGCCAATTTTGCTAAGAGTTTTAATTATAAAGTGATGCTGGATTTTGTTGAATACTTTTTCTGCATCTATTGAGATGATTGTGTTATTTTTGTTTTTAATTCTGTTTATGTGGTGTATCACATTTATTGACTTGCATATGTTAAACCATCCCTGCATCCCTGGTATGAAACCCACTTGATCATGGTGGATTATCTTTTTGATAGGTTGTTGGATTCAGTTAGCTAGTATTTTGTTAAGGAGCATCAATGTTCATCAAGGGTATCAATCTGTAATTTTCTTTTTTGGTTATGCCCTTTCCTGGTTTGGGTATTAGGGTGATGCTGGCTTCATAAAATGAATTTGGGAGGGTTCCTTCTTTCTCTATCTTGTGGAAGAGTGTTAAAAGGATTGGTGCCAATTCTTCTTTGAATGTCTGGTAGAATTCTGCTGTGAATCCATCTGGTCCTGGACTTTTTTTTGTTTGTAATTTTTAAATTACCATTTCAATTTAAATGCTTGTTATTTGTCTGTTCAGGATATCGAATTCTTCCTGGTTTAAGCTAGGAGGGCTGTATTTTTCCAGGAATTTATCCATCTCTTCTAGGTTTTCTAGTTTATGGGCGTAAAGGTGTTCATAGTGGCCTTGAATGATCTTTTGTATTTCAGTGGTGTTAACTGTAATATTTCCTGTTTCATTTCTTAGTGAGGTTATTTGGATTTTCTCTCTTCTTTTCCTGGTTAATTTTGCTAATGGTCTATCAATTTTATTCATCTTTTCAAAGAACTAGTTTTTTGTTTCATTTATCTTTTGTATTTTTTGCTTTCACTTTCATTTAGTTCTGCTCTGATCTTGGTAATTTCCTTTATTCTGCTGGGTTAGGGGTTGGTTTGTTCTTGTTTCTCTAGTTCCTTGAGATGTGACCTCAGAATGTCAGTTTGTGCTCTTTCAATCTTTTTTATATAGGTGCTTAGGGCTATGAACTTCACTCTTAGCACTACCTTTGCTGTATCTCAGAGGTTTTGATAAGTTGTGTCATTATTGTCATTCAATTCAAATAATTTTTAAATTTCCATCTTGATTTCATTTTTGACCCAGTGCTCATTCAGGAGCAGGTTATTTAATTTTCATGTATTTTCATGGTTCTGAAGGTTCCTTTTGGAGTTGATTTCCAGTTTTATTCCACTGTGATCTGACAGCGTGCTTGATATAATTTTAATTTTCTTAAATGTATTGTGGCTCATTTTATGGCCTATCATATGATCTGTCTTGGAGAAAGTTCCATGCACTGTTGAATAGAATGTGTATTCTGCAGTTGTTGGATGAAATGTTCTGTATATATCTGTTAAGTACATTTATTCCAAGGTGTAGTTTAAATCCATTGTTTCTTTGTTGACTTTCCATTTTGTTGACCTGTCTAGTGCTGTCGGTGGAGTATTGAAGTCCCTCACTATTATTGTGTTGCTGTCTATCTCATTTATTGGGTCTATTGGTAATTGCTTTATAAAGTTGGGAGCTCCAGTGTTAGGTGCATATATGTTTAAGATTGTGATATTTTCCTGTTGCACAAGGCCTTTTACCATTATATAATGTCCCTTTGTTTATTTTAACTGCTGTTTCTTTAGAATTTGTTTTGTCTGAAAAAAGAATGGCTACCCCCTGCTCACTTTTGGTGTCCATTTGCACAAAATGCCTTTTTCCAACCCTTTAAGTTTATTTGAGTCCTTATATGTTAGGTGAGTCTCCTGGAGGCAGCAGATAGTTGGTTGGTGAGTTCTTATTCATTCTGTAGTTCTGTATCTTTTAACTAGAGCATTTAGGCCATTTATATTCAACGGTAGTATTGAAATGTGAGGTACCATTGCTTTCATCATGCTTTTTGTTACTTGTATACTTTGTGGTTTTTGTTTGTTTTTTATTTTTGCTTTTAACACATATTTTTGTTTTACAAGTCCTGTGTGATTTATGCTTTAAAGAGGTTCTGTTTTGATTTGTTTCCAGGATTTTTTCAAGATTTAGAGCTCCTTTTAGCAGTTCTTGTAGTGGTGGTTTGGTAATGGTGAATTCTCTCAGCATTTGTTTGTCTGAAAATGACTGTATCTTTCCTTCATATATGATGCTTAGTTTTGCTGGATACAAAATTATTGACTGAAAATTGTTTTGTTTGAGGAAGCTGAAGATAGGGCCCCAATTCTTTCTAGCTTGTAGAGTTTCTGCTGAGAAATCTGCTGTTAATCTGATAGGTTTTCCTTTATAGGTTACCTGGTGCTTCTGTCTCACAGCTTTTAAGATTCTTTCCTTCATCTTGACTTTGGATAACCTGATGACAATGTGCCTAGGCAAAGATCTTTTTGCGATGAATTTCCAAGGGTTCTTTGTGCTTCTTGTATTTGGATGTCTAGGTCTCTAGCAAGGCCAGGGAAGTTTTCCTCAATTATTCCCCTGAATATGTTTTCCAAGCTTTTAGAATTCTCTTCTTCCTCAGGAACACTGATAATTCTTAGGTTTGGTCATTTAACATAATCCCAGACTTCTTGGAGACTTTGTTCATATTTTCTTATTCTTTTTTCTTTGTCTTTATTGGATTGGGTTAATTCAAAGACCTTGTCTTTGAGCTGTGAATTTCTCTCTTCTGTTTGTTCAGTTCTATTGCTGAGACTTTCCAGAGCATTTTATATTTCTAAAAGTGTGCCCAAAGTTTCCTGAATTTTTGATTGTTTTTTCTTTAAGCTACCTATTTCCTTGAATATTTCTCTGTTCACTTCTTGTATCATTTTTTTGGATTTCTTTGCATTGGGCTTTGCCTTTCTCTAGTCCTTCCCTGATTAGCTGAATAGCTAACCTCTTGAATTCTTTTTCAGGTAAACCAGGGATTTTTTCTTGGTTTGGATCCATTGCTGGTGAACTAGTGTGATTTTTGAGGGGTGTTGAAGAGGCTTGTTTTGTCATATTACCGGGGTTGGTTTTCTGGTTCCTTCTCATTTGGGTAGGCTCTGTCAGAGGGAAGATCTGGGGCTGAAGGCTGTTGTTCAGATTCTTTTGTCCTACAGGGTGTTCCCTTGACGTAGTACTCTCCCCCTTTCCTATGGATGTGGCTTCCTGTGAGCCAAACTGCAGTGATTGTTGTCTCTCTTCTGGGTCTAGCCACCCAGCGAGTCTACCTGGCTCTGGGCTGGTACTGGGAGGTGTCTGCACAGATTCCTGTGATGTGAACCATCTGTGGGTCTTTCAGCCACGGATACCAGTGCTTGTTCTAGTGGAGATGGCACTAGTTTTTGAAGAGACTGTCCTTTCTCCAATGTATGTTTTTGGTACCTTGTCAACAATGAGTTGTCTGTAAATTCATGAATTTACTTCTGGGTTCTGTATTCTGTTCCATTGGTCTATGTGTCTGTTTTTATGACAATATCAGACTATTTTGGTTATTATAGCTTTGTATTATAATTTGAAGTCAGGTAATGTGATGTCTCTAGCTTTGTTTTTTTGCTTAGGATTGCTTTGGCTATTCTGTGTCTTCAGTAAAGTTGCAGGACACAAAATCAACTTACAAAAGTCATTAGGATTTCTACATGCTAACAGCAAACAATCTGAAAAAGAAACCAAGAAAGTAATCCCATTCACAATAGCAACTAATATTAATAAGATAAACTACCTAGGAATAAACTTAACTCACAAAGTTAAAGATATCTACAATGAAAACTGTAAGACATTGATGAAAGAAATTGAAGAGGACACATAAGAAAATGGAAAAATAGTCCATGTTCATGCATTGAAAAAAAAATTGTTAAAATGCCCATACTGCCTAAAACAATCTACAGAGTCAATGCAATTCCTATCAAAATACCAATGACATTCCTCACAGAGACAGGAAAAATAATCCTAAAATTTAAAAAGAAATTGTCTAAAAGATTATTTTTACCAATTAGAAAGTACTATATCATGTTGTTGTATTGTTCTTTATTTAATCAGTCTCTAATTATGAAGAATGGAGGTTGCTTTTTCTTTTGCTGTCTTATAAATGAGGCTATAGTGAACATATTTAGATATGTATCTATTTTCTTATTCATTTATTGAGACAGGGTCTTGCCCTGTCACCCGGGCTGCAGTGAAATGGTATAATCATGGTTCACTGCGGCCTCAAACTCCTGAGCTCAAGCAGTTCTCCTGCCTCAGCCTCCAGAGTAGGTGGGACTATAGATGTGCAGCACCATACCTGGCTAATTTTTTCTGTTTTTAGTAAAGACAGGGTTTCACTCTATTGTCCAGGATGGTCTAGAACTCCTGGGCTCAAGTGATCCTCCTGCCTTGGCATCCCCAAGTGCTAGGATTATAGGTATGAGCCACCATGCCTGGCCTACATTTATTTTCACTATTTCCTGATTATAATTTCTTAAAATGAAGTTGATGCATCAATGGGAAGTCAGCATAACGAGGCTTAGTCCTTTAAAAAGGTAAAATAGAAAGAACAGAATCATTTTATGGCCACCATATCTTTTGAAAACATTCCTATTCCTTCTGGTAGATACTTGCAGAACAAGCTGAAGAAAGCTATATTCAGTTTTTTAGTGGAACATTGTAAAGCCACACCTTGTAAAAAATTAAAAAGCCTGATATTGAGATCCAAGTACTTCTTCTGCAGTGTGCAACTAGACCAGGAAGGCAGGGACCAGTTCTAGTTCCCCCACTTATGTCCACAGAAATTAGAAAATTACCTGACATATAGCAATAAGTTTGAAAATATTTAATGAATGATTGTGTGAATGAATAAACTTTTATTAACTCATTGGGGTAATAGAACTCTCAGACCCTAACAGTTCGTTTGTACATTTCAGAAACTGTGATTCCTAATTTGTTTAGTGACTTTATTCATGGAAACGGCACCACTTTGAGGGGCAGATACAAATTTTAATCTTAGTTTTGTGATTTACTATGTGGCCTTCATGTTCTGAGTTATCTGTGAAATGAAGTTACACTACTCAGTTTTTCAGAAACACTGCCATCTCAAATAAATTATCATCGAAAACTTGTTCTCTTTCCTCTGCCTTTGATTATGTCAATCTATTAATTTTTGAAAGCCAGAAGCCTTAACAGTGCTAGAAAATATGTATTCCAGAAAAATCAAGGACAACAAGGAGCATTCATTTGAATAAGCATGCTAGACATGGATGTCATTCTTAACCTAGGGCAGCCTAAGTATTTAGACTACAATTTTAGTTTATACCCCCAAGATATTTCTTTCAAATAAAGGGAGGACCTTACGTACTTTTAAACTTAGTTTTAGAAAATATCAATATTTTATTGTAGCATTTTCATTTTGCCAAAATATGACTTCAAGGGCCTTAGTCCATTTCTGACCTTTAACTACAATAGCACTTTTTATTTATCATCTTAGTATAAGAGTAAACATTTTTTATAGTAGAACATGTGGATACTGGAGAAAAGTCCAAAGAAGAAAGTATGTTTTATTCTCTCTCTATTCTTGCTCTGTTGAGAATTGTGAGGGTCAAATATTCCCATAAAAACTGATCTCTATTTCTGGAATAGAATAATGTGATTACTGTTATTATGCGGGTTATGAAAGTCAAGTTATATGTGGGCACAGAAGAAAGAGCAATTAATTTTAAGCCCCTGAATACAGAATACCATGTGTGTCAATATCCCCTGTAAATTGGCCAGTTCCTTAAAAATGGAGTCTGTACTTTATTCTCTCTATAGTCTGAATACCCAATTCATTGCTTAGTACATAGCAGGTGCTTATTATTCAATATCACATAGAGACACAGATAATGCTCTCTGTTCCTCCTTTAGGGAGTAAAGTCTGAAATTATAACCTCATGTCTTTGCACAGAAGTTCTCTGTGTGTTTACAAACACCTCTCCACATGAGTAGCCAATATAAACACAAATAAAATTCCCCTTGAACAAAATCAGTTCAGGGCCTCTTTGCACCGTACATTATAAAGCTCCCAATGGGCCTTCTGAGGTTTCCCTTGAAGAGGTCAACTAAAAAGCAGCCATGTCAGTCTTGCTGGCAGGAAATTAGCAGTTCTCAGCTCTTACAAGTTTGAAATTGTAACTGTTCCTCTTGGGTGTTTACCACTCTTCTGTCACCAAGGGAGTCCACTGTTGTTACCAGCCCAATTAGGTCTATTGCAACAGTAAGTGAGGAGAAACAGCCTCTTGAAATGTCCCTGCTTGGCCAGAATGTTAGGAAAAGCTTCCTGATGGAGGAATAGGATGACACCCAACACTGATGGAGGGTGTGCAGCAATGTTCTGCATTAGTGCCTACAGGAATATAGAGTTTTCATTTGCAACTTTTGTGATGAGCATACAGTTTGTAAAGCACAATGTAGATACTGGAGAAATAATGCATATAAACAGAGGAGGAAGACATACACATTTCAGTGCCACATGTGGACTAGGTACTGTGCTAGGCACTTTACTTTCTCAAACTTATTAATCTCCCATAGATGTTCATGGAGTGGTGTTATTTCCACTTTACAGATCAGGAAACAAAGGCACAAAGGTGAATGGCTCTCCTGAAGTCACATAGTTTAGTGTGAGTAAGTCAGGGCTTAAATCCAGGTTGGCCTGCTACCAAAAATGTATACGCTTGACCACTAGCCTATACTGCCTTCACAAATGTAAATTAATTAAAAGTATTTCTGATTATATGGAGGCTTTTATGTAAAGGTCTCAGGTCTTTAATGCTCACAATGATTCTGTGACTTAGGTGGTCCTGTCCCCATTCTACAAACAAAAAACTAAAGCACAAAGACACAAAGTCACTTGTTCACAATCATTCGACCTTCCAGTTTTGGAGCTTAGGTCTGTGTGGGGCCAAAGACATTCAGTCCTCTGCCTTTGAGAACCTCATCATTGAGGCAAATGTAAACATATACAAAGGAATTTGTAAGTTCTTATGTAAGACCCACTCACTCATTGAGAGTAAAATTTTATGGAAGAGACTACAAAATCAAGAATGCAGCAGCCTCTAAGGGCTCTCTGTGCTATAGGGCATTTCTCCTGCTTAGACATTTTCTTAAGGGACAGGGAGAGGCTTTTTATTGAGGGTTGCCCAGTGAGAGCTTCTTCCAGTAGGCACAGCCATGATAAGAGTAGAAGATAAGACTTTAAGCTCCCAAGAGGCCTCTTTTTCAAGATTCAGAAAAGGCACAAAGCAGGACTAGTTTAAGCACATCAGTAAAATTGAAAATAGCAGGGCTCAAGCTGCAGAGTGACTGTGGAGTTTGCTGGGGAAGAGCTTTTGATGTTTGTTTCTTGCCCAACTGAGCGCTTTTGAGTCAACAATCCTTTCTCATAAGGGCATAATACTCAAAACTGGCCCCAGAGGAAATAAGAAAGAGCCAAAGGTAATGCTATGGACTGATCCACTTTCCAATGGAAAGCCAACCTTCTTTCTTTCCACTTCACAGCTTTAATTCCTAAATTTCTGGGCCTTATGGCAAAAAGGGAGAGGGAAAACTGGATGAAATTTATTCAATTCTACAGGCATTTATTGAGTTTCTACTATGGAGTTAATATGAAGATTAAATCCTTGAACTTCATTACTTAGTTGATAAGATAAAACATACACAGGCCAGAAAATCTCAGGTGTGTTGGAAAGTACTTCTTTATACTCCCCAAATAATTTTTTTTTGGCATTGTTTTTTGCTGAGACATGATGGAAGACTTTTGGAGAAGGAAACACTTGAGCATTTGATCAGAGTTCAAAGACTGTAGGACCTGGAGAATTACAAATAAAAGAGTAAGGTTTATAGGGTGGTTCTAGAATAGACAAAGAAAAGAAAAACAAAAGCAAAAATGCAAATAAAATTTAAAATGTACATTCAAAGAGAGTATATTAAAATAAGGTGATAATAGGACAGGAAATTATATTTACTTTTCCTTAGCACTTTGTTCCAAGAATTGTTGTTTTTCACATGCATTCTCTCATTTAATACTCACAACATTCCCATGAGGCAGTTATTATTATTTCCATTTTACTGAGAAGGACAGTGAAGCCCAGCATGATGAATAACTTGCCCAACTTGCACAATAAGTAGCAGAGTCAGCATTTAAACTCAGTCTTATTACAAAGTCCTAATGTTTAGCCACCTATAGTATACTGCTTCAATAAGCATGGCAGCTGGAATATTGGCCAATAATGAAAAATGATGCTGAAAATTTAATTGCAATTATTGTAACTGTCACTTGTGTCTAATGAGTATTTTCAGTGCAAAGGTACTAGGCAAATTATTTTTATTTAACTCAATCCCTACAACAGTTGTGTAAGTATTATTAATCTCATTTTAAGATGAGTGAACTGAAAGAGTGGCCACCTTGATGAAAAGATATTAAGAAAGCAGAGAACCTGAGCTTTGAACTAGTATCAGTGACCTCAACCTGAACTCTTAACCATTACAATGTATGGCTTCTCAAGACTGGGATCAGACAATAAAGAGCCTTGAAGGCTAAGCCAGGAAATTTGCATTTATCCTGTAGCCAACGGGGAAACACTGAAAGTTTGTGAGCTGGGAGGTGACATGGCTTGATTTGGGCTTTTGGAGGATTAATCTGGAATCAGCATAAGATAGATTATAGAATGGAAAATCAGAACAGAGGGACCAATTATGGGACTACTGCACCAGTCCATGTAAGACGACTTATCCAGTGAGATGTGTGGTCCAGGTGAGTGGTCTTGAAAGCCCAATATAGACTACTAAGAGGAGAGAAAGGAAATATATAGTATTGGGTTTATAAATTACAAGAGTCCTCTTTGGTGCTTTGAAATCTGGATCTCCTACTAGAAAGGGAAGCTGCCTGCAGTGGAATCTGCTCACCAGGCAGCAAGTTGAGCTAGCTATTTAGTATGGAGAGGACCTGGAGCTGTGATTACCAGACACTGGGTTGCAGCTGCAGCCACCCAGAATTAGCCTGGCCAGATGGTGACGGGTAACTGACTGTTCTACACGGACCTCAGGAGAGAGCACAACAAATACCACAAGCAAGAGGCACATGTTTTCCTATGAACATATCAGAAAATTTTCTTTGAGAGTTTCTGATTCTCTCAAGGCATTTTTCCCTCATAATGCCTCAGTTACACTAACTCAGGTTGAGAATGGTGAAGAATGCTTTATGAAAATCAGAGTTGTTTTTTAATGAGGCCATCTGGTGAGCCTTCTGCATTTATATCCTCTTCTCCCAACAGGTTAGAAGCTGAAAAATTCTCTGCTAGTATAGTATTAGTAGAAATTATTTATAGTATGGCAGAACAGCCACTGTAATTACAACTTAATTCTTAGGTGACAAGAGACAGAACGTTAATTAGATCTTGCAGATAATAGTAATGACCATTCACATGTACCAAGCATTTGCTCACATGTAATAGGTATGAATTCTTAGCATCACTCACTTGGGGTACACAAGAAACATAATTTTCATTAGTTTCTTTAATAAAATAATTTGAACCTACAACCTACCTAGTGGTCAGAACATCATCTACACACTCTCAGGAAAGGTCCGATGCAGCATGTGTTAGTCACTCAGGTACAAAATGTAATCATATTCACCTTCTCCAATTTATTCCCCCTTTCTACCCAGGAAAGATCCTAAGCCCAGGATCTTACTGAGGTGCCAACCTGGTGACAGTAGGGAGTGGCTAGCTGGTTCTCCATCTGGACCTGGCAGGGCCCCTGCTGGCCTCCTACACTCAGTGTAAATTCATTTAGTCAGATTTCAACACACTCCAAATGGAGACTGAGCAAATTCCCAGTTTGGATTTGTCCCCATTTGACTCCTGGCTTAGGTAACCTTGGAAAGTAATGTCTGTCCTCCCATCATTCTCGGTGGAAACTGTCCATCCACACAGCTGACATCTGACACAGAGCTCCTTGTCCCCACAACTGGACCCTGTGCAAGCCCATGCATCTTTCCTTCTCAACTAGCTTTCACTTCCTGCTGAAGATAGGGAAGCTTTGGGTACCTCATCTCCACAACACTCTGGGGCTCTAGGAGACGTGGGCTATAAAAGTGGATTCATTCTGTCTCCACATCCCTGCATGTCCAAGATAGAACCAGAAGATGAGAAATTGTCATTTTTATTCATTGGTCCATTTCTGAAGAACCCCAGTCCCAGAGCAAATGGTGACCCCATGTTTCTCTGCTTGAATGAGGATGAGGTGGGAGAATAAAAGAAGAAATTGGTTGACAATTCAAGTTTGCCATACCCACACACATGATCTTATTTGATCTTCACAGCACCTCTTGGTAGCAGGAATGATGACTTTATTGATGAGAAAAATGAGGCTTAGAAAAGTTAAGGGACATGTTAAAGATCCCATTGAAGTCAATGGCAGTGTAGGAGTGTGGACATATCTGCCTGATTGTGGAGGATGAGCTCTTAACCAACACCCAACAGACAGCAGAGGCTGAAGCTGGCCACAGGACCTCACTTAGTATTCATTTCTCAGGTTATATATAAGGGATTGTGTGTGAATCAAAATACCTTACAATAAGTCTACTTTATTCTTCCATCACCAGCTGTTAGGGACAATAATGAAGCCATGTCTGCATTGGGAAGGTCTCCTTCGTAACAAATAGGATTATACTGAGATTGCAATGGGCATCACCATTCCTTATATATAAAAAGGAACTCCAGAGGGCCACTGGTTGGAATCATACTTTGTTCATTCCAGATCACTGAGTGTCCAGTCTTATCTAGAAGCCCAGAAGCCAGATGCTGGTCCTTGGTCTTCTATCTTCTCATAGTGATGGCCTGAAATCAGTGTCTTCTGCATTATTTATCAGTTTCTCTCTCTGTTAAATAGCAGCACCAAGAAAGGGAGTTGTGATTGCTGGTAACTTTGAAATCTTCAAAAGAAAGCCAAGTTCCTGGTAAGAATCAGACTTAGTAACTCATGGAAGTAATTGAAGGGTTGTGCTTGTACTCTTTCTAATTAAGTTTACATTGGGCAAATTTTAAGAAGTGTAATTTGGAAATGTTCTTAATTTCAATGGCCATCAGATTCATTTCCATGTTCCTAAATTTTACCAAAGCCAATAATAATACTTTCTCAATCCATTAAAAGACTACTTTCCTCATAGAAAAAAAAAAATGAACCACTGACACTTTACTTTTAGATTTCCTGTTTCATTTTGTTAGTGACTAGATATATATTAATTACTAACTATGTAAAAGTTGCAATCATTAGTGCAAATTGGGAGGGGAAATAGTTATTGGCAATGAAGGAAGTGTAAAGTAGAATGGAGATAAATATATACATTATAAAAGAAAATGTGATCCCACCAAAATAACCCAAATGAAAAGGACAATACCAAGTGACAGCAAGGATATAGAACAACTAGAACTTTTTTACACTGTTGGTAGGAGTGTAAATTGATATAACTTTGGATAACCTCAGCAGTACCTACTAAAGTGGGTATATGTATATGTTGAAATGAAATGTACATATATGTTATCATGTATATGTGGTACATGTAATACCTATTTATGTATTGTGTATGTGTGTTTATATCTAGCTATATGTATTATAAATGTATTATGTCCAAACAATTCCATTCTTAGGTATGTTTCCCAAAAGACACAAATAAGTGTGTTCATAACAGAATTTATAAAGCCACAAATGCTTATCAGTAGCATGATGAACAAATACATTTTGGTATATTTATGCATTTGACTTACAGTGATGAGAATGGACAAACTATGAGTTTACACAACATGAATGAATTTCACCCAAAAAAACTGAGCAAAAGAAACTAGATACAAAAGACAGTACAATATATAATTCAATTTGTGTTCAAAAATATTTTTAAAAAACACATTGTGGTATTAGAAGTTAGGACAGTAGCTAACTTTTGGTGGTTAGAGGTTAAGGAAGGGGCTTCTGGGGTTCCAATAATATATTATTTCTTGATCTAGGGATTGAGTAATAGGTGTGTTCACCCTCTGAAAATTCATTGAGCTGTTTTACACTTTTCTGCATGTATGTAATATATCAAGAAATTCACCTTAAAAAAGGCAATGTGTGAAAAGGATCAGGAGAGGCACAGATGGAAAAAGCAGGACAAAGTAAATATTGTTAGCAAATTAATTGGGCATAAATTGCAAAATATTATTTAAATGAGGAATGCCACATATGCTGAATTTAAAATACATTTTAGTGTCCCCATGATTAGGTTTTAACATGACTTTTAAGAAATTCTACAAATCTCACATCTACCACAAGACCAGTTATATAATTCAAGATGCTCAGTACTAAGCCATTAAAAAAAATTCAACACACTCTCAGAAAAACTGTGATATTCACAAAATGAGAGTGCCTTCTCAGGTTTCCCTTTATCCTCAGGTTGCAAAAGCTCAGAGCCTCATCTCCCTTTCTGGGAATGTCCAGAATCTTGTATTCAGGCTGCACATTTCCCCACAATTAGGTGACCTGTTTAGCATTGCTAGCCTGAGTCAGTCCATTTCATATCAAATGAGACTGGTCTATATTTAAAAGAAGGAATTCATAATGTACCAGTGTGATCTAGGAGTTTAATCACTGGGTTGAGTGCTCCAGGCCCCAGTTCCCCTAACATGCCTGTCTCCCTGGCTTTGACTCACAATCATGTGTTTTGTAAATGCACAAGGCAATGAACATAAAAGCAAAATTGCTGGTGACTAAGAATAGTAGCCAGCAGCCCTGGGAAGAATGCAGTGCTCTGGGGCTTAGCAGGAGAGCTGTGGATGCCTGGACACTGTGGACCTGAAAAATAAACATCCAATTGGAGAGTTGATGTGACCTCAGAGGAACCTGGGGGCCACAGCTCTGAATTCCCCAGAGCTGGTACTTGAATCTACTATGGCTAAATAAACTTGCCACATTTATTGGTGGCTTCTGTTTAAACACGAGTATTACAGTGGTGGCTTTATTTTCTTCTACCTTTTATTGATTATAATGTCCATGAGAGGTCAGGACCTGTTTTCTCAAATTGACCGCCACATCTCCAGCAGTTATTGAAAAAGCTGTACACTAGTCATCGCACAATATGTTTATTTGAATTATTTGAATACAATCTATAAGTCAAATCTAGCCTGAGAGTTATCTCAGCTATCACAGTTCTAAAAATAGGAGCAGTCTCCTAGTTCTTAGGTGGTATAAAAGTAATAACTATTATCAACGAGCCAAGAAAAACACACTTTCTCTCCACGTAAACAAATGAAAGAATTTGACTATTCAGCAAACTGCCTCTCAAGTGACAACATGGCATTGTTTAAATATTAAAAATAATATTTATGTTTAATACATTATTTTATTATGAGAGTTTATTATGTATCAGTCACAAAGCTGGTCACTTAACCTACATTATAGTTTAATTATCACAGCAATTTAATGGGGTAGCTACTCTTCTTAGCCCTATTTTACGGGTGGGAAAACTGAGACACAGAGAGGTAACTACCCCAAAGTGGCACAGCTGTTTAGTGGTTGAGCCAGGATTTGAACCCGGAATCTAAATCTAGTCCTTTAACCAACCTGCAATGCAAACCCTCACCCAAGACATCACAACACAGCAATTAAAATTGGAGAAAATGGAATGAGTTTGTTCCTAATCCAGTTAATTTCCCTGAATTAGAGAAAATCTCAAAATGTAATGTAATACATTTCTTGAGGAGAGGACTATGCTCTCTGATGACTAGTAATGTTGGCCATACGTCTTAAGACTATTTTTACACCTGCATCCTGAGGCAATTGAAAGAGTCCCCTTCAACTCACGAATGTGTCTCTGGGTAATAAATCATATGGCTACCCTATGAACACATTTGCCTTTTCCAGAAATGTCAAAACTTTCTCAAGTAAAGCTAGAATAGAGACTAATTCGAGGATGAGATCAATTTTTTCATCTAACCCAGGACTCAAGACTAGAAATTCGCTGTCCAGGTACCTCTGGGTTTTACCCACAAAGGGGTCCTTTGCTTGGCCTAGCAGCTGCCTCTCTTATCTGCCCCTTATTAAAGGAGGAAAGTAAATATCACAGCACAGTGTTCTGATATCAGGTTGTGTACAGGAGAGCATGTAACCCCTTGTTCCCAGGGTCTGGACATCCCTGCAGGTATTTTAGCATCAACTCGGGCTGGCTGGGCTGAGAGCAACTTGTTTTCTGGCTTATGTAGGCTCACCTGTGCCTGGTGTCAAGAAGCTCAGTGACTCTTTCTGGACTCAGAAGTGCCTCTCAGCCCTCAGGAGCCTTTTCTCCAGCAAATGTACCCTATGGAAAAGTAGTCCTTGATCCAATCAGTTATTTGTTGACTGGACTGGGTCAGTTTCCTCTAGGTTCTACTGGTGCATTCTTCTGGAATACATGACTTCAAGGACAGACCTCTACATGTGAGTTTTCTAATTGTAAGTGTCAAAAGCTTTACTCAAACTTGCTTAAGGAAAATAACACTACCACCAAGAGAACTTTAAAATGTATGTTCAAATTCCTACTCAATCTGTGGCTGGATCAAGTATTTTAAATGATGTAATTGGGGATCTACCTTTCTGTCTCCCCTCTTTTTTTTATTTATAGAAAGAGTCTCACCTCATGCAGCCACGGGTTCAAGTTTAAGTGATTCTTCCTGCTTGAGACCGCAGAAAGAGAGAGACTATTTCTCTCTCAGTGTGCATCTCAGTCCTTAAATAAAAGCTCTGACCAAAGTAGGGATAAAAAGAGGAGATGATAAACACTTATAAAATATTCTTATATACTGGTCACAATTTAATACTTTATAAGTTTTAATTCCTTTAATCTATGTATGAGCCCTATAAAAGAGGAATTATTATTATTGTTACTATTATTATTTCTGTTTTACAGATAAGAAAGTTGAGGTCCAGAGAGATTAAGTGACTTGTCCAAGGTTGTATAACTTGCAGTTGAAGAGCTAGCTATGGGAGTCTAGGAATGGAACAGATGCTCTTGATGATCCACCTCATTATAGAATCGTGTAATGAATAGCCCCATTAGATAAGGAAGAAAAGTTTCTACGATGAAACTGTCTGTTCAGACAAAAAAAATTAACAGTAAGAGAGACCTACTAATCTTATCCTCTAGACCTAGTTCACACTTGTACAGGTAACTGAACTCTGATTCTTCATCATCATTGTAAGGAAGGTATTGGCCTAGATGAGGGTCAGAAAATACACAGCACATATATCATTACCACCACTATGACCACACTGTGCCTAGGACAGACATCACTAATTGATCATTGCATTATGTGTCCCTTAAATCTAGATGAAGCCTCAGGATTCTTCCCAACACACTGATCCAGGCAACCTTAAAACTGAACAGAGTTTACAGGTGAAAATGAAACCTATTGCCGTTCTAGGATTAAAGGATCTCTCAACATACTTCTGGGACTATCATTTCAGAATTCTTCTAAGGCAGCCACAAATAAATGCCTTTTAGATAATAAAGCATAACCACAGGAGTTTATTAGATGCTCATGAGCAAGTGCAGTCTTTAGAATTCTTCAAGAATCCTCTTGTCTGTGTCCCAATTCATCCTGCTAAACCATTTGGTTTGTTCTGTTCCTTTTCCTCTAATAATAACAAAAGGAAGAGTAGTAATATACCATAACCCTCTCTTCTTAAATGCTCACGTATCTTTATACTAACGCTTTGAAGCTCATTCCACCAAGACCACTCTGAAAGGCCAGTAGTCTAGAAGGGGCTTGGGCTTAAATATAAGTCCATGCTAACACTTTTACTTGAGGAACTTAAAAAAATTATTTACAGGATGTGAACCTGCTATTAGCAGCCCAGTAGTAAGAACCTGCTGTTAGTACACTCTCCCACTTTCTTTATGAGGAAATTGAAACTGAGAGAGGTTCAGAAACTTTTCTAAAGTCACACAGAATTGGACCGTGGACCTCAGACTTCTCACAACAAATCAACAAATATCTACTGAGTTTTAATGTGCCAGGCTGTGTGCCAGGAGCTGAGGTTTGGAAGAGGCATAAGTTGATATGCCTCTTCTGGCATTTACTTTCTAGTAGGCTAGATGGGAAAAATTGAAAATGATGGGATTAAAAACAGTTGCTTTATGAATCCCAAAGTTGTCTTCGACTGGTAGGCAGTTCTTGAGGGGCAATGCTTCCATCTTTTCTGAGGCATGTTCCTTTCAAAACATGCTGAGCATATAGATCTGGAAAAAACATTTCAGAAGAAGACCTATAGTGTGGAGGATGCCTGAGTTTTATAATTGGACTTTATGAAGTCACATGCTCCTTTCTGCCTCAGAAACTTCAGGCTGTAGTTCCCTGGGCTTGGCTTTCTCTTCTTCACCCCTCTTTACTCCCTACCCTAGCTCACCCTGTGTGTTCAGATCCAACCTCCCTTGCACAGGAAAGTGTTCCCTGACTGTGCTCTGCCACCCTCCATCCTCAGGTTTGATCCCTTTACCCTTGCATGGCTTTGTACAGCTCACTTGTTTATACTTCGGAAGTAACTGATCAATTAATGACTGCGTCTCACATCAGAATGTAAGTTCCATGAGGGCCAAAATATATCTGCCCTATCTGCCCTTTCTCCTATTGCATCCTTAGACTTTAGGTCAGTACTTTGCACAGACTACTTACTCAGTATATTTATGGAAGAAAGGAAGGAGGGAAGAAAGGGAGAGAAGAGAGAAGGTATGGGTGGATGGGTTTTAACCTTAATAATAATGAAACATTTATTGAACACTTTTGATGTCTCAGGCTTCTTCGATCATTTGGTCTTAAGCACAACCCTGGAATATAGGTTCCATCATCCCTGTTTTATAAACAGTGAATTGAAGCCCAGAGTGGTTTAGTGACTTCCCCAAAGTCACCCAGCTATTTGGTGACGCATCAAGGATCTGAATTCAGTCTGTGTGACTGCAAGGTTCTTTTTAGTCTATATTATCCAAGAGCATGGTTAATCAATGTTGGCACAGTTGACATTTTGGGCTGCCTGGTCCCTTGGTTTGGAGGCTGCCCTGAGTTTGTGGGATGGCAGTGGCATCCCAGGCCTCTGCTCATAGATATCAGTAATACATCCCCCTGCCCCATCTCCGCCACCAGTTGGACAACCAAAAATGTCTCCAGATACTGTCTCCTAGGAGACAAAAATCATCACTGGCTGAGAACCACTGCCTTAGAATAATAAGTCATATCCTAAAAACAGCATATTAAAATGCAGACTTTCTCAAAAACAGGTTTTTTTTCTTAAATTTTGAGTTCATCTTAGCTTTCCTTTTCTGAATTCAAATTAAGAAAGCTTTTGAATCTGATGAACTCTTCATTGATTGCCCTCTATCTCCAGTTAGGCTTTTCAGAACCTTAATCAACAGTGAGTTCCTGCTGCTCACCACCTTCCACACCCCCTCCTGCTCCCTCTCTGGGGTCATCTCCCAGTGATCCTGTAACTTTGAATCTAAAAAAAAAAAAAGCAAAGAGAAGAGCCCCAATTTCAAGGGAAGGAAAGGATAAAACCGATGGCTCAGATTTGAACAGGGGGAATTTCTTTCTGTTTTGAAACAGACCCTTGTTCTGTAACCTAGGCTGGAGTGCAGTGAAGTGATCACAGTTCACCGCACCCTCAACCTCCTGAGCTCAAGTGATCCTCCCATCTCAACCTCTCAAGTAGCTGGGACTATAGGCACACACCACCACGCTCAGCTTATTTTTTATTTTTTTGTAGAGATGGGAGTCTTCCTATGTTGCCCAGGCTGGTCTCAAACTCCTGGCTTCAAGCCATCCTCTCACCTTGGCTTTCCAAAGTGCTTGGATTACAGGTACGAGCCACTATTCCTGGCCCAGGAATTTCTTATTTGCTACCAGGTTCTCCCTTTTTCATTCATAGCACCAGTCCAAAGAGTTTTAAAATTAAATCTGCAACCAAATTTTTTCCTTTCCATCTAATTTATTTTTTATCCATTTGTATTAAAATAGGAAACAGCCTCTATGTCTATTCTCATTCAATGCAAAGGAAAATATATTAAAAGCCGAAATGTCTTACTAAGAGAGTTTCTAAACAAACTGTATTAAGAATGAAAAGATGGTCTATAGTAATAGAGAAATTGGTGACACCTGGTGGTGGACCATTTAATACTTCTTAGAGTTAAAACAAGGTGATTAATATTTTTTAGAATAATCTGTGCTATTTCAGTCAAGTACCATAAAGTATTTTTGGCTCACAGCTGTTTTAATGAGCAGGGCAGGACTATATAATTGCAAATGGTTTAGCTATAGAATTCAGAATAGCTCTTACATGTTTTTTTTCTTCAGCATGTAAAAGCCTAGTGCAGGCAGGAACTAGGGAGTAGAGGCAAATCTATGTGCTTGTAAGACCTCTCAAGAATTGGCTTTGGCTCAATACTTAAAATCAGAAGGTCAACCTTGGTGGCTTTGGCAAGTGGCCCACCTGGAGAGAGTATGACTTGGGTGTGGTTGCTACAAAGAAGAGTCCTGTGAGACAAGAGGTGAAGGTTGCTTGCCTTGGGATTTAGTCAAGAGAGATCAGGTACACATAATAATAGCCATTGTCATTATTGTCTTTCATCAGCCCTTCTGTTGAAGTTCAGCCTAAAATTTCCAGGCAGTTGTCTCAATGAAGTGTGTGTGTGTGTGTGTGTGTGTGTGTGTGTGTGTGTGTGTGGACACACGTGGACAGGCAGATGATGGTGATTAGAGACCACTTCACTAGTCACAAGCACTTAGAATGCAAGCTGGCTGCCTGAAAAGGAAATGCTTCTCCTACATCTGGAAACTTATTGGGTATCTTTTGAATCTTGGGTACATTGGCGATTGATATTTTCCTACAGCCTCTCCTGACTCAGCTTACTGCTGATGAGCATTTTCTTTGATTTTTTTGTAGCTACTAAAATTATTAGGTTGATGCAAAGGTAATTGCCGTTTTTGCCATCACTTTCAATAGCGAAAACTGCAATAACCTTTGCACCAACCTAATAGTTCCACTAGCAGATACTTTTAAAACCTGATACTGGAAGAAGGCTTAATTACAGAATAGGAATGAGCCCCTCACATGCACCCTGCACTGTGTGGTCTCTGGGCTACAGCTCTGTTCTCTGGGGTACAGAGTCCAGGGAGAGACAACTGTTAATAGGTTGATGCAAAAGTAATTGCGGTTTTTGCCATTAAAAGAAATGGCAGGCCTGGCGCCGTGGCTCACGCCTGTAATCCCAGCACTTTGGGAGGCCGAGGCGGGTGGATCACAAGGTCGGGAGATCGAGACCATCCTGGCTAACACGGTGAAACCTCGTCTCTACTGAAAAACAAAAAATTAGCCAGGCGTGGTGGCGGGTGCCTGTAGTCCCAGCTACTCGGGAGGCTGAGGCAGGAGAATGGAGTGAACCCGGGAGGCGGAGCTTGCAGTGAGCCGAGACTGCGCCACTGCACTCCAGCCTGGGCAACAGAGCGAGACTCCGTCTCAAAAAAAAAAAAAAAAAAAAAATGGCAAAAACTGCAAGTACTTTTGGGCCAATAATATAAGTGTTGGGTTTGGTGCACTGGCACGTGAAGAAAATCAGGGCCAATTGAAGCCACTGTACCTGAAAGTCCAGGAGATTTCCATTTTCCTTGAATTTGGTTTAACCAAATTAACGCACATTAAAGCCATGACCTAGGAATGAATGGTCATGCCTTTGAGAAACTGTTAACCTGAGAGCTTCCTCTGATCTTGGTAGCCTTAACCAAGGTATTCGCTTGGCATACAATACTCCCTTGTTCCTCTTGACCTTGTACTTCTGTCTGGCCACTGTCCTTTACACACTCTCCCTTTTGCTTGCCTATCTCCTAGTCTTTAAAGGCCACTTTTCTAACACACTCAAGTCCATATTAGCTTCCTTTTTTTTTTTTTTTTTTTTTTTTGAGACAGAGTTTTGCTCTTGTTGCCCAGGCTGGAGTGGTGCAATGGTGCAATCTCAGCTCACCGCAACCTCTGCCTTCCAGGTTCAAGCGATTCTTCTGCCTCAGCCTCCCCAGTAGCTGGGGTTACAGGCATGTGCCACCACACCCAGCTAATTTTGTATTTGTAATAGAGACGGGGTTACTCCATGTTGGTCAGGCTGGCCTTGAACTCCTAACCTCAGGTGATCCGCCTGCCTCGGCCTCCCATTAGCTTCCTTTTTTATGTCTCATTTAGCAGAAAATAGAAATGTTAAAAACAACCTAAATGTCTGACCATTCGAATGTGATTAAATATATCATGGAATAATATGCAGTGACAAAAAATATTTACTTGGAAAATTTTACATTATTTAATTAGGTAAAATAATTATAAAAGAGTATGTATAATATTTTCTAGAGGATACAACTATGAATTTCTGCTTGAAGATGAAACTAAAAACTATCAGGATAGTACAGGGAAGAGATTATGCAATGCATAAAAGGATCTCAAATATACAACACACATACACACGAATAAAAGGCTAATTAAATATTCATCAAAATGTTAACAATGATGAACTTTGTAGTTACAAACGTGCACTATTTTACAATCTAAAAAGTTTATGTTTAAAATTTAGTCTCAATGCAATCCAATGGAGAAAAGATAATCTTTTGAATAAATAGTACTAGAACAAGTGGACATTCCCATGCAAAAAAAAAAAAAAAAAAAAAAAAAAAAAAAAAAAAAAAAAAAGACTCTATACAATAGCTTACCCTTTTCACAAAATTTAACTCAAAATAGATGGAGACCTGAATGTAAAATGCAAAATTAAAAAACTTCTCAAAGACAACATAGAAAAAAATCTAAGTGATCTTGGATTTGGTAATGATTATTAGATACATCACCAAAAGCACAATCTATGAAAGGAAAAAATTAAGTTAGATTTCATTAAAATTAAAAACTTCTGCTCTGTGAAAGACACTGTTAAGGGAATGAAAGACAAGCCACAGATTGCAAGAAAATATTTGTAAAACATATATGTGATAAAGCACTTGTATCCAGGATATATAAAAAATTATTAATACTCAACAATTAAAAACTGTATAGACACCTAGAGCCAAAGAAGATATGTCCATGAAAGGTCAGGCATGGTGGCTCACACCTGTAATCCCAGCACTTTGGAAGGTCCAGGTGGGCAGATCACTTGAGGTCAGGAGTTCGAGACCAGCCTGGCCAACATGGTGAAATCTTGTCTCCACTAAAAATCCAAAAATTCTCTGGGTGTGGTGGCACATACTTGTAATCCCAGCTACTTGGGAGGCTGAGGCAGGAGAATTGATTGACCCAAGGAGGCAGAGGTTGCAGTGAGCAAAGATTGTGCCACTGTACTCCAGCCTGGGTGACAGAGTGAGACTCTGTCTCCAAAAAAAAAAAAAAAAAAAAAAAAGATGCTCAACATAAAATGTCATTATAGAACTGCAAATTAAAACAACAATAAGAACTACATACCTATTTACCTATTAGAATGGTTAAAATGCAAAACACTAACAATGCCAAATGCTGGTGAGGATGTGGAGTAACAGGGACTCTTCATTCACTGATCGTGGGAATGCAAAATGGTACAGTCACTCTAGAAGATAGTTTCACAGTTTCATACAAAGTGCAACCTTGTCTACCATATAATAGAGCAATACTTCTAGATATTTACCCAAATGCATTAAAAACTACGTCCACACAAATAAACTGTCCACTAATGTTTACAGCAGCTTTATTCATAATATCCCCAAACCGGAAGCAACCAAGATGTCCTTGAATAGTTGAATGGATAAACAAACTGTGGTACGTCCGTACAATGGAATATGTTATAGCAATAAAAAACAAATATCAATTAAGCCACAGAAGACATGGAGTAATCTTAAGTGCATGTTACTGAGTGAAAGAAGCCAACCTGAAAAGCCTGCATTCTGTATGATTCCAAATAAATGACATTCTGGAAAAGGCAAAACTATAGAAACCAAAAAAAGATCAGTGGTTGCCAGAGGTTAATGGAAAGGAAGGGAAGGATGAATAGGTGGAGCACAGGGGAGTTTTAGGATGGTTAAACTATGCTGTATGATACTGTAATGGTGGATGCATGACATTATACATTTGACAAATGAACCATGCAGCACAAACAGGGAACTCTAATGCAAACCAAGAACTTCAGTCAATAATAATGTACCAATATGGGTTTATCACTTGTAGCAAATATACCAAACCAATGGAAGATGTTAATAATAGGAGAAACCGTGTGTTTGGGATGGGAGTGGGGTAGTATATGGGAACTCTCTGTACTTTCTGTTAAAATTTTCTGTAAGTCTAAAACTGCTCTAATAAATAAAGTTTATTTGTTTAAAGGAATCTAGCCTCCAATAAATTCTTGGCAGAATTTCTTCTGAACTTTGACCACAATGGCTAAGTAGTTCTGCTTCTCGTCTAGTCACTACCCCATGAGAAGGTTCATGAGAAGATGAATTAAAAGTAGTGGGAAGTCTAGGTGTCTAGTTTCCTTAAAATAGCAATGGAAGTCCTGGGGAGGAGTGTCTAGCTTTCTCGATCATCTTGTCTTCCCCTTTGGACATCTTCAAATAAACAATCAACTTGGTAGCAATAGAGTTAAGTCTCAAAGTGAGAAATCTGACTGCCTTTGGATTCAAATCCCTTCTGAGTATTTTTCAGAAGCTTCAGATCCAAGTGGATCCTTGCCAACAGCTTGAAATATAAGAGCCAATAGAGAACTGTGGACCAGATTCTAATAGAATGATTATATACTATATTGTATTAGGTCATGTTATTCATTTCATTGTACAACCAAGAAAAGCTGCAGCTCAAGAGATGAAAAGCCTGTCCAAGGACACATAGCTAGTGACCCACGATCTGAACACATACTCTAGAGACAAATACCATGCTGTCCCCAATGAGCACTGTCACTATGCTGTTCACAGGTTTCTCCGAAGCAGGGACATGTTCAGAATCCAGCAATCCCAACACATGCCTACTCATTTTCTGGTTTACCTTGTCTCCTTCAACTCTTACTCAATGTTGTAGCTCCTTCATGGGCCAAAGTAAAGGACCATGTCAGCGAATATTGGACTGTCCTCTTCTTTTCCCTAAAAGAGACACTACTGATGCTTTTAGGTAAGGCAGACATTTCCTCCTCAGGAATCTTTGCCTGCTGCGTTTGCTTGTGAATTCCTTGGAGATGGTGAATTTTCTTAGATTCACCTCTATTACCTGATACACTGGTGCTTTGATATTGCTTGGTAAAGCGCTGTTTAATAAATGAATGAATGAAATAACATCTCTAATCATATCAGTTATTTTGACATGTTGACATGTCATAGTTGTCTTTATTAAACACATTTTTAGTGAGCACCTACTATGTCCCAGGCACAAGTAGTAAACAAAGAGAGGCAACATCTCTGCTCACATGGTACTTGCATTCTGCTGGAAAGAGACAGACAGGAAGCAAATTAACAAATTTTGTGGTGTGTTTTCATTTTTAATTGAATTTTTATTAAGATAATTACAGATTCATAAGCAGTTGTAAGAAATAATACATTAAGATCCCATGTGCCTTTTAACTCAGTTTTTCCTGATGTTAATGTCTTGGGAAATTATAGTATAACATTACAACCAAGATAATGACCTTGACACAATCCACCTATCTTTTTCAGATTTCTCCAATTTTACTTGTATTAATTTGTGCACATGTGTGTGTGTATTTAGTTCTGTACTCTAATGAATGTATAGGTTCATGTATTCACCACTATAATCAAGATAAAGAATAGCTCCATAAAAATTCCTTGTGTTCTTTTTTTTTTTTTGAGATGGAGTTTCGCTCTGTCACCCAGGCTTGAGTGCTGTGGCGAGATCTCAGCTCGCGTCAACCTCCACTTCACGGGCTCAGAGGATTCTCCTGCCTCAGCCATCTGAGTGGCTGGGATTACAGGCATGCCCACCATGTCCAGCTAATTTTTGTATTTTTAGTAGAGACAGGGTTTCACTATGTTGGCCAGGCTGGTCTCGAACTCCTGACCTCAGGTGATCTGCCCGCCTCGGCCTCCCAAAGTGCTGGAATTAGAGGCGTGAGCCACCATGCCAAGCCTACCTTTTTATAACCACACTCATCTCCCTTCCTTAACTTGTCCTTAACTCCTGTAAACCAGTAATCACTCCTCCTTTTCTATGATTTTGCCATTGCAAGAATCTTATATAAATATAATTATACATAATGTAACCCTTGGGGACTGGAGGTTTTCACTCAGCATAATTTCCTTCAGATCTATCCAAGTTATTTTTTTAATATTGCTGAGTAATAGTCCATGGCATGAATGGTGTATAGTTTGTTAACCATTCACTCATTGAAGAATATCTATGCTGTTTTCATTTTATGGCTAGTATGAATGAAGCTGCTATCAATGCACATATACAGGTTTTGTGTGGCCATAAGATTTTTTTTCTCAATATTTTGCTATAAAATGTTTTAAACATAAAGCAAGGTTGAAAAATTTTCAGTGAACAGTCACACATTCACCACCTAGATTCTACCATTAATTAAAAAAAATGTATTTTTTTTTTTTTTTTTTGAGACGGAGTCTCACTCTGTTGCCCAGGCTGGAGTGCAGTGGCGGGATCTCGGCTCACTGCAAGCTCCGCCTCCCGGGTTCACGCCATTCTCCTGCCTCAGCCTCCCAAGTAGCTGGGACTACAGGCGCCCGCCACTACGCCCGGCTAATTTTTTGTATTTTTAGTAGAGACGGGGTTTCACCGTTTTAGCCGGGATGGTCTCGATCTCCTGACCTCGTGATCTGCCCGCCTCGGCCTCCCAAAGTGCTGGGATTACAGGCGTGAGCCACCGCGCCCGGCCAATGTACTTTATTTTTTAAAGCAATTTTAGGTTTACAGAAAAGTTAATAGTACAGTGAATTCTCATATCCCCCCTTCCTTCTGTACATAATTTCCCTATTATTAACATCTTGCATTAGTGTGCTACATTTAGTGTAATTGATAAGCAATATCAATACATTATTATTGGCTGAAGTTCACAGTTTATATTAGGGTTTACTCTTTGTGTTGTACAGTTCTGTGGGTTTTGTCAAATGCATGAGGTCGTGTATGCACATTTACAGTGTCATACAGAATAGTTTAATCCCCCTAAAAATCCTCTATGCTCTATCTAGTCATCTCTCTCTTCCTTCTTCCCCACTAACTCCTGGCAACCACTGACTTTTTATGGTCTCTATAGTTTTGCCTTTTCCAGAATGTCATATATTTGAAATCATACAGTTTGCAGCCTTTACAGATTGGCTTCTTTCATTTGGCAATATGCGCTTAAGGTTACTCCATGTCTTCTGTGACTTGATAGCTCATTTATTTTTTATTACTATAAAATATTCCATTGTATGGATGTACCACAGTTTGTTTATCCACTCAACTATTGAAGGACATCTTGTTTGCTTCCAGTTTGGTGGACAGTTTTCTGTGTGGACATAGTTTTCAACTCATTTAGGTAAACACATAGGGGTACAATTGCTCGATCCTATAGTGGACTAAGCTTGGCTTTGAAAGAAACTACCAGACTGTGTTTCAGAGTGACTGTACCATTTTGTGTCTCCACCATCAGTGAATGACAGTTCCTATTACTCCACATTCTCATCAGCATTTGATATTGTCAATGTTTTGGATTTTAACCACTCTAATAGCTATGTAGTGGTATCTCATTGCTCCTTTAGTTTGTAATTTTCTAATGACATTTCATGTTGAGCATCTTTTCATATGCTTATTTGCCATCTGTATAATTTCTTTAGTGAAATGAATGTTCATATCTTTTGCTTAATTTTACTTATTTTTATTATGGAGTTCTAAGAGTTCTTTATGTATCTTGGATACAAGTCATTTAACAGGTATGTGTTTTGCAAATATTTTCTCCCACTTCATGGCTTGTATTTCATTCTCTTAACAGTATCTCTCACAAAGCAGATGTTTTTTAATGTTAATGTTTTTAATGTTAATGGAGTCCAAATTACCTATTTTGTTTTGTCATGGATTGTGTTTTTGGTGTTGCATCTAGAAAGCCATCACCCAATCCAAGGTTACTTAGATTTTCTCCTGTATTATCTTCTAGAGGCATTACAATTTTGCATTTTACGTTTAGATGTATGATCCATTTTAATTTTTGTGGAAGTTAGGAAGTTTGTGTCTAGATTCATTTTTTAAAATATTGCATATAAATGTTCAGTTGTTTTAGCACCATTTGTTGAAAACACTGTCTTCCTCCATTGAATTGTCTTTGCTCCCTCTTCAAAGATCAAGGCTAAACTGATGTGAGTCTATTTCTTGGCTCTCTATATTCTGTTCCATTTATCTGTTTGCCTAGTCTTTCTCCATGCTACACTGCCTTGATTCTTGTAGATATTGTTTGTCATGTTGAAGAAGTTCCTCTTTAATTCTTGTTTGTTTAGCGTTTTAAACTGTAATCATTACTGGATTTTGTCTAATATTTTCTCTGGACCAATTGATATGCTCATATGATTTTCTTTCTGTAGTCCGTTGATGTGATGGGTTACATTGATCGTATTTTGAATGCTGAATCCCATTTGCATACTAGAATAAATCCTACTTGGTCATGTTGTGTAGTTATTTTCTTACATCATTGGATTCAGTTTGCTAATATTTTGTTGATGATTTTATGTCTTAGTTCATGAGAGATATTGGTCTTTAATTTTTGTTCTTGTAATGGATTTATCTGTTTTTGTATCAGGGTAACGCTGGCCTCATAAAATGAGTTGGAAAGTGTTCCCTCCTCTGCTATTTTCTGGAAGAGATTATGTAAAATTGATGGTAATTATTTTTTAAATGTTTGGTAGAATTTCTGATGAAACCATCTGGGATTGGAGATTTCTTTATTAAGAGCTCTTTAATTATAAATTCAATTTCTTTAATGGTTACAAGACTATCAAGATTGTCTATTTCATGTTGATTGATTTTGGGTAGTTTGTTGTTTTAAATGAATTGATCCACTTCTTCTAAGTTGTAGAATTTATGGGTTGAAAGTTATTTCTAGTATTCCTTATTCTTTTGTATGTGTTTTTAAATAATGATAAATTATGTTGATAAAATAAAAATGGGGATGATCAGAAAAGGCCTGCCGGAGGAGGTGATATGTGAGCTAAGGCCTGAAGGGATCAATCATGGAAAACATTAGAGAAAGAGCTTTTCGGGCAGAGGGAGAAGTTAGTACAAAGGCCCAGAGAAGGCGACAAGTTTGGCATATTTGAGGATGAAGGAAAACTAGCCGGAGTGGAAAGAGCAACAAGGAATTGAATCTGGAGAGGAGGACAGAGACCACGGGATGCAGTAGCTTTGGGTCATGGGAAGGCACTTAGGTACTGTAGGTGTGCTGCAACAGCTTTTCATGGTTTTAAGCAGGAAAAATCATGCACAGATTTATATTTATAAAAGATCACTGTGGCTGCTGTATGG